>NC_000002.12:237489618-237843128 GCF_000001405.40 Homo sapiens | reverse complement strand
GAGGAATGAGTTCTAGCTTTCTGTACCACTATAGGATGGCTATAGTTAACAATAATATATAATTTCACATAGCTACAAGTGGGATATTGAATGTTCCCAAGACAAACAAATGATAAATGTTTGAGATGATAAATATGCTAACTACTCTGATTTGATTAAAATGCATTATGTATATGAAAACATTACTACGTGCCCCATGAATATGTACAACTACTATCTGGCAATTAAAATAAATAAAATAAATAAAGAATATTTGTTATTCTGGAAAAACAAAAAAGAAAATGCCACTGAACCTGAAGAAAGCATTAAATTCACAGTGGTACTAAAGATTAGATGCCTTTATTAAATATAAATACAACAAATATAAACGTTAAAGGGCTAATTTTTAGTCAAGTAAATCCAACTACACATTGAATGCTATAAACATTTAAAACATTTAAAGAAAATGCAGACTTAAATGTTAATCTTACTATTAATAAAAATGCAACTTAAATATTATATTACTTTTAAAAAGTAAGCAATTAAAGAACTATCTATTCTATATTTCTATCAGATAAGGCATAAAATCAGCCTTTGAAAATTGTTCTAACAATACAACAAAACTTTTCACAAAATGAATGCAAGCACTATAGGGAACATTGGAATTTAAGTACTTTACCAAAGCACATACAAGTTTACCCTTCCCAGGGAAGGCTAACACACCTGAATGTTTTATACTGAAGTCATAAAAAATGCATGAAATGTATCATGACAGTAATTTAATTATCTTGGAAGCCTGAAAGCATACACATTCCAAAATGTTGTATGATACTGAATGTATCTATACAGTTTATTTATCTGTTATCCTATAATCCAATGTAAGAGTCTTAAGACAAAGTTCAGGTAAATTACATTTTTTATGTATGGAAATCATTTCACAAACATTGATGTAACAACAAACCTCCTTCTTGGTCAATACATTTTAAAAGTGACTTAATAAAGGTTTTTAAAATGGACAAGACAATTTCTTTAGATCACAAATATGCATCTTAATGTTCTAAGTAACAAAATTGAAATAAAAAAATTTAAAAACTTATTAAAAATTATATTTTAACTTTAAATATATAGAGAAGATCTTAATATTGTATAGACAACTGTTGCTAGATTTTAAAGGAGGGATATAAAGTAGAATATTTTAACAGCTTAGCCCATTTATAGAGCCTATTTAATTACATCATCTTGTTATTACTACTTTTTCCTAAGTGCTGTAGAACATTCTCTGAAGGAGGAAACACACTTTCCAAGGAAGTTCTAGAATCAAAAGAAAGGAGAAATCAACAATGATTGTTGAGTATCTTTTGTTAAGTACATTCCTAGACACTTGATTGTTTCTAATGGTACTAGAATATCTTTTAACAAATTTCATTTTTCTTACATCATGGATAGTGAGAATTGCAATTAATTTTTGTGTCTTGTCTTTGTATCTAGCAATCATTTTAACTCATATTTCTTTCACATGCCTCTCATTTTATTTCATTTTAATAAAGAAAAATCAGATATTTTATTTTAAACTTCTGTTTTAGTTTCAGGGGCATATGTGCAGGTTCGTTATATCGATATAGATAAATTACATGTTGCAGGGTTTAGTGTATAGATTATTTCATCATCCAGGTAATAAGCGTGGTACCAGATAGGTAGTGTTTTGATCCTCACCCTCCTCCTACCGTCTAACATTAAGTAGGCTGCAGTGTCTGCTGTTCCCTTCTTTGTCCATGTGTACTCAAAGTTTAGCTGCCATTTATAAGTAAGATCACGTGGTATTTGGTTTTCTGTTCCTGCATTAGTTTGCTTAGGATAACGGCCTCTAGCTCCATCCATACTGCTGCAAAGCACATCATCTCATTCTTTTTTATGGCTGCATAGTACTCCATGGTGTATATATACACTTATCTTTATCCAGTCTACCACGGATGGGCATTTAGGTTGATTTCATGTCTCTGCTATTGTGAATAGTGCTGTGATAAATATGCACATGCATGTGTCTTTATGGTACAATGATTTACATTCCTTTGGGCATATACTCAACAATGGGATTGCTGGCCCGAATGGTAGTTCTGTTTTAAGTTCTTTGAGAAATCACCAAACTGCTTTCCACAATGACTGAACTAATTTACATTCCCACCAACAGTGCATAGGCATTCCCTTTTCTCTACAACCTTGTTAGCATCTGTTATTTTTTGACTTTATTTAGTAATAGCCATTCTGGGTGGTATAAGATGGTATCTTGTGGTTTTGACTTGCATTTCTCCAATGATTAGTGATACTGAGCATTTTTTCATATGCTTGTTGGCCACGTGAATGTATTCTTTTGAGACAAATGTCTGTTCATGTCCTTCACCCATTTTTTAATGGGGTTATTTTTTTCTTGTTAATTTAAGTTCCTTACAGATTCTGCATATTAGACCTTTGTCAGATACATAGTTTGCAAATATTTTCTCATATTCTGTGGGTTATCTGTTTACTCTGTTGATAGTTTCTTTTGCTGTGCACAAGCTCTTTAGTTTAATTAGGTCCCATTTGTCAATTTTTTTGTTGTAATTGCTTTTGGCATCTTCATCATGAAATCTTGGCCAGAATGTAATTGTCCTACTGTCCAGAATGGTAATTCTTAGGTTTTCTTCAAGGGTTTTTATAAGTTTTAGGCTGTACACTTAAGTCTTTAATCCATGTTGAGTTGACTTTTGTATATGGTATAAGGAAGGGGTCTAGTTTCAGTCTTCTGCATATGGCTAACCAGTTATCCCAGCACCATTTATTGAATAGGGAGTCCTTTCTCCATTGCTTGTTTTTGTTGACTTCGTTGAAGATCAGATTGTTACAAGTGTGCATTATTTTCTGAGGTTTCTATTCTGTTCCATTGGTCTATGTGCCGTGTGCCCTTTTTTTTTTTTTTTTTTTTTTTGAGATAGAGTCTTGCTCTATCACCCAGACTGGAGTGCAGCGGTGTAATCTCAGCTCACTGAAACTTCTGCCTCCCAGGCTCAAGGGATCCTTCACTTCAGCCTCCTGAGTAGCTAGGACTATAGGTATGTGCTATCATGCTCGGCTAATTTTCGTATTTTTTGTGGAGATGGGGTTTCACCATGTTGCCCAGGCTGGTTTTGGATTCCTGGCATCAAGCGATTTGCCTTCCTCCCAAAGTGTTGGGATTACTGGCGTGAGCCACCCCCTCCCCAGCCTATTCTGGGTATTAACCCCTTATCAGATATATGATTTATAAATATTTTCTCATTCTATGGGCTGCCTTTTCACTCTTTTGATAGTGTCCTTTGATGTTCAAGTTCTTGATTTTGATGAAGTCTAATATATGTATCTTCTTTTGTTGTCCATGCTTTTGTTGTCATATCCAAATCAGTGCTAAATCCAATACTGCAAAAGTTTTCCACCGTTTTCTTCTAAGAGTTTTATAATTTTAACTCTTATGTTTAAGTTGTTGATTCATTTTAGTTGATTTTTGGATATGGTGTAAGGTAAAGGTCCAACTTCACTTTCTGCATGCTTTTGAAAATTGTTCTTTTAGGGGCCGGGCGCAGTGGCTCATGCCTGTAATCCTAGCACTTTGGGAGGCCAAGGCGGGCGGATCACAAGGTCAAGAGATCGAGACCATCCTGGCCAACATGGTGAAACCCCGTCTCTACTAAAAACACAAAAATTAGATGGACGTGTTGGCGCGTGACTGTAGTCTCAGCTACTTGGGAGGCTGAGGCAGAATCGCTTGAATCTGGGAGGTGGAGGTTGCAGTGAGCTGAGATCGCGCCATTGTACTCCAGCCTGGGCGACTGAGTGACTCCGTCTCAAAACAAAAAACAAAAACAAACCAACCCCTCCCCACACCCAAAAAAAGAAAATTGTTCTTTTAGTAGTTGCCCCCAGATTTACAACATGGATTCGTTGTTCTGATATCAACTGGCACATATGTAGAAAAAGGGTTAAAGTAGCAGGCCTAAGACTGCCATCCTTAGAAAGACCTGCTTGCAAGGTTGGCCCCTGGCTGGTAACTAGGAACTTGTGATTTTGGGGTGGGGGTTCCCACCATTTCCAGAAATGATGAGTGCCTCACTATACTAAAACTGCTATACAAACAATGTGGTTTATGTTGAATTGCTGCTCCCTGACAGCCTGGAGCTACAGTATGTGCTAGGCAGAGGGCAACTACATGACCATCCCCCAGTAAAATCCTTGGGCACTGAGTCTTTAATGAGCTTCCCTGGTAGACAACATTTTATAGGTGTCACAATTCATTGAAATTAAGCACATCTTGTGTGATTCCACTGGAAAAGGACTTTTGGAACCCTGTTTCCTCCAGACTTTACCTTATGTACCTTTTCCCTTTGCTGATTTTGCTTCATATTTTGTTGCTGTAATAAATCATAGCCATGAATACATCTATATACTGAGTAATGTGAGTCCTCCTAGCATATAATGAAGCTTGGGGTGGTCTTGAGTACCCCCAACACAGAACATCTTACTCTCTTCCCAAACTGCAAGGTGTTTAGTAAGAATACTTAATCCCCTCTCAACTTATGTATTAGTATTTTCATGTATTTTAATTATATTAGAACCTATAAAACATCATTATTTTTGTTTCTACAGTCAATATTGATTGAGACCTACCACATATTTAATCTTCGTTGATCTTCATGTCTCCTGTACCTCTGACCTTTCATTTAAAATCACTTTTTTCCCCAGAGAACATTCTGGTATTTTCTTTAGAGTAGGGCTTCTTCTAAAGTAACAAATTATCTTAGTTTTTTTATTTGCAAGATAATTAGTTATTTTACATTTATTTTTGAAGGCTCTCTTCCTGGGTCTAGAGCTTTGGGCTTGGAGAATTGTTTGGTGACTTCTGTTGCGAGTCAGCTGTGAATCTAACTGTTGCACTCTTAAGGTAAACTTTCTCCCTCCAGCTGCTTTATAGTTCTTATAGGCTTTAATTTTTCAAGCAGTTTTTCTCTGATGTACTCATGTCATGCTGAAGGCTGGAGTGGCTGTGGCAACTTCTTAAAATAAGACAACAATGAAGTTTGCTGCATCAATTGACTCCTTCATTCACAAAAGATTTCTCTGTAGCTTGAGATTCTGTATGATAGCATTTTACCCAGAGAAGGACTTCTTTCAAAATTGGAGTCAATTTCCTTAAACTTTTTTTTAAACACCCTCAAACTTTGCCACTGCTTTGTCACCTAAGTTTATGTACTATTCCAAATCCTCTGTTGTTATTTCAACAATGTTCACAGCATGTTCACCAGTAGTAGACTGCATCTCAAGAAAGCATTTTCTGGGCTGGGCACAGTGGCTCACACCTGTAATTCCAGCACTTTGGGAGGCTGAGTGGGAGAATTGCTTGAGGCCAGAAGTTTGAGACCAGCCTGGGAAAAATAACAAGATCCCATCTCTACAAAAATAACAAATAATAAAAAAAGAGAGCACTTTCTTTGCTTATCCACAATAAGGAACTTCTCATCTATTCAAATTTTATCATGAGGTTGCAGCAATTCAGTCACATCTTCAGGCTCCACTTCTAATTTGAATTGTCTTGCTATGTCTACCGCATCAGCAGTTACTTCCTCCACTGAAGTCTTGAACCCCTTAAAGTCATCCATGAGTTGCATTCAACTTCTTCCAAACTCTTGTGAATATTGATATTTTTACCTCCTCTCATGAATAATAAATATTCTTAATGGCATCTAGAATGGTGACTCCTTTCCATAAAGTTTTCAATTTACTTTGTCCAGATCCATTAGAGAATCAGCTATGACAGCTATAACCTTATGAAATGTATTTCTTAAATATTTAAGACTTGAGTCAAAATTACTCCTTGATCCATAGGCTGCAGAATGGATGTTGTGTTAGCAGGCATAAAAAAAACCCCATTAATTTCCTTCTACATCTCCATCAGAGTTCTTGGTGACTAAGTGCATTGTCAATGAGCAATAGTATTTTGAAAGAAATATATTTTTTTTCTGAGTAGTAGGTCTCAATGGTGAGCTTAAAAGATTCAGTAAACCAGCCTGGGTAACATGGTAAGACCCAACCTCTAAAACAAACAAACAAACAAAATTATCCTGGCATGGTGGTATGTGCCTCTAATCCCAGCTACTGAGGGAGGCTGAGTCAGGAGGACTGCTTGAGTCCAGGGATTCAGTAAACTATGCTGCAGGCTGGGCTCAGTGGCTCATGCCTGTAATCCCTAGCACTTTGGGAGGCTAAAGTGGGAGAATTGCTTAAGGCCAGGAATATGAGACCAGCCTGGGCAACATAGGTGAGACCCTGTCTCTACAAAAGGTTTAATTTTTTTTTTTTTTTTTTTTGAGACGGAGTCTCGCTCTGTCGCCAGGCTGTAGTGCAGTGGCGCAATCTCAGCTCACTGCAACCTCTGCCTCCCAGGTTCAAGTGATTCTCTTGCCTCAGCCTCCCGAATAGCTGGGACTATAGGTGCACGCCACCACGCCCAGCTAATTTTTGTATTTTTAGTAGAGACGGGGTTTCACCATGTTGGCCAGGATGGTCTCGATCTCTTGACCTTGTGATCCACCCGCCTCGGCCTCCCAAAGTGCTGGGATTACAGGCGTGAGCCACTGTGCCTGGCTGAAAGGTTGAAATTTAAAAAGAAAGTAGCAGGGTATGGTGGCATGCACCTACTGTAGTTCTAGCACTTAGGAGACTGAGGCAGGAGGATCTTTTGAGTCCAAGAGTTTAGGGTTGCAGTGAGCTATGATTGTGTCACTGCACTCCAGCCTAGGTGATAGCAAGACCCTATCTCTAAAAAAAGAACAAAACCCAAAAAACCTCCATGCTATAAACAGATGTGTTGTCATCCAGGCTTTGTTGTTCCATTCACAGAGTGGAGGCAGAGTAGATTTAGTGTAATTCCTAAGGGCCCTTGAATTTTCAGAACGGTAAATGAGCATCAGCTTGAACTTAAAGTCAACAGCTGCATTAGCCCCTAACAAGAGAGCGTGCCTGTCCTTTGAAGCTAGGAATTGACTTTTCCTCTCAAGCTGTGAAAGTCCCAGATGGCATCTTCTTTCAGTAGATGGCTGTTTCTTCTACACTGAAAATCTGCTGTTTAGTGTGGCTACCGTCATCAATTATCTAACTTAGATCTTCTGGGCATCTTGCTACAGCTTCTACATCAGCATTTGCTGCTTCACATTGCACTTTTGTTAGAAAGACGACTTCTTAGAATGATACATTGGACTTTGGGGACTGAGGGAAAGGGTGGGAGTGGGGTGAAGGATAGAAGACTATATGTTGGGTATAGTGTACACTGCTCAGGGCTTGGGCGATGGGTGCACCAAAATCTCAGGAAAAAAAAAAAAAGATGGCTTATTTCTTTAAACCTCATGAACTAACCAACCCTCTGTTAGCTTCACACTTTTCTTCCTCAGCTTCCTCCCCTCTCTCATCACCTTCAAATAATGGAAAAGAGGTCCTTGCTCTGAATTAGGCTTTGGCTTAAGGCAATGTTGTGGCTGCTATGATCTTCTACACAGACTACTAAAATTTTCACCATATCAGCAATAAGGTTGTTTCACTTTGTTATCATTCTCCTGTCCACTGGAGTAGCACTTGTAATCCCATCAATAACTTTTCCTCATTGGCTTCACGACAATGAACCACGTGGCTAACTGGTACAAAAGGCCCAGTTTTCAGCCTATCTTGGCTTTTGACATGCCTTCCTCACTAAGCTTAATCATTTCTAGCTTTCGACTTAAAGTGAGCTCTTTCTTTTAAGAGTCATTTAATGTGACTCTTTCTTTCCCTGGAATACTTACAGGCCATTGTAGGATTATCAGTTGGCCTAATTTCAATATAGTGTCTCAAGGAATAGGGAAGACCAAAGAGAGGGAAAGAGATGGGGAAACAGCCAGTGAGTGGAGTCGTCAGAACACACACATTTATAAAATTTGCTGTTTTATATGGGTGCAGTTCAAAGTGCCCCAAAATAATTACAATAGTAACAAAGATCACTGATCACAATCACCATACAGGCGTCACAAAAAAGTTTGAAATGTTGTATGAATTACCAAAATGTGACACAGACACAAAGTGGGTAAACATTGTTGGAAAAATGGCGCTGATAGACTTGCTTGATGCAGGGTTGCCACAAACCTTCGGTATGTAAAAATTGCAGTATCTGCGACTACTGAGGGTAGATAATACAAGACAATGCAGCTTCCATCTTGCTCTCTCTCTCTCTTGCTTAGGGGAAGCCAGCTGCCATGATGCAAAGACATTTGAAGAGCCTTATGGAAGAGCCTATGTGGTGAGGAACTGAGGCCTCTTGCCAACAGACATGTGAATGAGCCCCCTGAGAAGCAGATCCTCTGGTCTCAGGGAAGCCTCTGAATGACTACAGTCCAGGCCAACATCTTGACTGCAACATGAAAAACCCTGAGCTAAAACTACCCGGCTAAGTCACTCCTGAATCCTGATCTGCAAACTGTGAGTTTATGAGTGTTGTTTAAGCCAGTCAATTTTAGGGTAATTAGTTTTGCCTTAGTAGTTAACTAATTACAGTATGCTTGTTTTAAAATTTCATATTATTTTGTGATTATATTATTATTTTAAATTTAATATGTTTTTTATGTAAAAAGAAAATGAAATCAATAGCTTATAAATTTTAAGTAATATTCAAATACAAAAGAATATGATTACTTTACCTCTTTATTGTTTTTTGAATTCCTAACTGGAAGCAGAGTTTTTCAGAAGAGATGAAGTCATCTCCACAATAGTAGTAATAGATAAGCCATTCAGAAAACCTTTATGTCTTATTCTCACTTCCTGAAGTGCATTTATAATATGGTCTCTATGAAAAAGGAAAACATACATGAGTATTTGTCTTTTCCAAAGGAATACATTCTGAATATATCTAAGTTATTAACTTGAACTATATTTTTACACAGAAGTTTTAAAGCAGTTAAAATATAATTTTGGTTATTACCTGCTGACTTCTGGATGCAGTTCAGCCAGTCTCTTTATGATCTTGGTAAAGCTACGAAGGTTCAATGTATTTGGAGGTATGAATTGAACGGGTGTATCAGGTAATAATTTAGCAGATTCAATCTGCTTACAATTCTTCTTGACACCCTAAATAAGCATTTAAAAAGTTTTCTTAAAATCAGTAAGGACCATTACATAAAGATAATACCGCTTATTCAACAATAATATATTTGAAAATTAAAATAATAAAATAAAAATTCCTTAAAAATTTACTTTAACTTGGGATTGTTTATACCAATTGCATTTACTTGAGCTGTGTTTCAGGGCCATGTAGTACAAAACATACCCAACATTTTTTCTTACTGATAAACTATAGGAGGCTATGTCTAAATAAGGCTTTCTCAACCAGATTCCTCATCTGAACCATAGAACACAGAAAATGATGTAACTACTTTCTCAATTCTCTCAAAGATAGGACATAACTAGTTTCATTTTGGATGCACAGGAGAGAGATTCATTCATTAAATAAATGTTTTAGGCTTAGGGCATTAAGGCTTAATTCTCTTAACCAACCTAAGAAAGGCTACACAGTAATTAGAGATATTTTACATTGTATTTACTATATGCTGTATGTAATGAATACAAATTGTATGCCCAGAAGTGCACTATATGCTGTGGGGGAAAAACTATAGTGACATAAAACAGAACCCTCTATTGCGAAGAGACAAAATTAAAATGACCAATTAGTTACTGTTAACACTGCAAGTAGGCTATAAATTGTAGAAAACCACTGTAAATCCCATAAAAGTTCAACAAAGGAAGGACTCAGACTTTAAAGCCTCGATGAAAAGTCAGGGCAAGACACATGATATACTGGACCTTTCACATCAGAACATTGTATCTTTCACTTGCTTGTTTATTGCCTTATCTCCCTCACTAGATTTTAGCTCCTTAAGAGTACAGATTTTTGTCTCTTTTGTTCATTGTTGCTTTCCCAGTGCCTAGAATAGTGTACACAGTTGGTATGTAATAACTATTTGTTTAATAAATAAAAAGTTTGGGATACAATAGTTTAAGTGACAGTTGAAGTTAAGTGCTCTCCAAGAAAGAAGCCAAATTATTGGTAAGTAATAACAACAACAGCTAATATTTTCTGGGTACATCTTCCATGGTAGGCACCGTTCTAAAAATTTTTCTGTATTAAGCTTATTTAAGCTCATCAACATTTGTGAGGTAATGGCTCTCATCTCCATTTTAAGATAAGGAAGCTCAGAAACGGAAAGGTTAGATTAGTTTTCCAGAGTCACATGGTGAGTAAGTGGCAGAGCCAGGTTATGAATCGAAGAGTTTTTATTAATCACCACGATTCTGCTTCTCATTGTAGACAATCAATATTTTCTAAATGAATAGAATAAATAATAATGTTGAGAATCAGAAAAAGAACAAGGGAACAAGAAATTGCCAGAAAGGAAAGAGAACTTGGAGTATAGTTTAACAAAGATGGTTACAGGAGCTTCCCTATCCACATACTCCTACCAACAGCCTGTACGGCCCTCTTTATAACGTCTCTCTCCCAACCCCATGGCCCACTGCCACAGCTGACAGGACCAAGAGTGTTGCTGCCTGAGCTAATGAACATCAAAATCACAGCCTGGATCAATTCAATTTCCTGTCTAAAGCATGTGGAATTAGCAGGGTGTGGTGGCTCACACCTGTAATCCCAGCACTTTGGGAGGCCAAGGTGGAAGGATCACTTGAGGACAGGAGTTTGAGACCAGCCTGGGCAACATAGCACGACCTGGTCTCTACAGAAAAATACAAAAATTAGCTGGGCATGATGACACACCTGCAGTCCCAGCTACTTGGGAGGCTGAGGTGGGAGGATTGCTTGAGCCCAGGACTTCAAGGCTACAGTGAGCTGTGGTTGTGCCACTGCACCCCAGCCTGGGTGACAGAGTGAGATCCTGTCTCAAAAAAAAAAAAAAAAGACTGAAATTAGAACATGAAGCAAATGAATTACTCAAATCACAGGGACTTGAATTGAAAATACAGAGTTAGAATCAAGCAAAACAAAGCCAAATGGGGGAAGAAAGCAGTCATGAGCAGAGAAAAGCAGTCTGTAGAGAGAGGGGAATAAGGGGAATGAACACAGGGAGAGCAGAGGCAGGAGACCACATGTGCTACACGAGAGAAGAAAGGGAGAGCCACAGTTCCCAAACCTCCAGCTCAGGGCCCCACGCAGCTTCACTGCACTTTATTTCCTTCCTTCCTGCTGTAGATCGAGGCTATGTACCAAACAAATCAATCCCACACATGAAGGGTCACTGAGATGAAAGGAAAAGTTTCAAGAAAGGGATGAACAGTGTCAAACAGGTAAAGTAGTAAAGAGGAAGGCAGATGAGGGAAAGACAAATAAAAGGTCACTAGTGCCTTATGAAAAGGGCCGTTGAGGTAAAATTTTAGAGACTGAAGTCAGATTATCGGGACAAAAGAGAAGCAAAGAAACAGACATTGAATATAACCTACTTGATTGAGAAGTTTGGCAATAAAAACATAGGATAGGCTGGGTGTGGTGGCTCAGGCCAGTAATACCAGCATTTTGGGAGGCCGAGGTGAGCAGATGACTTGAGGTCAGGAATTCAAGATGAGCCTGGCCAACATGGTGAAACCCCATGTGTACTAAAAACACACAAAAATTAGCCAGGCAAGGTAGTAGCTTCCTATAATCCCAGCTACTCAGGAGGCTGAGGCAGGAGAATTGCTTGAACCCAGGAGGCAGAAGTTGCAGTGAACTGAGATTGCGCCACTGCACTCCAGCCTGGGCGACAGAATGAGACTCCATCTCAAAAAAACAAAACAAAACAAAACAAACAAAAACAAAGACAAACCCCCCCCCCCCCAAAAAAAAGGACAAATAAGGATGGTAAAGTTAAAGGAATGCAAAGTCAAGTGAAAATCCTGTCAGGATTAGGAAGGGCTGTGCCTGACTTGGAGTACAGGCGAAGGTCTGTGAGTGGAAGCGGAGTTGCTAATAGTAGAGAAAAGGAATGGGATAACTCCAGGAATGAGGAAAGGACTGGATAAAGGACACAGTTAGAAGAGATCCCTTTATCTTATTAAGGGAAAAAATCAGATACATTTATTCAACAAGTATTTATTCTTGTGCTGATCTATGGATTCAAAATAATCCCAGCAAAAATCCAAGTAGGATTTTTTTTTTTTGTAGATAGACGGTGAATTATAAAAGTATACAGCAAGGCAAAGAGACTAAATAGCTACAATAACTCTGAAAAAGAATAAAGTTAGAGGACTCATCCCACCTGATTTCAAAACTTACTATGAAGCTACAGTAATGAAGACAGTGTACTATGGGTAGAAAGAGACAGTTCAGCGAAACAGTTCCAGTCTAAAAATAGACTCACACAAACATGGTCAATTGATTTTTGACCAAGGTGCAAAGGTAATTCAACAGAAATAGGATCATCTTTTTAACAAATGATGCTGGAACTATTCCATATGCAAAACAGAAACAAATGCAAATAAACAATAATTACCTCAACAAATACCTGAAACAATATATAAAAATTAACTCAAAATCTCTGTGACCTTGGATTATGCTAAGATTTCTTAGCTTCAACACTAAAAGCATACATTATAAATGAAAAAAATTAATAAATTATACTTCATAAATACTAAAAAAAATCCCTGTTCTGAGAAAGACACTGTTAAGGGAATGAAAAGACAAGGCACGAAGTGAGAAAAATTATTTGCAAATCACCTATCTGGTAAAGGACTTAAAATCAGAATATTAAAAAATCAAAATTCAATAATAAAATAAACTGAATAAAAATGGACACAACATAAGCAGGAATAAAATACCAGTATACACAACAACATGGATCAATCTCAAATGCATTCAGGGAAAGAAGCCAGGCTAACAGGGCTATATAGTATAATTTCATTTATATAACATTCTGAAAAAGGTCAAGTTTTAAGAATAGGAAACAGATCAGAGCACAAGATAATTCTCTGGAGTGATGGAACTGTTCTGAATCTTGATTATGGTGGTGGTGACTTGCCTATATGCATTTGTCTAAAGCTATAGGCACCAAAAAGTATTGAATTTTACTGTGCGTAATTTTTTTTTTAAAATCTGTGGAATGCCTATGGGACTCCAGGCAATTTGCTGAGCAGTGGAGAGAAAAGACTGAACAAGGCAAACTTTACCACTTTTCACAGGGTGTTTACCTCCATAAGAGAGACATGAGAATATATGAAAATACAATGACTACATTTTACGGTTTTAACAATTATGAGATAAAGTTAGCTATGAAAGAAAAATAAAGATGAAATTATAATTAGTTACTTATAGAGTAGTAATAAAAAGACGGCGAAAGACTGGCAAAGAGCCTAGTTAAAACGAGTTTTTCGTTAGCTTGGTCTACAAAGATCTAGATTTCCCCCCAGGAACAATTGGAGTTGTACAAAAGCAGGTTGAGGTGGATTCAAGGTTGAAAACAATTCAGATTAATGCTGTCATTCCCATTTCAAGACTGCATATTGAAGTTATTTATTCTACAAAGCTACTTACAGCAATATGACGTACAAAGACCATTTAAGGGATCTATCAAAAACACTAACCTGGTCGGAAGGGAAAACCTCACTGTCTTGCTCAGAACCCAGCTGCCGTGGCCTAGTTCTGGGCAATCTAGAAATGGAGAATTCTGAGTGGATTTGTTTGTTGGTGCTTTTCTCTAAATTATTCGAACTAATTCTATTCCCATTTTTGGAGGAAAGTGGTGATGTATATTCTCCAAGAATTTTAACAGGCCACACATTTACTGACTTTCCATTTATTTCTATCCCATTCATTTCTTTCACAGCTATCTTTGCATCGCTGTTTTTTGTAAAAGCAAGAGATGCATATCTAAAACATAAGAGCAGAAAACCAAAAGGTTGTTAATGACTTCAAATTACATCAAACTTAATTTTGCAACTACTGATGCAAATACGTTTTTCACAAGAGTAACTGCTTTTAAAAATAAAAAGGTTGCTGTACTTACCTTGGGATTAAGAAGAATATTTATTTAGGATAACTAAATAAAAACCAAGTTAAAGATGGGAAATAGAAGAAAAGTATTTCTTACACATTATCTCCTATTAATTTCATATTAAAATCTAATGTAAAATATTTGCGAAGCTAATATATGATAGAGTTGCAGAGATTAGTGGTCTGGGGACAACTGGTTATCCATAACTTAAAAACCTAAAACTAATCCCTATGTATAAACGTAAACTTCAGATAACTTAAAGGCTTAAATGTGAGAGGCAAAATTTTAAATATTTAGCAGAATATGCAAAAGTGTATCTTTATGACCTTGTAGTGGGGAAATATACAGACAAAAACAAAGAGTTGGAAAATCTAATCAGAATTTTAATTATATATACAAGAAAGTTGGGCAATAGCTATTCCTATAAAATCATCAGCCCTAGACAGCGTCAATGGAAGGATATATACCAAATCCCGGGAAGAGTGGCTGTTTTCAAATGATGGGACTATGGATACATTTTTATAAACTCCTTGTAGTTTTGCACTTAATTGTACTTTCTAAATTTCTACACAGAATGCAAAATACTTCAAGTAAGAAAAAAACATAGTTTTAAAAAAGTATTCAACAAGATACTAAAAGAGTTTTCACATCAAGTAATAATCCTAGGATTACAATACTACTTTAATGAAATGTATTAACATCATATCAACAGGTTAAATAATTACAGCTGAACAATTATCTTACAATTATATGACTTCATTTAAGACACACATTTTTAATAAATTGCAACCCCAACTACAAACAGGATCCTTTCTTAATTGATAAAAATTTTATATCTGAAATAAACAGCTATCACTTTTAATAATGAAACAGTAAAAAAATTTCCATTAAGCTATCGCCATTGTTATTTAATACTTTTGAATGATCTGGCAATGTCACAAAACAGAAAGTAGCAACATACATACTCAGACTGACTACATGTAAATGAGGTAGCTGTCTACCTAAAATATATAAAAAGTGTCAACTAAAAAGTAACTGAAATCAGAAACAGTGAAATGAAATACAATTTTCTGAGCACCTACTATGTGCCAGGCTTTATTCCTAGTGTTTCACATATTTTACTTCTAACAGTTTCACAGCAATGCTGTGAAGTTAGTATTATTATCCTCACTTTATAGACAAAGAGGCTGAGGTACAGAAAGGTTAAGTAACTTGCCTAAATTTATTAACCAAGTTGTTGACAGAGCTGGGAATTGAACCGATGTTATCTATTTCTGGAAGCCGTTCTTTTACCTAATGTGCTCTACTTCCCCTATGAAGTGGCATGTAGCAAGATAAAGTATACAAAAATCAATAACTCTCCTGTATACCATTAACAAGTTATAAAGTATAATGAAAAAAAAGATCTGGTTAAGAACAGTATCAACTCAAGATTGCAGCTATTTGTCCCTATGTCCCCTTCCCTGGCCTGTGAAACCCTGTGAGAATAACCCTTGACTTTATCACCACTGTGGCTGATATCTGGTATAGAACCTTTGGCAAACAGCAGACACATAATAATGCACATTGATTAAAGTTGGGAAACACACCTGTAATTAGTAGAATCATAAATTGAAATTTCAGAAACTTGGTATTTTTGGAAATGAGACCTTAAATCGGCCTAAAAGAAGAGAAATAAAAGTTTGTGAAAGGTAGAAAAAAACAACAAATATGAACAACTAATAAATTTGAAAATGAAGCTCAAAAAAATAATCCTGGTATACCTCAGATACTGAAGGGCAGAGGCCACCAACATGTATCAAATAACCTTTATCTCTTTGTGAGGGTTCAACATTCTTCATTTCTGCTTAGAGAAAAACATGTAACAGAAATGATCTTTATTGTACTGATATGTTTCAGAGAAAATGTGAACACTGTTAAATATTTTGTTTCCTTTCTACTAACCCAGAGTTTATTATAAAGTTATCAGCAACTATCAGCACTTCTAGACTGAGGACTAAGAGCCTGCAATATAGTTTTAAGATTTCTGGGCCTTAATCACATCATCTTAAAAACTAAAGAGGCTGGGTTAGTTAAGTCTCTTGTAGCTCAAAAATGAATAAATTACATCTAAACAAAGTAATCAATTACTGTAATTGTTGTCCCTCAGTATCCCTGGGGGACTGGTTCTAGGACACTCCAAGGATGCTCAAGTCCCTTATGTAAAATGGCACAGTATTTGCATATAACCTACACACATCCTTCTGTGTACTTTAAATCATCTCTAGATTAGTTATAATACCTAATACAATGTAAATACTTGTTATACTGTATTGTTTAGGGAATAATGAGCCTCCCAAAAAGTCTGTATATGTTTAGTACAGGCTTTTAAAAAATATTTTCAATCTGCAGTTGATTGTCTTTGTCTTTGGTTCAGAGAAGTGCTATCTAGAACAGTGGACACACACAGGATCTTAACTCCCTAGTGTTAATGCTGGCTAGAGCTAGTGGTCTGAGAGCTCTCATTATGCACATTCCGTTGCTGGGGAAACATCACACCAAGAAAACCTTTTAATTGGGCAATATAATAGCAGGTATTATAATATATAGCTTGCAATAACGGTAAGGGCACACAAAAAAGGGGAGAGACAACTTGAGTTAGACAGCATGATTTTCCAAATTACAAATACTAGGATTATAGATAAATATTTTTCTTGATAAAAAATTTCAAAATTCTTAAGAGTACGTTTTCATAGTCTCTATTGTGAAGAGAACCTGAAACCAAAAAGGATCCACTGAATAGAGATTCAAATTACTAGCAAATCCCATACCTGGCACACAGGAAGTACACAAATATTTGCTGAATAAATCCTTAAAGTAGCTTTTATTTATATGCTTTATAATTTTTATATAGTAATGGGAGATGTGGAAATTTTATTTTTTTCATTAAATAATAATAAATAATATATAAGAGTAGCCTAACACTTATCCAATGTTTCTGATGCTCCAGGCAACATGGCAAGCACTTTATACACATCATCTCATGTAATTCTCACAACCACGCCACAAGGTAGCTATTATTATTTTCATTTTACAGATAAGGATGCTGAGGTCTCAGGAGTTTAGGTCACAAATAGAGTAAGTAGTGGTGCTGGAATCCAGGCAGAGTTTGTCAGCTTAGGTAATAATACCTAACCTTCATTAACTTATTTTATTTGTTAATCTCTTTGAATAATGATGTATTCTATAGAGAAAACAGCAAAACCACCTACCTTTATATTTTTACACTGGAGTGAGGAGGGAATAATGAGCTACAGTACAGTAAAAAAGGGTAAATAAGAATCAGAAGACATACATTATACCCATCACCTCACCTTTCACTACTTCAACACAAAATAGCTAATGAATATCCAATGGGCTGCATGCCGTACCTGGCACTGGAGATAGGCAGTAAACAAAACACATAAAAATCCCTGAGCTCACTGAGCTAATGAGAGGATGGGAAGGCAGTCAATATATCAAGTAAGCAAACCATACAGTATTGTGATACGTGACATGAAGAAAACTAATGCAAGGGAAGAAAAAACAGAATAAACTAGATGATATGGGGCTGGGTGCAGTGGCTCACGCCTCTAATCCCAGCACTTCAGGAGGCTGAGGTGGGTGGATCACTTGAGATCAGGAGTTCAAGATCAGCCTGGCCAACCTGGTGAAACCCCGTCACTACTAAAGATACAAAAATTAGCCAGGTGTTGTGGCGGGCACCTGTAAGCTGAGGCAGGAGAATCACTTGAACCCGGGAGGTGAAGGGTTGCAATGAGCCAAGATAGTGCCACCCACTCCAGCCTGGGTGACAGAGCGAGACTCTGTCTCAAAAAACAAACAAACAACAACAACAAAACCCCAAAACTAGATGACATAATGCTACTTACTTTAAATTGTATATGTATATTAAATATATGCATAAGAAAATGCATAAAAATGGTCATTAAAATATTCATAGTGGTTACTGCAGGTTGGAGAAACCAGTTTTTAATTTTCCTATATTTTTAAATTTTATTAAAAAAACCATAATAAGCATTATTTAGACAAGCAGGAAAAAACAATACAACCAATGCTGATATGGAAAATAAAAGAAAAATCCATAGAAGATACAGAAAAAATAAGGAAAGGTAGCATAAACTTAACTAGAAATGACAGAAGGGCAATAATCACAGGTACTAGAGAAAATTATAACTATTCTAAGCAATTAAGGACTATCTAAAAATGAAAACATCCCTAAAATTATTGAAATAAGAGAAAACAAATAGTTTTCATCATTAACACCAATTTGACAAATTAGTACTGGTTGCCTGGTGGTAACTGGGAAGCTGGTCTTATTCACCATGTACCCGTGCCTGGAAAGAGGAAAATGATGCCCTGCAGGAGTGCTGATGTTGGCCTAGAGCAAGAGGAAGAATGCGGGTATCTACCTGTTAACTAAATCTTGGATTTAAGCTTTTAGCAGTTTTTTCCTCTTTAAAAAACTGACCTCCAACTGAACAATTTCCTCACTTTTTTTATTTATAAAGAAAAGCCAAAACAGGAATAAAATATTAAAACAACTCAGTTGCCCAACACAACACAGAAGCAGGTAAGCACTATTTTACAAATGATCTAGGTTAGGATTTCTCGGTAAATTCTTGAGAACCAACCTCCTGTAAGATCCAAATTCCATGTGTCTTGTTCTACTTGATTTCCCTGTGTCCCTGAGACGTCAACTCCTGTCAGGCTCTCTTTAGCATCAGACCAGTCTTCGCTTGTCTCTTGGTAATGTCTGCAGTCTAAGACACTCAACACAGTGAGCTATGAATGACACGTAACGTCCAACACACTGAAAAGTTACCTTAAAACCATGGATGAATCAGTACGATGATGACTACTAGAGTTTTATGTATAAATCTAAAGAGAAATATTAGCAAAATAAGAGAACCAAGCAAAAAGATTCTCTGAGAAGAGACTTTCAGCAGTCCTTGAATAAAAAGTTGCTTTCAGTCTGACTGATCTGTTTCTTAGTTTTCCTTTAATTAAAACACTATTCCCGGCTTATTGAAACCCTTAATTTTTGGCATTTTGAACTGTACTTTAGTGAAAAAGACATATTATCTTTATATATGCAATAACATGAAACATCTTTGAAAGAATTAAGCCGCGTTGCAGCCCTTTATTTCATTACAATTAAATTAATAATCTTTTGGAATGATCATAATCTCTTTTCATGTGCTAAAAATGCACACAATTTACAGAGATACAAATTAGATACAAGAGAGAATTTTCATACTAAAAACATGAACCAGAAGAATAAGAGTCCATATTATTATTTAGCATTGTCAGCTATATTAGGCAACCTTAAAGATGTCAAGTAGCAATAATAAGAACATACTTGACATTTATAATCAGAATGATGCCTTTCCATCAATTAAGAAAATTTATTTTTATTTAATGAATAAACACTACCAATACTTTAAACCTTATTTTGTTTTCCAGCAACTATACAAGATAACACATTTTTATACTAACCTTTATCACCAAGTTTCAGTTGACTAAAGTCTGCATTTATATCACCATTTTTAAAGTCATCTTTCTTGGGTGATATGTTTTGTGTAGCATGACTATTGTCAGATGATAAAGACATCTGAGGATTAAGATAATAAAAACAATAAATAAGGGCAAATAATTATTATGCTCTTACTATGTGACAGGTACTCTTCACTGGCATTATTCAGCCTTTACAGTAATGAGGGCTCTGAAAGGAAAACATTATCAACCTGACCTGACATGTGAGAGAACAGAATCTAAGTAACTTGTTGCTTCATGTTACACAGTTAACAAGAATTACACTTTGAATCCAGTCTGTGTATAATGACTGTGCTAACACTACTATTTGGCAAAGTGTGGCATACACACATGAGAAGTAATCGAGATAATTTTTGGAGGTGTATATATATATATTATATATATACACAAATATTTATCACATTAACCTTTAACAGCTATATATTTAATTTAGCGTATGCTTATGTGTATATTTTATTTACGAGAAGCAATATTTCTTTCCTATATGTAATAGTTATTGTTTACATTTAAATTTATGTAAAAAGGAGAATCATTTAAAGACAAAGTAACATTATAGGTAATACAGGGCTACGGTAAACTGTGAAGATGGTACATGAGTAGCTGAAATTTAGAAACACTATACTGAGTTTCATGAATTACCAGTTAATTTAATGAGACAGGAATTAAAATGTAATCTCAACTTAAAATAAATCTCAACTTAAAATCAATATTGTTTTGTAGCCAAAACCAAGATTATAAAACTACGTTATATCTTTATCTTGTTCTTTAAAAAATAATTTATTGTTCTCCCTAAATAAACAGGTTATACCATTCCTACCATTAAATACATAAAAATCTAGTTTTTGACCTGTTAATTCTTTGTGGATAACTGAGATTTTTTAAAAAAGAATTTAACAATGGAATAGACAATGTTAAAGTAATTTACTTTTACTCAAGTATTTCACTTTTAACTTTGGAATTCATCTTGGGGGATTAATATTACTCAAATAAAGAAACCTCAGGGTTAAAACCAAGGTCAGAAAAGCAGACTAAACCCCAGCCTTCCTATTCAATTGCCTCCTTGCTCAATAATAGAATATAACCAATGTTTCCATAACACTTTGTAATTTTCAGAGTGTTCTTACGTAGATTAAATCTTCCTTCTTGGTTGTCATCTGACAAACACTTTCTTGCGGGAACAAGAAAGAGTAAGAAAACCTATGACAGGCATTTAAAAATGATTTTCATCATCTCAGTAAAGAAGAAATTATAACTTTTCCCTGTCTAAAATGACTGAATTATTACTTTACCTCATGAGATGAACGTACAAAGTGTTAGTTTTAATTGCACTGGCTTCACATGATGATGGCACTAAATTATTGTTTGCCCAGGACAGTCCATGTTTATACCAACTGTTGTAGAGAATTACCATTACACTCTTTCAACCTCAAAAGTCTCCTGGTGTGGTGTAAATTATATGGTCACCCTACTCAACATATACGGTTGACATCTGTTTGATCAGGATTCGACATAAATATATCATTATAATCAGTTATATCCCTCAAATGGTAGTACACAAAGTAAGCCAGTTGAGTGAAAAGAAGGATGTCAGGGTTTCTGAAAATTATGATTTACTTTACGTAAACCATACACTTAAAGATTTGCATTGATGAACTTTCAAGGACCCTTACTTGAGAGAGTGTCTTTTTTAGGTTTGAAGAAACATCAACATCATGAGCCCTCTGATTATCTTGTTCAGCATCTGCTTCTGAAAAGCTAAAAAGAACATTTCAGAAGAAATATGATCTAATGTTTGATAACAGAGTAAGGTGACTATAGTTAACTACAATGTATATTTCAAAGTAGCTAAAAGAGAGGACTTGAAATGTTCCTAACACATAGAAATGACAAATACACAAGGTGATGGATATCCTGAATATCAACTTGATTAGTACACATCCTATGCATGCAAAAAATATTACATGTACCCCATACATTTGTACAATATTAAATGTCAAGAAAAAAGATAAACACTTCATTAAAACATTTATCAATGTTCTAAATAGGGAACAAAACAAAGTTTAAAGTTAACTGAATTAAGCAATTTTTAGGATCTAATGAATTATAAATCAAATGAAACCATAACTCACACATGTGTTTCTTTTTTCATTAGCTGGAAGGAGAGAAAAGGAAAAAAAATCTTTGTTTAAAATGTTTTGTCTAAATGAAGTAAAATTTTTTATTTCTAAAACATATATACATACCCTGGAAGCAAAAGTAGAGAAGGTAGATAATAATTTTGATTCTAGTGACAGTGGGGGCAGCTCTTCCAGTGGTATGCCTTTGTGTATTTTTTCTTTCAAAGTCACATATCTAACTTTTAAGTCCCCCAAAAGAGACAGTAGTGCTGATCCCAATTCCTTCTTAGCAGAATTACTTGATAAATTCCTGTTCAAAAGTTGAGTGCACAAAACTAAATTATTTAGGCCTAAGTCATCCATTTAACACTAATATTATATTATACACTTGGTTCTTGAACTCCTGGGCTCAAGCAATCCTCCTGTCTCAGCCTCGCAAGTTGCTAGGACTACATGTGTGCCACAATGCCCAGCTAATTTGTAAAAAAATGTATTGTAGAGACGGGGGTCCTATTATGTTGCCCACATTGGTCTTGAACTCTTGGCCTTAAGTGATTCTCCTGCCTCAGCTTCCCAAAGTGCTGGGATTACAGGCACAAGCCACCTTGCCCAACCCCACTTGGTTCTAATTTTACTAGAACTCTAAATATTTTCTTTTAAATGCTGAGTAAAAGAAAAAAATGAACCACAGTAAATATGTTTTTCTAAAGGCAGTACAAACAACTCTTGACACATAAGCCAGAGAACGTGTGGTAGCATGTCATGCAAAAACTCTCTAAGTTCATCCTTACTTGAACTTTATAAAGAAAAAACAAATCTATGTTTTCACTGGATTCATCATGCCAACCACGCACTGTGGCCCCTCCATGAAACTCAAGGGTTCTATTACCCTTAGGCTAACTAACAAACCCAGTAACAATCTACTCCTCATTTTACTCTTCAAAAATGAAAATTAGAGAAACTCTCTAGAATAAACTTAAAGCTAGTGACACATTTCTAAGAAAAAACAGATTTGAAATTAATAAACACATATTTAATCCTTCCCTATTTTCCATGACAAGTTTGTAAATATCACAACAATGGCGACGACACATCTGATAGTGAACATTTAAAAGGTGCAGCTCTGCTTTTATGGCTCTCTGCATTATCTTCTGACAGCACATTGATGGCAAATCCTTCTCTGTATCTTTAAAAAGTTGAAATTCCCTTTAAAAATAAAAGATAGGATCAGGTAAGATTCCAAACATTTTTCTATAGTAATAACATGCCTCCAGAAACAGATTTTAAATTTTTTATATTTCCCTGTCAAGTTTAAATCAATTTATACTAAAGATGAAGAGGCTGTAGGAATATATAACAACTTCAGAAAACAAGAAGTTAAAGCTAAATATATTCATTCTAGAGGTCCAGGAAGTAAACAATTCTCAAATTCATACTTTCTTTTACCAAAAAAGGAAGTATGAATTTGAGAATTGTTTATTCTGGAGAATTGCTTATTCTCTATAAAGTCATTTTGGTAATGACCTTATTTATCCAGAATCAATGGATTTCTTTCAATCTAAATCAAACTTTGGCCAAGATTTTTAAAAGTTATAAGCATTTTGGATGAAAATTATTCTTAAAACATATTATCTTTTTAATAGAAAATAATTTACATATTTCTTAATAGTTAAGGATCATTAATATAAGCAAATATTTTGCTGTACTATTATATCAAAAAGCCCCAAATCACTATGTTTTTTTGAGTATTAGTAGTTTTTGGAGGTCTTCCCTTGTTACTAATTGCCACTTCTAGCTATTCTCAATGGTTCTGCTTCTAGAAACCAATAATTTAATTGTATAGAACTGAAACGCCAGATTAAACATATTAGAAGAATGAGTAATAAGTGAAGGAAAAAGTAAATGACCTCAGAGTATGATAACTAATTTCGCTTCTTAGACCTTCCCTGTTTCTCTCCCTCCCACTTCCTGGTTCTCCACTGTGTTCTGAATTACAAGAGTATCTGATAAATGCAAAGCAAATTATGCAATGAGTTAAAATCAAGATTAAAATGCTCCTGTGAAAGTAGCTATTTACTTCTCCAAATAAATGACATATTCCAAAGGTGCTAGTTTGTTCTGGCCTACAGGTGAATAAAGTGAAAGGAAATGGAAAATTAAATCAGTATGGATTTGGGTTGAACAAGTAAAGATTAGATGCCATGAGTTTCTGAAGAAATTGAGACTGAAATCTCAATAAGTGAAGAGCTTTAATATTCTATATTGTTTTAATATTTATTTGAATGCAAACGGTTGAAACAGATGATTTCTTAAAGTCCATTTTAGCTATTATTCTATATGGGTAAGTATGCTATACAGAAAGCAAATACTATTTTGATTTTTTCTTCCAGATGTATCTGTAAGCATATATAAATGATGTACCTCTCAGGATGTTTCTTTAGGTCTGTGATACCACATGCTTTTCTTAATTCCAGGAAATCCTGAAAATATGATTTAAAATTAAATTTAAAAAAGTTATATCTGAAATTCCAAACTAATAAAATGTACAATTCAATTTCTAATGGATTTTGTGGGAGGAGCTGCCAGGAGAGGAGGATAGAACTGGTGGTAATTTACACGTCTTTTTTTTTTAATTTACTTTTTAATTTACTCCCTTTTTAATTTACTCCCCTCATCTAGCATCTTCTCACAAAAGCCTTAATTCAACGAACCAAAAACACTTACATTAGCATACACTGTCTCTTTATAAAGTCCAAATTTTATTATTACTCATATTGATTTTACCTTATTTAGAAAATTTCCATTAGGTTTTAAACTGTCAACGGAGAGAGATTTTCCTGATCCTTTTGTTATAGCCATCTGTGTATCTATACAATCTTCACTGTATGACCAATCTGTACTACAAGCCACACTTTTTTGTTTCTCATTTTGCCATTCATCAGGTCGTTTTTTATTCATCATTGTTATCTCTGTGTTGCTTGATGTAGATACTACAGAAGGTCTTGCACTTGTTGCCCTGCTGGTTGTGAAACAAGCCCTAAAATCAGTGCTAACGTCCACTGTCTGATTAATTGTGACTGTACAACTTGCTGCATCTGTCAATGATTTAGTACACATTTCTCCTATATTGTGAAAGCATGTTTTCTTTGTGGTACTGCTATGAGCAACTTTTAGGGACGTATTATCTTCTATTGCCTGATTATCTCTGACTGCGATCTTTGGTAGCATAGCAGAAAAATCTAAGGCTGAGTCAGCAGTGTTTTGTAGGCTTTCATAATATCCACAGGCAGAAATTATCGAATCATCAAAAACAGAGGTCCAGGAAGTTTGACAATCTTTACAGGGTTGGAGTAATGTCTCTAAAGCTTTATCCTGTGGTAATGTGCTAGGATTTTCAAGGTGCAGTAATATTTTGTTCTCAACAATTTTATTTCCACAAAAATCTTTACCTTCATTTATTTGAGATTTCATGTTTTCAGTATAAATTTTCATTTTTAATACTTTTTGAGGGCTCAAGGAACCACTCTTAGATTGAGATTCCTGGTTTCCTGGAGAATTGCTTCTTAGTACACTGCCATCAAATACAGTGTGGTACATTGAATTAGTCTCTTGTTCCTTATACTTTTCATGCTTTAGGTCATGATATTCTCTTAACATAACAGAATTCTGAAATTTGGAGACATGAAGTGACTCTTCTTGTCCATAAACATCAAGTGAATCGAAAGAGATGATAGAACCACTTCCCGAGTTAACACGATTATCTTCTACATTGCTAGCACATTTAACTTCATAACCCGAATTTCCTAATTCAACAACTTCTGGATTAGATATATCTAATGCTTTTGTTTGGTCAAAAGATAAATGGTTACTTATGTATTCTTGTTCTTCTGCACTGTGATATTCCTGCTGTGAGTCTTCATCTGTATCATGCTTTTGTGTATCTTCAGCACTTTCTCTATAATTAGCATCTGAAATATTGTAGATTCTTTCCAAGCCAACAGTCTTATCTTGATGTTCCAAAATATTAAAAAAAACCTCCTCTTTTTTCTGCACTTCAGGATCTAATTCTGAACTTAAAGGAGTAAGACTTTCCTTCTTTAGTTTTGACTCTGAATAAGGTATAGAATATGTTTTATTCAAGAAAGCATAGTCAGTACTGTCTTCAAGTTCACTTGACTGAAACTGAGTACTCTCTGTGTTAGTATCTTGACTCACTGAAAAAAATGGCTCTAATAAATCCATTTTGTCAATATTGCTGATTTCTTTATTATTAGCTCTTTGCTCTAGTGTCGAAGAATTCCAGTCATCATCAGGAAAAGTCAATTTGACTTCATCACAACCATTGGAGGATAATAACAAATTTTCTTTCTTTGGATTTGAAGGTTTATCTGATTAAAAAAAGGATAAAAACATTAACAGCAACATTACAGAATCTAGACACTAGAAAAACCTTAGACATGATCTGGTTTAAGCTCTTCCCAATGCGGGATTACAATTTACATCATCCATGAAAAATATCCCTTTCAGTAGCAGCTAAAAACTGAACCATGTCCTCCCAAATGATGCCTTGAAGGCCAGACCCATATGTTGGAAATGGGGACTTGGAGAGGTAATTAGGTTTACATGAGGTCATGAGGGCAAGACCCTAATTATAGGATTAGTGTCCTTTCAAGAAAAGACCAAAAGAGCTTGCCTCCCCCTTCTCTCATGTGAGGACACAGCAAGAAGGCAGCCATCTACAAGCTAGGAAGAGACCCCTCACCAGAACCTGACCATGCTGGCACCTTGATCTCAGACTTCCAGCCTCCAAAACTATGAGAAAATAAGCACCTGTTGTTTAAGCCACTCACTATATGGTATTTTGTTATGGCAGCCTGACCTAAGACAACAGCTAAGATTTTCTTGAATTCTTTCGATGGGAAGAAATTTACTGTTTACAGGGCAGCCACTGTTTGTAAAATGGTCTAATAAGAAACTTTTTTCTTATAAATTTATTTAATAAATCTTTGGGCGCCTCCAGTGCTAGCTCTAGGCACTGTAAAAACAAAGAAAAAGAAGACACGGATGCTGTCCCCAAGTGCTTATAGTTTTCATAGGGTCATAAGGTAAGCACACAAAAATGTAATTTTAACACAGTGCTGACAGAGTTGTGTTGATGGAGCAGGTAAATTTTTGAAAAAAAGGGAAGCAGACTTCAGAAAAACTTTGTATTTAAAAAGTGTTTTGAAACAAAATAGACAAAATTATTTTAGGCAAATCCAACGCAAGTACAATTAGCCGTGTGAAAGAACATGGCATTTTCAGGAAATTTTAAGACTTGTCTGTAGTGAAAGAACTCTTACGAGTATGACAGGAATTATCAACTGAAAAAGGCCCTTTATGATGTGCTAAGAAGTTTGGCTCTTATTCTAAGGCAACCAAAAACCACTGAAAACTTCATTAAAGGGTAGTCATGTGACTGGAATTGAGTTGTAGTCATTCCTGGCAACAGAAAGATTAAAAACTTGAAAGAGGAGAAAAAAGGCAGGTACCAAAACAGAGGTGGGACTAAAGAAGAGACTGGTATGAAAGTTCCACAACTGACATGTCTTGGTGGCCAATTAGAGATGATAGTAAGAGGAAGAGAGAGAGCAGTGGTTTTCAAAAGATTTTTTTTTACTAAGATCATAATCGGAATTACATTTTGGTCATATCATGACCCAGTACACACATACATATATGTATGTGTATAAGTAAAACAAAAATTTTACCCATGTCCAATGTATTCTTGTATTTTCTATTTTATTCTATTCCATTTCTTTAAAAAAAATTCATCACAATCAGCTAAACTGATGTTATGACTTACCAATTGGCCAATAAATACTCACTTAAATATCACTCAAAGATAATGCTTACATGTTTACAACTTGGTACTATAGTTGAATGGGAATATTCAGGGCTAAAGAGATAGGGACTGTGTGAAGAGCAGATTAGAAGGTAGAAGGGAAAAATGAGGAGGACGATGAGGATAATGAGTTCAATTCTGGGCAAGTAGAGTTTGAGGTTAGTAATAAAACACCCAGATGTGAATGTCTGTCCAGTAAGCTGTTATAAATATGTGGTTGGAGACGACAGAGTTGTTTAGGAGTCTTTTATATATTCTAGATACTAATTCTTTGTTTTCTTTTTAACATTTGTAATATAACTGAATTTTCCTAGCTTATTGCTTATCTTTTAATTTTTAAAAATTATTTTAAGAGACAGGGTCTTGCTATGTTGCCTGGGTGCTAGACTTGCATCAAGCAATCTTCCTGCCTCAGCCACCCAAGTAGCTTGCCTGGCTTTAACTTTTTATAGTATCTTGTCATATCAGAATTTTCCAGGTTATTTAGTTAAGTGCATCAGTCTTCTGTAACTTCTAGGTTTTGTGTCTTTGGTCTTCTCTACCAAGTAATTATAAAAATATTCTCCTATAATTTATTCTAATTGTGTGTGTAGGGGGGGGTGGGGGTTAACACTTAGTCTTTTTACACTACACAGAGTATTATTTTCCTCTTTAGCATAAGGTAGAACTCTAACTTAACTTTCTTCCAAAATGGATGGTCAATTGTCGTAATACCATTTGCCAAATAATCCATTGTTTTCCTTCTGAGCTGAAACAACATCTTTATCATATTCTGAAGTCTTCCTGTTTCTGTTTCATGATTTTCTAAGAATTTATTTCTATTTATTCCACTCCACTAACCTATTATCTTTTTGTATGACTGTATTACTGTTTTAATTATTATAGTATCACAGGTTATTTTTATATCTGGTAAGTTTTTTCCTGTATTTTAAAATTTATTTTACCTTCTCTTCAATAGATTTTTTTAAGTTTATTTTTGGGGGACCATTTTGAATTGCATAAAATACCCTATTGGGATTTACTGAGATAGAGAACCATTATCATGTCCAATCTCCAGTAGCCTTTCCCTAGATTTCCAACATTTAATGTATGAATACAAAGTATACTGTTTATTCCATTAGGGTTCATGAATGACATCTTCATTGTATAACTTTATCACTTTAAAATGACCCTCTTAATCGTCTTACAATGCTTTCTGCATTGATTATGCTCTTTACTACTATCACCCCAAATTTTTAAGTTAATTTGTTTAACTTGTCCATCCTTTTATCCTAAACCTTTCTTTTCTGTTTTAAATATGTCTCATGAACAATGTAGAGTTTTTGTTTTAATCTAGAATATATATATCTTAATAGTTTAAGCTACATACAGTCATAAGCACATAAAGTTTAGTCATCTTGCTTTTTAGACTCTTGCTATTTCTTATTTTCTTGCTGCCATGACCCAGGAAAAATACATTTCAGATTTATGGGAAGAAGAAAACATATACAACTTGGGCAGCAGAAGTCAACCTGCTCACTTTCTGATTATCACCCTGAAGGCAGTTATACCTGTCAGCAGTTCTTGAAAGGCTGGCTGGACAGAAATCCTTTCTTCCTGCTCACTTTCCCTTTCCTAAAGAAAGGTCCTGCCTAGACTGCCCTGATCCACCAAAAATCACCTGAGTCAATTTGGCAAGTTAAAAATATACTGAGTCTTACCACCTTAGAGGGAGGAAGAGTTAAAAAGCAGCAACCTGAAGGGCAAACTGTCTGGCACAATACATTTAACACCCTTCCCCACCAAGAATAAGGGTAAGTGGACTAGACCCTTACCTTTTTGGAGGTTGCCTCCATTACTGTGGTAGCCTTTACCAGATGCTGTCTCCACCACTGCAGTGGCCTGCATCATTCAAAGATATATAATCTAGAAAAGGTATAAATATTGAACTATTATTATACTTAAAAAGCATAAATTGACAACTACATAAAGGACAGAAAGATATGTCCTTTTAAAATTTCCAAGGAACATTTTTTAAAAAACCAATGCATTAGGTCACTAAAAGAAGTTTAAATCTAAAAAATTGAGTCTTAAAGACCATAATATCACCCTATTTATGTCGAACCTAGATAAAAAGTTTCCAAGACAATTTGTACACTTACTAAAAACCAATGACTTGGCAAATCCATACAATGGAAAATCTTTCAGCAACAGAAAGAAATAAACTATTGATATATGTTACCTCATGGGTTAATATCAAAAACTTGCTGAATGAAAGAAGCTAGATAAAAAAGATCACCTATTGCATAATTCCATTTAAGTAAAACGTCCAAAGCAAGAAAATGTATATAGAGAAAGTATATTAGTAGCTGCCTGGGATAGGTTGTGGGAGATGGGAAGAGAGATTAGCTATAAATGGGCATGGGGGATAAAAATGTTCTAAGACAGGTTTATGATGGGATGGTTGTGACACTTGATAAGGTTACTAAAAATCACTGAAATGAGTAAAATATAACTCAACAAAACTGTTTTAAAAAGGTAATAATGATGACTTTTTATTAATACATATTAGATGTACATATTTTGGGGGTACATGCAAGAATTTGGTACATTCATAAAATCAACTCAGGGTAATCGGGATATCCATATAATGACTCTGAACCCAGCTGCCACATGAAGCAGCCCAAGCTAATTACTGGTAGAATATCCCAATGGACACATGAAATGATCCCAGAGGCGACAAGCAGAAGGAAGTCCAGCCAACTCACAAAATCATTTTGAGCCTCTGTCCCCTACTTATTGTCACTCTCCATACCCCTAAAAGCTGAGGTATCTACAGCAGAATTCTGTTAATCAAGTGTTACAAAGGTTCCTGATGAATTTGGGGAAAAAAAAGGAATTCATTTTGTTTTAACTCTGAATTATTTCAATCACTGATCCTGAAAAAAATCATCTAAATGTACTGTCTCTGTTCTACAAGGAGAAGATATTAAAAAGCAGATCTCATGTCATGGAGACAGCCTTGAATCCTGACTTTGCCACTTAGTAAGCTATGTGGACTTTGATAATTAAAATAAATTAATGACAATAAGAATACAGACTACCAAAATCTACGGGACATGGTCAAAGTTACATCCAAAAGAAGTCACAGCTTTAGATGCTTATTATTAAATAAAGCTAGAAATAAATGAATTAAACAGTCAACTCTCAAGAATCTAGGAAAGAACTAAAAATAAGCCAAAAAAGTTTAAAATGTAATTAGTTAAGACAAAAACAGAAGTGATCACTTTAAAAATAGTAAAAATGGTAACTAAAATGGAGAGCTATTCTTTTAAAAGACTAATAAAAGTAGGTAAATAACAGGCTGGGCGCAGTGGCTCACGCCTGTAATCCTAGCACTCTGGGAGGCTGAGGTGGGTGGATTGCATGAGCTCAGGAGTTCGAGACTAGGCTGGGTAACGTGGTGAGACCTTGTCTCTACTAAAAATACAAACAATTAGCTGGGTGTGGTGGCATGTGCCTGTAGTCCCAACTACTTGGGAGGCTGAGGCACGAGAATTACTTGAACCCGGCAGATGGAGGTTGCAGTGAGCTGAGATTGCACTAATGCACTCCAGCCTGGGTGACAGCGCGAGACTCCAAAGAAAAAGTAGATAAAAGACAAGACAAATCTCGTTAAGAGAAGACTGAAACAAAAATGAGCATTGAGAAAAGGAGCATTTTAGCAAGCAATAAAGAGGTACTTTTAAAAATTGAGAATGCCATGTATGCCACTGAAGGATAATTTTAAAATTTAACAAAAATAGGCAATTTTCTAGGAAAAGTTTTTTTTTTTTAAAGACTCAGAAGCAGGTGAACAGCATTATCAACCATGAAAAAAAATGAAAAGGCCATCAAAGATACATCTTATATCAATTCCTATCAAACCATGGAGCAAAGAGAAATGGTAGCTGGGCACGGTGGCTCATGCCTGTAACACTAGCACTTTTGGAGGCCAAGGTGGGCAGATTACTTGAGCCCAGGAAGTTTGGGACCAGCCTGGGTAACATGGCAAAACCCCGACTCCACAAAAAATTAAAAAATTAGCCAGGCATGGTGGCTTGCCCCTGTAGTCCCAGCTACTCAGGAGGTTGGGGTGAGACGATCACTTGAGCCTGGGAGGTTGAGGCTCAGTGAGCTATGATCATGCCACTGCACTCCTGTCTGGGCAACTGGAAACCTAGTATTAAGGGGAAAAAAAAGAAACAGTAATTCTTTAAAAATTAACACAAGAAATAAAGCATCGAAGGGATAAGGGAATACTGATTTTTGTGGATATGTATTTGTATGTGAGGAGGAGAGGTTTATACTTTAAATAAGGTAGTCCAGGTGAAACTGAGGGTTAATTTGATCAGGTCTGCCTGCCCTGCTTGCCTTTGGTAGCTTGCGTCTTGTCATTTTTTTTCCTTTTCTTTGGAAGTTGAAGGCTGCAGCAGCTGAAGGGCGTGACATTCAAACTTAACCTTCCCTGGCCACTTTATAGACAATGTTCAAAGGTCACCACAGTAATGGTTGCTTCGGTTTTTCAGAAACTTGGGCCAGCTCCTGTCCAATTCAAACTGGTTGAGACCACAGACCCTTCAACTGGGCCAATGCAAATGCCCGAGAGGTGGCCTTTTGATGCTGGAGGGCCAAAAATGCCACCCTCAGATCCTCCTAAGCATCCTATGAAATGCCATGAACTCTGGCTAGGTTTGTGCAGAATAAACCTGTTACTTCCTTTTTCCTCTGTGCCAATCACCTTTCCCCATGCCTTAGACCACTCTACTTCCCTAACCCATAAATATCCCTAAGCCCTATCTTCTTCAGGGAGGCAGACTCGAGAGCTCTTCTCCCTCCCTCCTCCTTGCTCAATGCCCTTGCAAATAAATCTTTTCTCTTTTGCAAAATTTGTGTTACAGTGATTGATTTACTGTGCATAGGCATAACAGACCTGGACCTGGCCAGTAACAAAGGAATACTTCTCTGATAAGGTGAGACTTGGAAAAATGACTGAAAGAGAAGAAAAGAACCATGCAGATACCTAGCCAGTCAGGATGTGATAGCTGGGACCACAGTGACTGCAACAGAGGAGATAAAAAGTGATTAGATACTGGATCTACTGAGGTTCAAACCAAGAGGATTTGTTTTTGTTAAAATGAATGCATATTGTAAGAGAAACAGGTTAATTGTGAGATATCTATTTGACATTCAAATGGAGATATAGAGGTCTGGAGATCAGCAAAATTACCTAGAGCTGCATTGACCAGCAGCCACACATGGCTATTAAACACTTGAAATCTGGTTAATCTGAATTGAGATGTTCTGTAGGTGTAAAACACATACCAGATTTCAGAGACTTAGTATGAAAAACACATATCATTAACATTTTATTTGATTACATGTTGAAATATTTTTTATATACTGTGTTAAATAAAGCATTAAAAATAATTTCACCTCTTTCTGCCTTTTTTAAAAATAATAAAGGGGCTGGAATATTATCATGAAGGTTTGCCATTTTTGATTTATTCTTCAGTCAAAAAGGTTTTTTTATTTTGTTTTGTTTAAAGAGAAGGGGTTTGCTCTTCTACCCAGGCTGGAGTGCAGTGGCACAATCACAGCTCACTGCAGCCCCGAACTCCTGGGTTAAAGTGATCCTCCCACTTCAGCCTCCTGAGTAGCTGGGATTACAGGCATGAGCCACTGTATGTGGCTACTAGAAAATTTAAAATCACATATATTGCTTGTATTGTGGTGCTACTGAATAGCACTGACCTAGTTAGTGATACAAATTTGGGAATCATCAGAATACAGATTTAAATCTATGAACTTGAATGTAATTACCTACTGCTTGAATATAGAAACAGGCAGAGAAGAGACTCAAGAATTAGGCACTGAGGCATTCCAAAGTTGAAAAAGGTTGAAGAGATAAAGAGGAACCAACAAAGGAGAGTGAGAAGGAGCAATATGTGTGGTAGGAGAAAGACCAATAGATGCAGACATGGAATATTGAAAGATGCCTGTCTGGAGTAGACTTACAAGTAAAAGAAAGAACTAGAGACACTGAGTATACACATTTCATTCAAATTTTTTGCTGTAAAGGGAAACAAAGAAAGGAGACAGTCGGGGGTCAAGAAAAAAGTTTAAAAAATAATTAGAACCAAGAAAAAGATTAAACAAAATGATAAACTCAGGAAAATTATTGCAAACAAAGAGGTAATAGACCTAATGCATAAAGTACTCCTGCAAACTAGTAATATACCAAAAGAAAAGTATATGAAAGTTATGTTTGGACAATTCATAAGACTTGAAAGAGTCAACTATATTAAAAAAATATATAGACTAGTTACTGTCAAAAATGTAAATTAAAATGGATGGATTCTTGATTATCAAATTGGTAGGGGCTGATCATACATTGTGTTATTAAGGGTCATGAAATGGACATTCATATATAATGAGAATTGAAATTCTTCCAACCTTCTGAAAGATGATTTGACAATGTTGGGTACATATTCCTTGACCTAGAAATGCTTTTTCTAGGACTATTCCTATGGAAGAAAGCTGGCATATATGTTTGATGATATGCACAATTATGTTCACTGAAGAATTATTTTTTAGTAACAAATTTTAAAACAGCCAAGGGGATTGCATCAAAAAGTATAGCGTTTTAATATAATGGAATACCTATCATGCAGCTTATAAAAACAAAAGAGGTAGATCTTTATTTATAATATGGAAAATGTTTATAAAATACTGGGGATTTCTAGAAGTAGTTTCCTTTATAAGACTCCAGTTGAACTTATGTTAGACCTTTTCACTGTATCTGTCACATCTCCTACCTTGCTTCTGTATTTTTCCATCCTTTTGTCTCCCCATGCTTCAGTCTGGATAGTTTAACCTTCCATTTCACAAATTCTTTCTATAGTTCTAACTAATTTTGATGTGAAACCCATCCACTGAGTTCCTAATTTACCTGAAATTTTTAGTTCTAGAATTTTTACCTAGTTTTTTTTTTTTTCTGTTATGCTTTTTTTGGGGGGAGAGGGTGAGGGGACAGGGCCTTGCTCTGTCACCCAGGCTGGAGTGCAGTGGGGCGATCATGGCTCACTGCAGTCTTGACCTCCCAGGCTCAAGTGATCCTCTCACCTCAGCTTCCCTAGTAGCTAGGACTACAGGTGCAAGCCACCATGCCCAGCTAATCTTTGTATTTTTTTGTAGAGATGGGATTTTGCCATCTCTGGCTGGTCTCGAACTCCTGGTCTCAAGTGATCCGCCCACCTCAGTCTCCCAAAGTGCTAGGATTACAAGCCTGAGCCACTGCACTCGGCCCTGTAATGCCATTTTTAATGTATGATTTGTAGTAAAACTTTTAACATTGGCTGTTTTCTCCTGAAAGACAGTAAATATAGTTATTTTGCAGTCTGTATTTAGTAACTCCAGTAACCGGAATCTCTGTGGATCTGTTTGTATTGTCTATTATTGTTTTCTGACTCATTATGTCTTGTCATTTTGGATGTCTGGTGATGTTTTAATTATGTTCTAGAACTATATTTGATAAGTTGTATATATAAATAATTTGAACCTAAAAATGATGTTATTGTCCCTCAGAGAGAACTTGTTTGCTACTTCTAGGTGCCATAGGGAATTAGTAATCTGGAATCTCTTTACTCTAACTGAAATTTGAGATGTTCTAGGCTACCCAGAAAAGTATAGTCTGAGGAAGGGCTGGTTTACTTTAATTGTAAGGCACAGCCCTCTGGGAACCTAAGCACATTGGATCCCAAGCCAAATAATCTATTCCTTGGGTCTCACCTCTGATCACCCGAAAGACTCTGACTTTTGTCCTCTTACTGCCCTAAGGCTGTCAAAAGCACAGCCTATCCTCTCAAATCATTTCTTCTAAATTTGCAAATATTTTCAGGGCAAAAGTTGTTTGTAATGCTAGGCTTACTTCTTAAGGTTCCTATTCTTTTGCAAGTTGTGACCTGGTAACTTCTTATCTGACTAGTTCTCAGATGCTTTTGAGAAGATTTTAAAAAATATTTTTCCAGGACTGGGCGCAGTGGCTCAGGCCGGTAATCTCAGCACTTTGGGAAGCCAAGGTGGCAGATCACTTAAAGTCAGGAGTTTGAGACCAGCCTGGCCAACATGGTGAAACTCCGTCTCTACTAAAAATATAAAAAATTAGCCAGGTGTGGTGGCAGGTGCCTGTAATCTCAGCTACTAGGGAGGCTGAGGCAGGAGAATCACTTGAACCTGGGAGGTAGAGGTTGCAGTGAGCCAAGATTGCACCACTGCACTCCATCCTGGGCAACAGAGCGAGATTCCATCTCAAATTTTTTTTTTCCCTAGGTGTTTAAATTGCCTTCAGTGAATAAGAGGCCTGAATTACTTAGCCTGTCATTATCCTTATTATTAAAAACTTAAATGAAGTTCTTACATGACAGAGTGAAATCTCTTGATTTAAAGACAAACTATTAAAATGATACGTTTAGCTACTTATAAATGAAAATATGCAGTTTTAGAGAATTTATGAAAAAGATAACAATCTTATAAAATTGAGAAATATTAAAAAGTAGATATTGTGGCAGTGACAGTGGGACTTACTAAACTCCCCGCACCCCCCACCCCACCCATTTTCAAAACTCCTTGCCAGGTGGGCAACTTCTGAGCAGAATGCTCTGGGTAGAAGAAATATACATTAAGGTCAAGGCATGGGATAACTTCATCAGTCTGTAACTACAAATACACATATTAGTGTTTGACAAGTCTCAAGGGGGAGTCCCCCTGCAGATTTCTGGAGCTTTTCTTTTATATATCTCCCTTCTCTCAGGAACACTGTCCTGCAATTTCTAACGCCTTAGCCTTTCTGAACTCCAATCTCTGTCTCAACTCAGGGAGACCTCTGCTTTGCTTGAAGTCCTTGTTCTTTTTCCATGGTCTGCAATGTGCTTCCAGGCAGGAAGCCAGGCTATCATCATAGGACTCACGCTGGGTGTTTCCTTTCTCTCAGAAATCACAGTCCTACACTGTGTCATATAACAGTTTTCTCATACAGGTTCTATTTTAAGAAACTAGAAAAAGCAGGAATATTAAGCCCAAAGAAAGTAGGATGGAAATAATAAAAGAGGAGAAGTAAACAAAATAGATGAATAGATAAAAGTTAATAGAACCAGAAATTGTTTCTTTAAAAAGACTGACAAAATTTATAACCCTTCTTATCCCTTTCTTAGACGTATCTAAGAAAAAGAGACAACACAAAATACCAATGTCATGAATAGTAAAGGAACATTATTATGGTATCTACAGCCACTAAAATTACAGAGGATATAATAAACAACTTTATCTGCCAAATTCTACAACTCAGGTGGACAAACTTCCTTGAAAACCACCTTCCAAAATGAATACAAGAAGAAATAAATAAGGCTGATGTCAAGAAGAGTATTTCCTAGGTTGTCTTCTAAGATTTTTATAGTTTATGGTCTTACTCTTTTGTTGTTGTTGTTGTTTTAATTTTTTTGAGACAGGGTCTTGTTCTGTCACCCAGGCTGGAGTAAAGTGGTGCCATCAGAGCTCACTGCAGCCTTGACCTCCCAGGCTCAAGTGATCCTCCCACCTTAGCACTCCCCCACCTACCCCCTTGAGTAGCTGGGACTACAGGTGTACAACACCATGCCTGGCTAATTTTAAAATTTTCTGTAGAGACAGGGTCTCCCTATGTTGTCCAGGCGGGTCTCAAACTCCTGGGCCCAAGCAATCCTCCCGCCTTGGCCTCACAAAGTGCTAGGGTTACAGGCCTGAGCCACTGCACCTGGCCTCGAGGTCTTACATTTAAGTCTTTGATTCATTTTCAGTTAATTTTTGTATATGGTGAAAGGTAGAGGTCTATCTCCAATCTTCTGCATATGACTAATGACTAGACAGTTATTCCAGCACCATTTATTGAATAAGGGAGTCCTTCTCCCATTGCTTTGGCTATTCAGGCTCTTTCTTGGTTCCATATGAATTTAGAATAGTTTTTTCTAATTGTGTGAAAAATAATATTGGTAGTTTCATAGGAATAGTGTTGAATCTGTAGATTGATTTGGGGAGTATGGCCATTTTTACAATATTTATTCTTTTTATCCATGAGCATGGAATGTTTTTCCATTTATTTGTGTTGTCTGATTTCTTTCAGCAGTGCTTTACAGTACGCCTTGTAGAGATCTTTCACCTCCCTGGTAAGCTGTATTCCTAGGCATTTCATTTTCTTTGTGACTATTGTAAGTGGTATTATGTTCTTGATTTCATTCTCAGCCTTGTCATTGTTGGCGTATATAAATGCTACTGGTTTTTATACACTGATATATCCTGAAACTTTTCAGAAGGTGTTTATCAGATCTAGGAGCTTTTAGGAATAGACTATGGGGTTTTCTAGGTATAGAATCATATAGTCTGCAGAGACAGTTTGACTTCCTCTCTTCCTATTTGGATGCCTTTTATTTCTTTCTCTTGCTCGATTGCTCTGGCGAGGACTTCCAGTATTACAATGAGTAAGAGTGGTGAAAGTGAGCATCCTTGTCTTGTTCCAGTTCTCAGGAGGAATAGTTCGAGCTTCTGCCCATTCAGTATAATGTTGGCTGTTGGTTTGCCTTGGCAAAGAATGTGTAAGTCCCCAAAAACAATTGCAGAAAGAAAAAAAAGACAAGTGGCACCTAATTAAACTAAAGAGCTTATGCACAGCAAAAGACACTATCAACAGAGTAAACAGACAACCTATAGAATGGGGGAAGATATTTGCAAACTATGCATCTGCTACCTATAGATTCTGGCCTAATATCCAGAATCTATAGGGAATTGAAACAAATCAACAAGTGAAAAACAAATAACTTTATTAAAAAATGGGCAAAGGACATAAACAGACACGTCTCAAGAGAAAACATGAGCAGCTAACAAATATAAAAAAATGTTCAGCATCACTAATCATCAGAGAAATGCAAATCAAAACCACAATGTAATTAATACCATCTCACACCAGCCAGAATGGCTATTATCAAGAAGTCAAAAAACAACAGATGCTGGCAAGGCTGTGGAGAAAGGGGAACTGTTGGTGGGAATGTAAATTAGTCCAACTACTGTGGAAAACATTCTGGAGATTTCTCAACTTAAAACAGAGCTACCATTTGACCCAGCAATCCCATTACTAGGTATATACCCACAGGAAAATAAATCATTCAACCAAAAAGACACATGCACTTGTACATTCATCACTGTGCTATTCACAATAGCAAAGACATAGAATCAACCCAGGTGCCCATCAATAGTAGACCAGGTAAAGAAAATGTGGTATTGGTCAGGCGTGGTGGCGCACGCCTATAATCCCAGCTCTTTGGGAGGCCGAGGAGGGTGGATCGCCTGAGGTCAGGAGTTTGAGACCAGCCTGGCCAACATGGTGAAACCCTGTCTCTACTAAAAATACAAAAATTAGCTGGGCATGGTGGCACACGCTTGTAGTCCCACCTACTTGGGAGGCTGAGGCAGAACCCCAGAGGTTGCAGTCAGCTGAGATTGCGCCACTGTACCCCAGCCTGGGTGACAAAGCAAGACTCTGTCTCAAAAAAAAGAAAAAAAAAAAAGGTCTAAGGCATATTCAATAAATGGTACTGGCACAAGTATATTTCTACTATCTAGATTTTTACCTAGAGGGAAAAATTGCCTGGACCCACACCTCACACCACAATAAAAGTGAGATGAATCATATTTTTAAATGTGAAAACCAAATTTATAATGTTTCTCAAAACACAACAATATATTCATGACTTTGGAATAGGCAAAGATTTCTTAGAACACAAAAGGTGTTGATTTAAAAGTTGTTGATTGGGATTCAGCAAAATTAAGAAACTTTTCCTCATCAAAAGACATTACTTAAAAAATGGAAACACAAGCCAAAGACTGGAATAAAGTATTCACAATCCATATATCCAAAAGGAGACGCTTATTCAGATTACATAAATAACTTGTACAAATAGATTTTTTAAATTGCTTATAGGTATGAAAACATGCTCAACATCATTAGTCATCAGGGAAATGCAAATTTAAACAACCACGGTACCACTTCACATTCATTAGAATGGCTTAAAATTTGTGTGTGTGTGTGTGAGTGAGAGAGAAAGTATGTGTGTGTGTGTGAGAGAGAGAGTATGTGTGTGTGTGTGTGTCTCGCTCTGTCACCCAGAGACAGAGAGACTGTGTGTGTGTGTGTGTCTCGCTCTGTCGCCCAGGCTGGAGTGCAGTGGTGTGATCTTGGCTCACTGCAACCCCTACCTCCCAGGTCAAAGTGATTCTCCTGCCTCAGCCTCCTTTGTAGCTGGCACTACAGGTGCACACCACCACACACAGCTAATTTTTGTATTTTTAGTACAGATGGGGTTTCACCATGTTGGCCAGGTTGGTCTTGAACTCCTGACCTCAAGTGATCCACCCGCCTCGGCCTCCCAAAGTGCTGGGATTACAGGCATGAGCCAGTGCACCTGGCCAAAATGGCTTTTAAAAGAGTGCTAACACCAGATATTGGTGAGGATGTGGACAAACTAGAATTCTTATACATTGCTTGAGGGAATACAAATTGTTAAAACCATTTGGAAACCGGGCAATTTCTAATGGTGTTAAATACATGTCTACCCTATTACCAAGCAATTACATTTCCAGTTTCAGAGACGAATACCTTTCTTTGGAGAATCACTCTTTAATATATTATTCAGTAATGACTGAGCCTGTTTTCTAAGTTATATGTTAAGTGTTGAGGACAGAGAGGTGATCAGTCACTGGCTCTATGAAGCACAACAGGCATACAATTTCCAAAAGGGGGATGGATGCACATAAATCTTCTATAAATTTAGAGTATGTTTTCCCAAACTTACCTGATATAAGAATCACTTAGGGCGCTCATTAAAAATATAGATTCAACAGCCTAATTTGGGGCCCAGAAACAATACTCGAGGACAACAGTCCACAACCTTTTTGGTACCAGACACCGGTTTTGTGGAAGATAATTTTTCCACGGACCAGAGGATTGGAGGTAGGGTAGTGGCTTCAAGCTGAAACTGTTCCACCTCAGATCATCAGGCATTAGTTAGATTCTCATAGGTAGCACGAAACCTAGATCCCTCACATGCACAGTTCACAACAGGGTTTGAGTTCCTATGAGAATCTAATGCTGCTGCTGATCTGACAGGAAGCAGAGCTCAGGCTGGGGGTTGGGAACCCCTGCCCTAAGTAATTCCTACAATCTGGATATTTTGAGAAACACAAGGTGGTATGGGAAACATACAAGACTTAACCTAGTCTAAGGATTAGTGAAGGCTTTTCAGAGAGTTACTTAACCTCAGATCTGAATGATGAGTAAGAGTTAGCCATTGGGGGTAGGACTCATTTAGTATTGATTTTGACTGAAAGGATAAAATGTAACATGCTCAAAAATATATTTGGAGTTTTTCAAACTGCTAGTTGTTTTTAAAAAGCAATTAATTTTATGTTCAAATCCTTGATAGAAAAAAGGAAAAAAAGCAATTAAAAACTAAAATTCTCACCAAGAAAAATATAACCTGTACCTACTTTGGGATTCACAAAGTTAAATAAGACAATTGGGGTTAAATAAGACAGTTAAGTAGACAATAATTGTATAGCACAGTTGCATTAATAAAGGTAAGGAAAAACTTATCAAAAAAGTAAATGATGGTCAAGTAGGGGCTAGCCAGGCTAAGAAGAAGCAGAGAAGGGCATAGAGCATCCCAATTTAAGAGGACAAATATGGAATGGCTCCAAGTTAAGAGTCATTCCTTCTTCTTAGATTATAAGATAACTAGAGTTATTATGTATAAAAATGAACTGGTCTGGCCAGGTGCGGTGGCTCACAACTGTAATCCCAGCACTTTAGGAGGCCGAGGCAGGTGGCTCACTTGAGCTCAGGAGTTCCAGACCAGCCTAGGCAACATGGTGAAACCCCTGTTTCTAACAAAAATACAAGAAATTAGTTGGGCATGGTGGTGTGAGCCTGTGTTCCCAGCTACTTGGGAAGCTGAAGTGGGAGGATCACTTGAGCCCAGGAGATGGAGGTTGCAGCGGGCCAAGATAATTCAAATACATATATATTTGATACATTTGATTGTTCAAAATATTGTGTGTATATATTTAAGTCAGGGTCTCACGCTGTTGCCCAGGCTGGAGGCTGGAGTGCTATGGTAGCAACACAGCTCACAGCAGTCTCAACGTCCCTGGGTTCAGGTGATCCTCCCACCTCAGCCTCCCAAATGGCTGAACTATAGGCATGCACCACCATGCCTGGATAACTTTTTTGTAGAGACAGGGCTTCACCATGCTGCCCAGGATGGTCCCCTAGCCCAAGGGATCCACCTACCTCAGCCTTTCAAAGTGTTGGGATTACAGGCATAAACCACTGCACCCAGCCCGCTCTTCATATTCTTAAAAAGTATTGAGAACCCCAGCTGGGCGCAGTAGCTCACACCTGTAATCCCAACACTTTGGGAGGCCGAGGTGGGTGGATTACTTGAGGTCAGGAGTTTGAGACTAGCCTGGCCAACACGGTGAAAACCCGTCTCTACTAAAAATAGAGTGGGCGTGGTAGTGGGTGCCTGTAATCCCAGCTACTCAGGAGGCTGAGCCAGGAGAATCACTTGAACCTGGGAGGCGGAGGTTGCAGTGAGCCGAGATCATGCCATTGCACTCGAGCCTGGGAAACAAGAGTGAAACTCCGCCTCAAAAAAAAAAAAAAAAGGATTGAGAGTCCCAAGGAGTATTTTTTTTTATTTGGGTAATATCCATCAATACTTACCATATTAGAAATTAAAGCAACATTTTCAAATATTTATTAATTTATTCATAGAAAATACATTCGTTACTTAAGTAAAATTTTAAATTAAAAACATATTTTCAAAAAATTGGTGAGAAGAGCAACACTATCTCAAGCTGGATTCTCATTCACATCTGATTCTACACTCAAATCTGCATTTAATGAAATCTGCAGTGTGCTGCAAGCTTCATTCTTAAATATGAAGACACCCAAAGTTAAAAACGTTTGCCAAAGAGAAAATTTTAGTATAACGGAAGTACTTGCAGATCATGTATGCGATAGAGGTCTATTATCTAGAATATAGAAAAAACTCTTACAACTGAACAATAAAAAGGCAAACAACCCAATATTAAGAATGAGCAAATGACTTGACAAAGAGGATATACAAATGGCCAATAAACACATGAAAATATGCTCAATTTATCAAGAGTCATGAAGGAAATGCAAATCAAAACCAAAAGATATCACTTCACACCCACTAGGATGACAATAACAATAACAGTAACAACAGTGTTGAGCAGGTCATGGAGAAATCAGAACCTTCATCCATTGCCGATGGGAATGTAACATGGTGCAGCCACTCTGGAGAAGTCTGGCACTTCCTCAGAAAGTTAAACACAAGACAACCACATGATCCAGCAATTCCACTCCTAGGTACATGCCCATTTTTATTATTTTCTTTGAGTTCTCACTTACCGAACTATTTCCTCCAGTGCACGAAACTCCAGGGAATGGTATCGCCAGAAACCACAGGACTCGCCCTTGACACCTCCCTTATCCCTGAGGTCTTGTCAATTTTAACTCCTGACTCTCACAGCTATGCAGACAATCACCTCACATCTGGCCAGAATAATCTTTCTAAAATGCTTATCGAATCAGTTACGCTCCTGCTTAAAACTCAGCAACGGACTGTCACTGTTTTCAGACAGATTAAAATCTGAATAAGTCCTGTAAAACCCTACAACGGTCCGGGCTCTGTGTTAGCCTTGGCACTTGGTGTCTTCCAGATACACCCTCCTTTCCATTTCCTTAAAAAGTCAGGCCCTGGCCGGGCGCGGTGGCTCACGCCTGTAATCCCAGCACTCTGGAAGGCTGAGGCGGGATGATCACGAGGTCAGGAGATAGAGACCGAGATCGAGACCATCCCGGCTAACACGTTGAAACCCCGTCTCTACTAAAAAAATGCAAAAAGTCAGGCCCTGTGCGTTCTCTCGCCTGCCCACCCCCTACCCCACCTTGAGTTCACGCTCAACTTCAGATCTCATCTTAAATACGCGCTTCTTAGGGAAACCGTCCGGGCACCTCACACTAGGTCAGGAGCTGGCGCCGTCCTCCAGGGCGTCCTACGCGTCGGTCAGGGGCACACACGCCTGAGTACGGAACGAACTTCACGTCCCCCTCTCGCTAGAGTCCCCGCCCCGCAGCAGAGGCTCCATCAGTCTCCACGGCAAGAAGAAGCATATGTGCGAATTTCTAGCTTTCCCCGGGGACATAACCAAGTTTGGGAGACCGGCCCCGCGACTTCGTTCGAGAACGACTTTTGCGGTGTCGGCGCCCGCTATGAGGGCGCCGGAACTCCAGTGCCGCCCAAGGAACGCGCCAGTCCCCCGCCCGCCTCGCTGGCCTCGCCTACACCGCCGTTCGGAGTCCCCGCGTGCTTCAGCGGGACGGGCCTCGCCGCCGGGACCGGCCACACGCGGGGTTCGCCAACCCCGACCGCTCAAGCCCATGGCCTCGCCCTCGCCGGCTTCGCCGCCCGACCTGCCGCCCCGCGTCTCTGTCCGTCGCACCTCGGATCCGCTAGAAAGCCGCCGCCGCTGCCGCCTCCACGGGCCAGCGCCCCGCTCTCCGCAGCCGCCTCCGAGTCAGTGGCGCCACCGGAGCAGCCGCGGCGCCTGTTGGGTAACAGTCACCAGCGGCCCGCCCACCGCCTGTCGGGCAGTATGAAAAGTGCGGCACTGTGATTGGCCCAGCCTGTGGGCGCGAAAGCGCGGGAAGGAGGCCGCCTGCTTGAATGTTGCACGACGTAGAAGAGATTGTGGGCGTCTGTCTTGGAGCGCAGAGCGGCCCCCAAGACTTTCCCGCTTTGCAGCCTGAAACCCTCGTCTGGACCGCGCAGCTCTGCAAAGTCACCATATGAAAATACTTGGAAGCGCTGCTTCTGCCAGCAGAGGCCAGACTGCCCCTCGCTTGGGTCCGGTGCAGGCCGAGTCCTCCGCCCTCAGAGGCGGGACAGGGGCCCGGCCTCCTTGCCGAACTGTTTCCCAGGCCGCGTGGTCCCTCCCGGGGTTTGGCTTGTCCTCTGCCCATCTTCTAGAAATACCGTTAGCAGGGTCGGGCCGCGACTAGGGTGAGGCCAGTGAGGCATTTGTCATGAGCACAGGATTTCAGAGGCTGCCAAAATAGCAATCAAGATAAATAATATTTTAATGCAGTCTCTAAAAAAAGTCAAAAGTAATGAAAAAATTCAGTCCTATTTTTTCCTTTCGCCTCAGACTCTTAAAATGGCTCCACAGGGTACATTGTTACTGGTCCTGTCTTTATTTAAAATTTGAATATTCTGGGCTGGGCGCGGTGGCTCACGCCTGTAATCCCAGCAGTTTAGGAGGCCAAGGCAGGTGGATCACCTGAGGTCAGGAGTTCGAAACCAGCCTGGCCAACATGGCGAAACCTCGTCTCTACTAAAAACACAAAAAATAGCCGGGCAGGTGTGGTCGTGGACGCCTGTGATCCCAGCTACTCGGGAGGCTGAGGCAGGAGAGTCGCTTGGATCCAGGAGGCGGAGGTTGCAGTGAGCTGAGATCACCCTGTTGCACTCCAGCCTGGATGATGACAGAGCAAGACTCCGTCTCAAAATAAATAAATTAAATTAAATTAAATTTGAATATTTTATTATGGATTTTTTGCATTAATTTCGATTTTTTAAAAGATTGCATTAAAAGATTACTGAGTTTTTGCATCCCCTCCCCTGCCCCCCATGTTTTGTGCCTAGTCTTATCCTTGATAGGGAATTTAAACCTGTATAAAATGACACAGTCCTGAAGGGGTGGGGACAGGATAGAGCTGCAGGTGGCTTCATTTGCTTATTAGTCTAAACATGCACTTGATTGTTGGGCCACGGAGGACTTTGGATAGGTGGCAGATAGAGGAGGGGCTCTAAAACTGCACCTACCCCCAAATTATCCCCTCAAATGAGGCTGCAGTCTCTGAAATGCACTTCATTCATTCATTCATTCATTCATTCTGCAGATTGCTATTGGCCTGCCAGGGGCCAGGGGCTGAGGGTGCAGTGGTGGACAGTGGACCGTGAGCATGGATCTTGGGATAATGTAATACACTTATCGCAAATCTTGCCATTACCAAAAGTGCTTTCAAGTGTCTTTTAAAGTGATATGGCCTGTCCTTTTACAGTGGATTTCATTTAGAAGTCCCTATGTTATTGGAAGTTAACGCCAGTGGCTGGAGAGGGCGGCCACGGCAGCAGCAGGCCAGAGCTGCTGATGAGATTATGAGGTCTGGCCTCTGTTATAGAAAGGGGTTCAGATTGAGGCTCACATTAGAAGGCTGGACACTCTCCCCTGGGCTGCTGGGCAGATGGCATCTGGAGCAGGACTGGGCCATGGTGACCCTGGAAGGGGTGGCTCTGGAAGTGTGTCTGTGGGCCAGCAGCCCTGATGTCAAGACAGCTGGAAACCACGTTCTACTCTAGACCCTTGGCGTTTCTCCTTTGACTGCTCCACCACAGTTAGAATTTTGAGAAATTCCTCTCTGAACAGCCATTTGCCAAATGCTCATTTCACTGTTAGTCTCCTCTCCACCCTGTGGGTGGGTACAACACAGAAAGAGTCAAATCTTTCATTTATCAACCTTTTAAACCATCGAAGACAGTGATCATGCCATCCTTAGGGAGGATTATTGGGATTCAGGGAATAGAGATGAAATGTTGTGTTATGAGTGGATGGGCTGAGCACAGACATCACATGTGTCACCAGGCTACAGAAAAGGTAAGCTGTGCCGGACAGTGATGCTGTGCTTACAGGCAAGCCACTGAGCAGGTGGCAGGAGGGGCTGCCGGTTGTTGGCAGGGAGGCGGGTTGAAGGGCAAATGGGCTGTTTGCATGAGACACACCAAGCCTCCTGCTACGGCAAGGGGAAGAAACATTCCCACTTAAGTGACCTCAGCTGTTTTTGTTTAACTGTGGGATCCAGTGTCCTTGTTTTGCCTTCCTCTGGGCCCTTTGAGGTGTTTTGTTTTGTTTTGTTTTGTTTTCGAGACAGCCTTGTTCTGTTGCCCAGGCTGGAGTGCAGTGGCACAATCTCGGATCAATGCAGCCTCCACCTCCCCAGTTCAAGCGATTCTCCTGCCTCAGCCTTCCAGTAGCTGGGATTACAGGTGCCTGCCACCACGCTCAGCTAATTTTTGTATTTTTAGTGGAGATGGGGGTTCCACCATGTTGGCCAGGCTGGTCTCGAACTCCTGACCTCAAGTGATCCACCCGCTTCGGCCTCCCAAAGTGCTGGGATTACTGGCTTGAGCCACCGCGCCTGGCCTCTTTGAGTTTTTTTTGACACTGTCTCCAGATACTCCCCATTGGCCCTAGGGCATGGGACCCTTGCTCTTCTTGGTCAGAGTTTCCTGTGTCTGTGTATGGAGCTAGTGGTTCTGCCTTTTCTGCCAGGCAGCTCTGCCACGTTTGGACTTACGTAATTGATTTGGGGATTATATTGTTTTGATGTGAAATTTTACATTTTTATGAAATCCATCAGTCTCTTGGCTGGGCGGGGTGGCTCACGCCTGTAATCCCAGCACTTTGGGAGGCTGAGGCGGGTGGGTCACGAGGTCAGGAGATTGAGAGCATCCTGGCTAACATGGTGAAACCCCGTCTCTACTAAAAAATACAAAAAATTAGCCGGGCGTGGTGGCGGGCGCCTGTAATCCCAGCTACTCGGGAGGCTGAGGCAGGAGAATGGCGTGAACTCGGGAGGCGGAGCTTGCAGTGAGCCGAGACCGTGCCACTGCACTCCAGCCTGGGCGACAGAGCGAGACTCCGTCTCAAAAAAAAAAAAAAAAGAAATCCATCCGTCTCTTTGTCATTTATTTTCAGTGATATTAGAGATGCTTACTCCAGCTCAAGTTCAGAATAAACATATTCGTACAATAGTATTTTCTGTTGTTTTTGTTTTTGTTTTTAGACATGGTCTCACTCTGTCACCCAGGCTGGAGTGCAGTGGCACGATCTCGGCTCACTGCAACCTCCGTCTCCTGGGTTCAAGCCATTCTCCTGCCTCAGCCTCCCGAGTAGCTGGGATTACAGTTTTGCACTACCGCACCCAGCTACCATTTTTTAGAGATGGGGTTTTGCCATGTTGGCCAGGCTAGTCTCGAACTCCTGACCTCAAGTGATCTGCCCGCTTTGGCCTCCCAAAGTGCTGGGATTACAAGCGTAAGCCACCATGCCCAGCCACACAATAACTTTGATTTGTGCCTTTTATGATTTGATTTTTTACACTTTTTTTTGCTTATAACTTTGAAATATTTAATGTTATTAAAGTCACATGTGTTTAATGTAGAAAATGCAGGAAAGGGTGAAAAAGAAAATAGAAATCTCCTATAATCCCGTTTCTCACAGAGCCTCACTGTGGGTGTTTTCGGGGAGCTATCTATAGAGAGAAACCATGGAGCTACTCTCCCACATGGACTGTGATGCCTTTCTACATTTTTAACCTCTCTATTCAGGAGCCGTTAAAATTTTTTATTCCGCAAACACCTACTGAGGTCTTGCTCTGCATTAGGCAGGCCATGGAATGAAAAGCTTACAGCAGTTCTTGAAGAACGTACAGTATAACTGATACCACACAACTTAGTGGGGGCTAACACGTGTGGAATAGACAGGATGCAGAAAAGGGCGGCGTGTTTGTAGAGCAGTCTCAATAGCATGGAAGCCACACCCTGGGAATCCTCAGGGAATGCAGAAAATAAGGCAGAGCAGAGTAGCTGGGCCCTTTTGAGCAAGGCTGGGTCGCCCCATTGCAGGGGCCTATCCTTGCACCTTTGTAACACTGAAAATACCTGGCAGAGGCCCCCTCAACTGTTGTTTTATCAAAATCATCTAGTCTAGTTGCAATGTTGGTTTTTTTAAAACTTCCAAGTGAATATTAGAATAATTTTGTTGTTGGCCAGGCATGGTGGCTCACTGTAATCCCAACACTTTTGGAGGATGAGACAGGAGGGCTGCTTGAGGCCAGGAGTTTGAGGCTGCAGTGAGCTCCGTGTAGTGCAGTACATGCCACTGCACTCCAGCCTGAGCGAGTGAGATCTTTCTTTTCTTAAAAAAAAGAAAGAAAAAAAAATAATAATTTTGTGAGATTACCTCCCCAAAAATCTCAAAGGGGTTCTCATAAGAAATGTATTAAATCTGGCGGGGTGCAGTGGCTCACGCCTGTAATCCCAGCACTTTGGGAGGCCAAGGCAGGTGGATCATGAGGTCAAAAGATCAAGACCATCCTGGCTAACACGGTGAAACCCCGTCTCTACTAAAAATACAAAAAATTAGCCGGGCGTGGTGGCGGGCACCTGTAGTCCCAGCTACTCAGGAGGCTGAGGCAGGAGAATGACGTGAACCCAGGAGGTGGAACTTGCAGTAAGCCGAGATCGCACCACTGCACTCCAGCCTGCCTGGGCGACAGAGCGAGACTCATCTCAAAAAAATAAAATAAAATAAAATAAAAATAAGAAATGTATTAAATCTATAAACGTGAAAGTTATATCTTTATGATATTTATTCTTACCATACATCTTTCTACAGTTTTTCGTGTCTTGTATCTCAGCAGAATGTATAGATTTCCTAATGTAGGTTCTTCTATTTCTTAGGATTATTATTATTGCTTCAATTTGTGTGGGAGGCTTTTTTTGGGTGGGGTTTTTTTTTTTTTTTTTGAGACAGAGTCTTACTCTGTCCCCCAGGCTGGAGTGCAGTGGCACAATCTCGGCTCACTGCAAGCTCCGCCTCCCAGGTTCAGCCTCCCAAGTAGCTGGGACTACAGGTGCCCACCACCACGCCCGGCTAATTTTTTGTATTTTTAGTAGAAATGGGGTTTCACTGTGTTAGCCAGGATGGTCTCCATCTCCTGACCTCGTGATCTGCCTGCCTCAGCCTTCCAAAGTGCTGGGATTACAGGCATGAGCCACCGTACCCAGTCTTTTGGGTGGTTTTTGTTTGTGATTATGAGATCCTAATGAACTAATCTTTAGTTAGATATTCTAAATCTAACTGGTAAGTTTTGATATATAGGAAAGTTATTCATTTCTGAATATTGATCACATATCCTAGTATTTTAAGGAATTCTCATTACATCATCTGTAGTTTTGCAATTGAGTACAATACTTATGTTGCCCGTTTTCCAATATTTTATTACTATTTTGTGTTTTGCTGTGCTGTCTGAAACTTTACAACAGTGCTAAAGTTTAGGGCTTCAAGGCATCTTTTTTCTTCTGGATTTAAATGTAAATGTGTCAATTTGCTGTTTTTCTACCAAATGTGATGTTAACTGTTTGAGATAGTATTTTTAACAATATTGCAGAAATACCCTTCTATTTCTGTCTGCTTTGTCTTTATGAAATCTTTTCAGGATCTATAGTTTCCCATCTATATTGATAAGTAAGGCTGGACTTCAGCAGATAGCAGACCATCAAAACTCTTCCTGTTCTTTACCCTGTCCCCAACCCCCATAAACATATTAGTTTGGTCAAAAACATACTGAAGGCTATGACCAACCAAATCAATAACATAACAAATATATTATTCTCATTTATGAAAGTTTGCGAATCAACCCTTCTGCTTCTACCTTCATATATTTGGATAAACCAGCTCCAGAGAGAGAAGAACATAGGGCTCTAAAAGTAGGAAAAATGGTGGAACAAAGAAACCTTGATGAAGAGGGTAAGGCATGAGTGGTTCAGTGAATGAAGCTGTAGTTTTGCTGGTCGTCTTGAAACATAGTGGCCACACCTGAAGAACAGCTGAAGACCCTCCTGGGTTCATCCTCTTAAGCAGACATGTGCCTCACATGCCCACATCTGCAACTTCCAGGGCTTTCTGTAGTGAGAGGAGAATGGAATTTTGCTCTCTGGACTCTGAACAACATTGCAGGGAGGGATAGTGGGGGGTCCCCTGGAGGCAGGCTTGGGAATAGGAACTCAGGCTAGGAACGTAAATGCTTGTGCCTGACTTGGAGGCTAGAAGTGCATTTCCTAATGTGTTCTGCAGAGCCCTGATCCCAGAAGGCTCTGTGAAGAAACGGGTTCCATGTTCAAAGTTTGTGAAATGTTACCTAATCTGTCTCCCTGTTAAGGAATCCCAATGAAAGATGCTTCTCAATGAGTAAACTCATCACCTGTTTAACTGTTACCAAAGGCTATTTGTTTATAGAGCTATTTACTTAGAACCCCTCCTAACATTCCAAGAAATTAGTGGTTCATGATAAAACATGTTGGGAAACACATGACTGACAGTAATATTAGTTGTCATGACAACGAAGACAAACCACCAGCTATCTCCTCCTGAGCATCGTGTACCAGGCAGTGTTGTAAGCACTGAGCCACAGTGCTGAGCAAGAGAGACATGGCTCCTGACCCCACAGTGCAGTAGAGTGGTTACGACCAGGGCCAAAATAATATTACTGTAGGACCCTCCATTGTGCCCCCTTTATTTCTTTTCTTTCTTTATCATCATCATCTTTTTTTTTTTTTTGAGACTGTCACCCAGTCTGGAGTGCAGTGGCAATCATTGCTTGCTGTAACCTCTAACCCCTGGGCTCAAGCCATCCTCCTGCCTCAGCCTCCCAAGTAGTGTGTGCCACCATGCCCAGCTAATTTTTTTAGTTTCCTCTTTTATAAAATGGAGGTATAAGAGTACCCGCTTCAATGAGTTATTGCAAAGAACAAAAATGATTATAGTTGGAGAGGGGGTAGTGACATAATCAGGTTTTTTACAAGTTGAGTTTCATGGGAACTGTGAAGAAGACTGAAACTGTGAAGACCAGGGAGGACAGGTTGCTAATGATGATGGCCCGGTCCAGGGGCATTGGAGATGGTAATGGGAAAAGGATAGACATGGGAGATCTGAAGTGGAATTGATAGGATGAGAGTGGAGGGGGGATGAGGGAGAGGAAAGGGCCAACAGAACACTGAGGCTTCTGAGCAGGCTGGTGGCATAGATGAAGGTGCGCTTGTATTACCGAGGATCTGGGGAAGAGGAGCATGCTGGTGGGGGCAGGTGGGAGGGAGGCACGCAGTTCAGTTTATGTCAGAAACCTTGGCTTCGTCAGCTGCACTGGCTTTGTATTTTTACACTCTGTATTGCCTTTTGCATCTCTTAGTACGTAACCCTTTGCCATCATCCTCAGTGCCCTTTCCTGGCCTCTCCTCCTCTATCTAATCCCTTTTAGATTGTTCTAGGTGCTTCCTGTGCCCTCTACTTAGTTACACCCTCCCCCTAAGAAAGTCTAGTCTCAAGATTTGAAAGTTGCATCTTTGCTGACGACTCCTGATCTACATTTCCAACCTGGTTCTATTCCCTGAGTTCCACACTCAGTTCCCTACCATCGACCATGCAGCTTCCGTTCCAGCAGGGGACGACAGGCAGTAAAGGGAAATTTATTGTATGTTAGACAGTGCTAAGGTGAGAAAAACGCATCAAGAAAAGGGACAGGAATTGTTGAAGGATTGGAATTTTATTTTATTTTATTGAGACAGAGTCTCACTTCATTGCCCAGGCTGGAGTGAGGTGGTGCAATCTTGGTTCACTGCAACCTCTGCCTCCTGGGTTCAAGTGACCCTTGTGCCTCAGCCTCCCAAGTAGCTGGAATTACAGGTGAGCGCCACCATGCCATTACAGGCATGAACCATCATACCCGGCCGGATTGGCAGTTTTAGATAGGGTGGTCACGGTAGTGCCTACTGCTTCATGGCACAGCCATTTTAATGTTTCATAAGCTTCTCAAACTTGATGTGGCCTAAACAGAACTCTTTGGCCCTCCTCTTTGACTTTATTGTTTTGGTGGGACTACACTCACTTTCACTTTCACTGCTGCATCATGTACGACTTTACTGTATATTGTAGTGTGTGAGTCAGGCATGTCTGTCATTCCTATTATTATACATAAACACATCTATTTGGTGTCAAAGGATTGATTCAGTGCAGATTTTTTTTCTGTGTACCAATATAACATCACAATGTGTTTATTTGAATATTATATGCAGACAGCACAAGTTATAGTAAAACACATTAAATTATATGTGGTATTGAAATTGGAATACTTAGGTTTATTTTGACCATAATTAAATTATTTTACTAGTTCAAAAATAACTCTGGATAATCTTATAGCTTTAAAACAAAGACATGCTACTGATGTAGAATCAAGTAGAGATATAGAAGCAAACACTGACTGGAACAATAAAGAAAAAAGAGCCTGGGAGAAGGTACGTTACAAATTCCACAATGAATAGCAATTGTAGTTTTCTGGGAAGAACAAAATGAAAACGTAGTTGGTTTGTGATATAAAAAATGTTCAAGGATAATATTAAGATACAATATTAAGAGACGAGACATTTTCAGCAAATAGTGTGGTGGCTTAAAAAGCATGTCCGAAATTTGTTTCATACTCTTCTCCTTAAGAAATGGAGCTAATTTCTCTCCCCTTGAATATCCGAAGTAATGAGCTGTTACTTCCAAGGTTAAGTTTAAAAAGACTGGTTTCCACCTTGGGTTCTCCCTCTCTCACGCATGCTGTCTCTCTTTTTCCTATTCTTTCTCTCTCTTTCTCTCTCCTCTCTCCTCTCTCTCTCTCTCTCTCTCTCTGCTGCCAGGTCATGAGCAGCCTATGGAGAGGTCCATGGTCCCTGTGGTGTGGAACTCAGATCTCCAGCCAATGAGGAGGCTTGGCAATAACGATACAAAAGAGCCTGGACCAGATTCTCCACTCCCAGTGAACCGTCCCATGACTATTTCCCTGGCTGACAGCTTTATTGATTAGAGACCCTGAGCCAGAAATACCCAGCTAAACCACTTCCAGACTCCTGATCCACAGAATCTGTGTGAGATAATAAATATTTGTTGTTTAAGAGGCTAAGTTTTGGGTTAATTTGTCACACAACAATACATGTTACACAATGAATTTGGTAAAAAGTTTCTTCTCAATAGTTCAAATCGAATTGACACAATTAGTAACCTGAATTTATAATTAAATGTCCAAAAACTTAAAACAATTTTTTTTTTTGAGACAGGGACTCACTCTGTTGCCCAGACTGGAGTGTAGTGGCATCATTTTGGCTCACTGCACCCTCGACCTCTGGACTCAGGTGAACCTCTCACCTCAGCCTCCCTGGTACTGGAACTACACGCATGTGCCACCACACGTGGCTACTTTTTGTTTATTTTTTGTAGAGATGAGGTATCATTATGCTGCTCAGGCTGGTCTCAAATCCTGGGCTCAAGTCATCTTCCCACCTCAGCCTTCCTAACTGCTGGGATTACAGGCATGAGCCACTGCACCTGGCACCCCCTCCCCACAAATTTTTAAGTGATGTTTTATAGGATCGGAGTCTGTAATTTTGGCCAACAATGAAATGGCTTGGATCCTTGCACAAAAGACAAAATCGTTTTAGATAGAGATATAATAAAAATTATTTCAGTTAGGGACATTTTGTTAGAAAGTTATGAGGGGAAAACTAAAAGACATTTCATGTAAAGAATCTCTAGTTAAGCCACCATACAATTGCCTGTATAATACAAGAACTTTTTAACGATACCAAAGATCAATTGACTCAAAATTATTTCTTTAGTTTCAGATGAGTCATTTAATGTAAGAAAGATAATCCAATTAATACTTTGGGTACATTCTGTTTAAAGGGATTTCCAAACTTACAAAGAAATGTAAATTTTTCAACCTAAAAAATTGAACTTGTGATATGCATATTTAAAAATCTTTACATCTGTCAGAGAAGAACTTCAGCTAGATATGAAATGAGATATGAAAACATTAGTTTCTATCATGATGCTCCAGATATGTTAGGTCAAAAATACAAATTTTCTGGCATTTTAAAACGAGAGACTGATGTTTCCTTTATTGCTCCATTTCACTGTATGGTACCTATTGAAAATATTTGTGCTTAGTTTTCTAAAGCAGTCTCTATAAAGAGTCATGGAGATGGTTGTTAAAATCATTCACTATACACAGACAAATGCTATGAATCACCAGTTTATGAAATTGTTCAAATAGTTGGGTGTGGTGGCTCACATCTGTAATCCCAGCACTTTGGGAGGCTGAGGTGGGAGGATTGCTTGAGTCCAGGAGTTCAAGACCAGCCTAGGCAACATAGCGAGACCCCATCTCTACAAAAAGTAAAACAAAAAAATTAGCCAGGTATGGTGGCACATGCCTGTAGTCCCAGCTACTCTGGAGGCTGAGGGGGGAGGATCACCTGAGCCCCAGAGGTCGAGGCTGCAGTGAGCCGTGATTTTGCCACTGCGCTTCATCCTGGGCAATAGAGAGAGGATCTGTCTCTTAAAAAAAATATATTGTGGAAATAGAAGACAATGAATTTAATGAACTTGCACTCTTTGCCAGTGCTCATTGGTTAAGTCATGAGTTTTACAAAGATTTGCTTTCTGTTAACTTCAATTCAAAATTTTCTTGAAATGAAAAGAAACTTGTGAAATATTCAACAATTAAAGAAATTGGCAATGTGATTAGTGTTTTTTCACTAATATTATATTACGTATAAATGAGCTAAATATGAAGCGCCAAGAAGACACTTATATGTAATCGATCTAAGCAGGTATAAGGATTTATGTTGAAATGGAAATTTTCAAATTACACATCAATAATAATGATTTTAACACATGCATCAATATGTGTATCATTTTAAGTATAATCAACAGAGGTATATAATTAGTTCCAAAAACTACGAGAAAAATTTGAAGAATACTTTGTTGACATTGATAAATTTAGAGTTGCTTTTCAATTTATGCGATATCTCTTTGAACTTGATGTTAATAATCCTGAATCAACACAAGAGTCGATGGATTTACTTAATTTGGATGTAGTTTTGAAACATTTGCTTTTGCTTTAAAGTCAAACAATTCTTCTGAAAAACATAAACCAGTTTTATCAACATGGGTGTAATTATCAAAGAAAAATGGGCTGGGCACGTTGGCTCATGCCTGTAATCCCAGCACTTTGGGAGACCAAGGCAGGCGGATCATGAGGTCAAGAGATCGAGACCATCTGGCCAACATGGGGAAACCCTGTCTCTACTAAACATACAAAAATTAGCTGGGCGTGGTGGCACATGCCTGTAGTCCCAGCTACTTGGAAAGCTGTGGCAGGAGAATTGCTTGAACCCAGGTGTTGGGGTGGCCAGACCCAACACCAGGCTGTGGGGGCTACAAAGTCTGGCAGTGTCAAAGGAATGAGACAAGTTAGGAGTGCATAAAGTGGGTCCAGGGGGCCAACGCTAGTATGGAGGCTGTGAAGACCCCGAGCTCTGGAAGCCCACACTACTTATTGGTGATCAAACAAAGAAACAGGTGGTGAGGATGTGGGGGTTGAAAGGTAGCGGTGCATCAAGCATATGATCTATAGCTGTGACAGTTTAGCATTCCCTTTGAAGCATATAGAACATGTTCTGCTACTTGAGATCATGGGGAACATGTTCTTCTAGTCTAAGATACAATCAATCCATGAGCCTGGGAGTGCTAGAAGCAAGAAGCCAGCAAGTCTAGACACATTCCAGAGGCCACGAGGGGTTTTATGCCCTGAGCCCTGGATTCCATCCAAGCCACGAGGGGTTTTCTGCCCTGAGTCCTGGATTCCATCCAAGCCACGAGGGGTTTTATGCCCTGGGCTTAGATTATGGTACGGCAGGGCAGCCTTCCACTCTTTAGCACAGAGCTTGGTGTTCCAAAGGCCATGAGGGGTTTTAGACCTTGGACCCAGGACGTGTTCCAAGACTCTTTTACATTATGTCAGACATGCAAGCCCTGCCTCAACTTTTCCCACCACCCAGGAGGCAGAGGTTGCAGTGAGCCAAGATCATGCCATTGCACTCCAGCCTGGCAACAGAGCAAGACTCTGTCTCAAAAAAAAAAAAAAAAAAAAAAAAGAAAGAAAAGAAAAAAAAGAAAAATGATTTTTTTGGTGTTCTATTTAATTTTATGAAATAGTAACACAGATCAAGTATTTATCATGAAAACTTTGCCTGAATTGAAATATGCTGTAAATACAAAATATATACTGATTTGAAAATTTGCTATTAAAAAACATAAAATATTAACAATTTTAAAATGTGTATTACATGGCAAAATGATAATTTAGATATATTGGGTTAAATACAGTGTATTGTTAAAATGAATTTCATCTGTTTATTTTTTTTAAATATAAGTATTAGAAAATTTAAAATTACATATATGGCTCATATTATGTTTCTATTGGACAGTGCTGCTCTAGACATTCAAATAGCCAGGACTTTTTCATCCTCAGGTTTTAGCTTAAATGTTACTCTGTGAAGCCTTTCCTAACCAGACAGCTAAAGCAGCAACTTCCCCAAACGTACACACTCCTGACCACATGTGCCTTAGCTCGCTCTCTATCCCACTACCTGCTTTCAACTTTTTTCATAGTACCTTTCATTATCCAAAATCTTACTCACTCACGTTCAGGTTTATTGTCTGCATTCCCCACTGGAACAGAACTGTTGAACCCCTAGTGCTTGAGTAAGTACTTGATCAATATTTAGAGAGTTATTCTAATAAACTCTAGAGAGGCCAACTTGCAGGAAATCTGAAAAGTCACTCTTGATAAAATCATGGAAACAGACACACGCAGAGGTATTTAGGATAAGAACAAAAATAATATATTTTAAAAATCACAGTAAAGACAAGACATCTGCTTCTAACACAACGAGATTCCTGGGTATTAGGAACCTGTTCTGAAGTTGTATCTTCCCCTGACTCAGCTGCTTCAGGTGTTCATGTTGAGTGAGGCAACTGCCTTTTCTGAGATAAGATTTAGCAGATTTAAGTCAGGGTTTCTCACAAATTTTGTTTTCAAACTTGCCCTTCCTGCTGTAATATGAATGTATTTACCTTTGCATTCTCCCATGTGAAATCTTGCCTGTGCTAAATTGTGGTACTTAGGGCAACAGACAGCTTCTCTCTTTACCCCACAGGCTGCCCATATAGTCCACGAGAGAGGAAACCATCATTGTTTTGTTCTTTTATGGCATCTAGACCCAGATTTAGGAGTTAGACCTAGATTTTTAAAAGAGAGTGGATTTAAATTTTTTGATATGGAAATATTAAGCCACATTACCTTAAAACCACATTTAACAAAACCATGGTGGGTGAAAAACTACAGCTCTTAGTTGCTACAAAATTCCAGTGTGGCTAAGGCAGCCTAGGAAAATCCAAGGAAGAAAGTCCAAGCAGGCCAGAGTGGTGAAGCTGAGTGGCTTTTCCCTGGGGCAGCAGGCTGGTGGTTGGGGAAATTTAAATGAAAGCAACTCAAGCAGGGGAAAAACTCAGCACATCTCAATTAGCTGTGGGGTACAACTTGTTCAAGATCACAGTATCAGCTGTCTTCAGAAGGCAGACTCGGTGGGACCCCTGAGTGCCTGTGGTGGTGGTGGTGGTGGTGGTGGTGGGTCCAGAAGGCTAAACACAAACAGAAAGAAGCCTCCTCCACCATTATTCTTGCCTCCTACAACTAAATCCAGTATAGCAGCTGATATGGTTTGGCTATGTCCCCACCAAAATCTCATCTTGAACTGTAACTCCCACAGTTCCCACATGTTGTGAGAGGAACCCAGTGGGAGGTGATTGAATTATAGGGGCTGGTCTTTCCTGCGCTGTTCTCATGATAGTGAATGAGTCTCACGAGATCTGATGGTTTTAAAAACGGGAGTTTCTTATACAAAAATTAATTCAAGATGGATTAAAGACTTAAATGTTAGACCTAAAACCATAAAAACCCTAGAAGAAAACCTAGGCAATACCATTCAGGACATAGGCATGGGCAAGGACTTCATGTCTAAAACACCAAAAGCAATGGCAACAAAAGCAAAAATTGACAAATGGGATCTAATTAAACTAAAGAGCTTCTGCACAGCAAAAGAAACTACCATCAGAGTGAACAGGCAACCTACAGAATGGGAGAAAATTTTTGCAATCTACTCATCTGACAAAGGGCTAATATCCAGAATCTACAATGAACTCAAACAAATTTACAGGAAAAAAATCAAACAACCCCATCAAAAAGTGGGCAAAGGATATGAACAGACACTTCTCAAAAGAAGACATTTATGCAGCCAAAAGGCACATGAAAAAATGCTCATCATCACTGGCCATCAGAGAAATGCAAATCAAAACCACAATGAGGTACCATCTCACACCAGTTAGAATGGCGATCATTAAAAAGTCAGGAAACAACAGGTGCTGGAGAGGATGTGGAGAAATAGGAACACTTTTACACTGTTGGTGGGACTGTAAACTAGTTCAACCATTGTGGAAGTCAGTGTGGCGATTCCTCAGGGATCTAGAACTAGAAATACCATTTGACCCAGCCATCCCATTACTGGGTATATACCCAAAGGATTATAAATCATGCTGCTATAAAGACACATGCACACGTATATTTATTGCGGCACTATTCACAATAGCAAAGACTTGGAACCAAGCCAAATGTCCAACAATGATAGACTGGATTAAGAAAATGTGGCACGTATACACCATGGAATACTATGCAACCATAAAAAATGAGAGTTCATGCCCTTTGTAGGGACATGGATGAAGCTGGAAACCATGATTCTCAGCAAACTATCATAAGGACAAAAAACCAAACACCGCATGTTCTCACTGATAAGTGGGAATTGAGCAATGAGAACACATGGACACAGGAAGGGGAACATCACACACTGGGGCCTGTTGTGGGGTCGGGGGAGGGGGGAGGGATAGCATTAGGAGATATACCTAATGTTAAATGATGAGTTAATGGGTGCAGCACACCAACATGGCACATGTATACATATGTAACTAACCAGCACATTGTGCACATGTACCCTAAAACTTAAAGTATAAAAGAAAAAAAAGGGAGTTTCCCTGCACAAGCTCTCTTGTCTGCCACCATGTGAAACATGCCTTTCACCTTCCAATAAACCTCTTTCTTTTGTAAATTGCCCAGTCTCAGGTATGTCTTTATCAGCAGTGTGAAAACAGACTAATACAGCAGCCCCCTGGGATTTAGGAAGTATTAACATAAACTTCAAATATTTTCTTTCTTTTTTTTGAGATGGAGTATCGCTCTGTTGCCCAGGCTGGAGTGCAGTGGTGTGATCTCGGTTCACTGCAAGCTCTGCCTCCCAGGTTCATGCCATTCTCTGCCTCAGCCTCCCGAGTAGCTGGGACTACAGGCGCCTGCCACCACTCCCGGCTAAGTTTGTTTTTCTATTTTTAGTAGAGACGGGGTTTCACCGTGTTAGCCAGGATGGTCTCAATCTCCTGACCTCGTGATCCAGCCGCCTTGGCCTCCCGAAGTGCTGGGATTACAGGGATGAGCCACTGCACCCAGCCAACAGATATTTCTAGCTCAGAGTTCTCTTCCCAAGTCTCTGATGTTCTTGTTTCTATGCCACCCAAGAGGATGGACAATTGGAAGAGACAAATCCAGCCACAGACAGTGCAACTTCACTCAGGGCCAGTGGAGCTCAGGACCTGCTTAGCATTTAGTGCACCTGGGGACCAGGTAGGAGCCATCCACAAGTGGTGATCAGAGCTATTCTGGCAGAGAGGGGAAAGAAGCAAGCAAGGGGGAACTGGCAGGGGTGGGGGGCTGGCCATACATGGAGATACACACTAGCAAGTGGTTAGGCAGCAGCATCGAGGGGCATGGCAGCAAGTACAGGGCTGGGGTTCAGGGACAACTGTCCAGTCCTTGAGTGATGGGAGCTAGCCCTGGAGGCTCCTGGACACAAGGGCAAAAGGCCCTGACCACAGAGCTGGAATCCTCTAAGCCTCCGCACATCCTTAACACTGGGTAGCAAGTGCTTCCGAAATGTGGCTGAAGGTGCAGGGAGCCAGGCAGGTCAGTGGACATCAGCTCTATCCCCTTCAGATACTCAGGCAGGCTCGGGAACACGTGGGCCACATCTGGCTCGGGTCATTTAGTGAAACACAACAGATGCTTCTGCCGGTTTGAAAATTTGCAACTGGCTGGCTCCACATAGCTAACAGCTGGCACTTCCCCACCCCTCCGCCTTCTGCTATGGCCATCCTCATGCATGGCTGTTCTCTCCCTGAAAACCACAGCCTCCTTAAGGTGTGCATTCTTCTGGTATTCCTCAAGGGCTCAGCACTGTACAAACCAGAAATCCAAATTTGCTAAGTAGTAACACATTTTCAAAAATATCAACAGGAACTTTTGATGCTTTAGTTGATATTTTGACTATGAAAATGAGGAATTCTAAAACACAAGAGAAAATAACATTTGATTGTAATTCTGAACTGCATTGGATTTTTATCTATTTATGTTATCCATTTATGATGTGTTTTGAGTGTTTTGCTCTATGTCCTAGATGTTATTTCATTTCTAAAAATGAAAATCATTCATAGGAAACATACAACAGGGATCCTGGTCTGGGTTTTCAACCATTTCTTTTCCAAATCTTCTAATTCAGGTTACAGCAGTGGTTCTCAATGGGAGGCGCTTTTACACGCCCCTCACCCCCGCAGTGGACATTTGGCAATGTCTGGTGATGTTTTTGTGTGTCATGACCGGGAGTGGGGTCTACTGGCAATGAGTTGGTAGAGTTCAGTGTTGCTGCTCAACATCCCACGGTGCAGGGGACAGCCACCCCAGCCACCAAGAACGACCCAGCTCCAGACGACCGTCGTGCTGAGGCTGAGAAACGCTAGGTTGCAGGGATGAAAGAAGCCAGCAACCAATTTCCATTCGTTACATCTGCAAAAAAAGTTTTATTTTACTAAATAAATTTAAAAATCGTGTTCTAGCTTCCTCTGGATTAGGAAGTGTGTGTAACATTGGTTTGCTGTTTCCAAAAGAATTGGTGGGAGAGGTAGAGACTGAAGGCTTGACTTCCTCAGAGCCACTGATAGGGAAAACGCCATCTTCTCAGGGCTGTGAGACACCTGGGAATCGATGCCTTGCAGCCCTGTTCTACCAGCTGGGAGACTTCTGCCAGTTCACCTTCCTGGACCCTGGGTCCCTCATCTGTAATGTGGATTTGATAACAGCATCTACCTCATAGAATTTCCGTGCAAATGAAATGAGTGAAAATATGTGAAAATTGCATGAGTGAAAAATACCTAAAAGCGTCAGCATGCTGCCGGCCGTGTCTGCGTGATGTGTGAGTGTTTGCTGCTGGTGTTATTCACGCATGACATAGACATTTTCCCAGTTAAACATGCTTGTATTCAGATGTTGTGGAAGAAACCTTAAGGATGAGACAAGGAACTGAATATCTCCCTTTTGCCGGTGGGCCCAGCATGGTCAGCACAGGGTCCCTGAGGGGCTTCGTCCAGCTTCCTTCCTCTTTCCTGTTCATACGGTGCCCGGGTGTGCAGTGTGGGTCTCCCAGTGGTGCCCACCTGCCAGCACATTTTGCTCACCTGTCCGACCCGTGGTTTCCTACTTGCCAGTGTTGGCCCCCAGCCCCCTATAACTTGTCTGCTTCCCAATGGGCAGTGGCAAATATCCTCTGCACAAGGAGATACAAAAATCTTGTGTATTTTAATAGAGATTTCATCTCTTTCTTAATGCAACGCAGCTGTGTATATCCTAGATCCATACAGTTCTGGGGGATGGACACTGGTGACCCCTAGCATTATGCTGGGAGTGTTTTCTTGATTATATACCCTGAACTCACAACCCTCACTCCAGCATTCTCCATGTGTTAAGACTAGATATGGTTTTGGATGATACTGACTCAGTTTCCACTTGCTAACGTCCCGAAAAGCTGACTGGCTTCACCAGCCATACTTGAAATACAACATATATGAACAGTCACTAAAAATCAGCAGGTAGCTAAACGTTTTTACTTTTGTCCTTGATGATATTGCCATCGTCTCTACTGTTACCTCCTCCTTCACTTCACTTTTTAAGTGCACTCATTCTGTGAAAACACCTTTTTTTTTAAATAGGGAAAGAAAAATGAATTGACTTGATATTCTTAAAAAATAAAAAGATGACCCAAAATATACAGAACCATTAATATGAAATTAAAGATCTTCTTTCTCAGTGGAAAAAAATTAGAACCACATTGCTGAAGTCTCTCAACATTTCATTTTTAATTTTTCTAATAGTACATTCTTTAAAAGAAGTTAACGACTTCAATTCCAAATATAAGGATTAAATAATGCAATGAAAAGCTGTCATTTTCAGTGAAGCTATTGCCTAATTACCCTGGAAAAAAGTATTCTTATGACTGAACTGATGCAAAAATCCCTTAGAAAAGCTTCATTTGTTGCCTGTAAAGAGTCTTCTTAAGGTCACTTTTACTTCTAGACTGCCCCCTTGTTTCCAGTGAAAGAGTTTTGCTTGGTAATGGCTTGTGGTTCCACAGTGTTTTGTGTATGAAAAGCGTAGACTAAGAGATACTACTGAAGTCGCTCAAATTGTAGATTCTGCCATGAAAGGAAGTCCCAACACTGTAACATTTCCCCTTAATCTTCAGCAAGACACATGAAAAAAAAAAAAAACTCAAGTCCCAACTGAATCTTTACTTTGATCATCACTTCCAGCGGCATTCAGAGGCTGCTGTGCGGTCAGACACAGAGCTCCCTCGAGGCCCCTGTGTGCTTATGAAGTACCTGCAGGTTCTGAGCGTCGGCGCCAGCCCGGGCCAGGGGTCTGCAGACAGAGGCACCTGGTGGCTGCTGGGGCTCCCTGGGGTGAGCCATGGCACGGGAGCCCCTAAGCGCCAAGCTCGCCACGGTCTTCGTCTCTCGGAAGGCAGGGGAAGAAGCAGCGCTCCCAGATAGGACAGAGAAAAGCCTATGAAACAATGCTCTCCAGTCACCAACCAGTTGCCTGATCAGAGCTGGAATTTACTGCTGGGACAAGAGTGCACTCCGATTTGCTTTCATTTTTTCCAGACGCTTCACTAAGTGGCCGTTGCTCACCTCGAGCTCTTCTGTTTTATCCAATGCAGAGCGGAGCTGGGAACGGAGGAAAGGCAGTGAGCTTTAAGGAACTTGTTTCCTCCAAACATAACAGGGTTCTGTGTTACCGAAATTCCAATCCTACTGAAAAATAAAATGATAACTTGGCCCCTGGTCCCTCATGATGCCCTTCCTCCTCTGAAACAACTGGACTCCAGAGAGGGAACACCCTTGGGGATCCTGATGGTTTTCTTTTTTTTTTCTTGAGATGGAATCTCGCTCAGTCGCCCAGGCTGGAGTGCAGTGGCGTGATCTCGGCTCACTGCAAGCTCCGCCTCACGGGTTCAAGCGATTCCCCTGCCTCAGCCTCCCGGGACTACAGGTGTGCGCCACCACCCTCAGTTAATTTTTTGTATTTTAGTAGAGACGGGGTTTTGCCATGTTGGCCAGGATGGTCTCGATCTCCTGACCTCGTGATCTGTCCGCCTTGGCCTCCCAAAGTGCTGGGATTACAGGCATGAGCCACCACGCTCGGCCTCTTTTTTTGTTTGTTTTTTTTTTTGAGACAAAGTCTCGCTCTGTCACCCAGGCCAGAGTATAACGGTGTGATCTTGGCTCACTGCAACCTCCGCCTTCTGGGTTCAAACAATTCTCTTGTCTCAGCCTCCTGAGTAGCTGAGACTACAGGTGCACACCACCACACCTGGCTAATTTTTTGTATTTTATTAGAGATGGGGTTTCACCATGTTGGTCAGGCTGGTCTTGAACTCCTGACCTCAGGTGATCTACCCACCTCGGCCTCCCAAAGTGCTGGGATTACAGGCGTGAGCCACACGCCCAGTGGGGATCCTGATGGTTTCACAAAAGGTAAGTGAGGCATGAGGTAAACAAACACAAACAACAAGAGCTGAGCCTGGACTGCATGGCGAAGGTGGTCCCCACAGCCCTGGCAGCCAGAGTCCAAGGCAGGAATGCCTGAGGCCAAGACGGCCACACCTGGGAGCCAGGGCCATGGAGCCTGAGAGTCAGGCAGAAGACGAGCTGCAGAAGCCACATTAGCAGGGCATCATCTGGACCCACAGGCAGCAGGGCAGAGTGGGGTGCCCTAAGCTGGGAGAACGTGGTTTTGGAGGGGTGACAAGAACAGGGTCTATGGCTCTGCTTTCGACCCAAAACACTCAAGGAAGCTTGTTTGGGTCCTGGGACAGAAGTCCCGACCCCACCTCACTAGCAGAGGCAGAAGCAAGCCCTTTTTGCAGGAAGTTTCCACAAGTTAAGCCTGGAGTTATTCCTACAAATTAAAATCAAGCATAAGCTCACAAAACACTAAGGTGACAAACCATTTGAGTGAGAGTCAACAGAAGCAATAAATGACAGAATTAGACCCCCAAAGACTGAGCATGTTTCAGTTGTCAGATACAGAAAACCAAACAGCTGTGTATGAAATATTTAAAGAATAAGAATACAATTTAAAAAGAGGACATACATGAACATGCAGCAAGAAACTATCAACAATGAAGACACTTTTTAAAAAAAATGGTGAACTGGAAAATCTTTGCAAAAACTTTAGGCATTATCCAATAGAGAGAGGTAAGGAGATAGAAAACATGAAAGAGAGATGGTTAAAAAATGTGGAGACAATGAGAATCTCTAACATCCTCTGATTAGAGTTCCAGAGGGGAAAGTGGAGAGACTAAAAAAGAGGAATTATTTAAGGAGTTAATGGTTGAATATTTTCCAAAATCAATTTTTAAAAAGACTTCACAGATCCAAGAAACACTATATATCTCAAGCAGAAAGATTCCAATAAACTACATCTAACAGTAAAACTGTAGAAAATCAAAGACAAACAGAACCTGAAAGAAACTAGAGAAGAAAAAAAAAGGTCCCTACAAAGGACCGACCGTTAAAACAACAACTTTCTCAACAGCTCAATGGAAGCCAGCAGATGGTGGCATAATCGCTATAATCATTGAGGAAAATGACCACCACACAGAATTGCATGTCCCTGAATACTACTGTCCAAGAACAAGGATGAAACGAAAACATGTACAAACAAAAACAGGGAATTCACCACCAAGAAGTCTGCTCTAAAAGAATTTCTACAGTATGTACTTCAGTGAGGAGGAAAATGATTCTAGTACAGTCTGAGACACTAGCAGGACAGACATATAAAATGGCCAATATGTAGTTATGTCAAACAAACATGGGCAATATAAAACAACAGCAACAACAACACAACAATAGTATTATCTGATAAGTGGGATTTATGAAGCTCAAAAGTATTTATGTGTGGATGTACATGTGTACATATACATATACACATATACACATATGTGTGAGGGTGTGCATGCCAGGCAGGAGGGTGAAGCTAAAGTGCTCAAAAGTCCTTCTATTTTATAGGAGGGGAGTAAAGATAGTGTTCAACTTTAATTTTTTTTTAAGTTAAATAAAAATACCCCATGTGTGATCACTGAAAAGAATAGAAATTGAATATAAAATTTAAATTTGGCAAGAGAAAAATGACACACAAAAGACAGAACAAATGGTTATCCACAGTCAGATGGTGAAAACGAGTCCAAATATACCAATAACAATGGACTAAGGGCTCTATTAAGATCCACAGATTCCAGATTCAACTAAGAGCCACCGCCACCTAGCTATGTGCATCTGAAGGAGATCATCTAACGCATAACAACACACGGAAGACTGGAAGCCAAGGGATGCAAAAATCAGAAGTGGACAAACACTAACCAAAAGAAAGCTGATGCGGCCACGTGAATACCCGACAAGGTCAACAGCAGCAGGGACCAAAAGGGTCACTACAAAGTGATAAAAGGTTTAACTCATCAAGAAGATATCAGAATTTTAAACATCTAGTATCAATAGCCTCAACATATATAGGAGAAATAGGGAGAATGAGATAAATCCACCATCATCTTTTGGAAGAGCTTGACAAATCTCTATCAGCTACTGAGAATTTAAGCAGACAAAAGAAATCAGATCTGAATGCACACTTCACAAGTTTGATCAGTGGAAGTATACAGAATTTTGCATCCATAAATCAGAGACTACACATTCTTCTTAACCACATTGGAGACATTTACAAAAGTGAATCATGTATCAGGCCATTAAGCAAGTATTGACAAATTTCAAAGACCAGGTATAACAGGGACCATGTTCTCTGACCATAGCAAAAGTAGGCTAGAAGGTTAAATGGGCCAGGCATGGTGGCTCATGCCTGTAATCCCAGCACTTTGGGAGGCCAAGGCAGGAGGATCACCTGAGGTCAGGAGTTCAAGACCAGCCTGGCCAACATGGAGAAACCCCGTCTCTACAAAAACACAAAAATTAGCCAGGCATGATGGTGGGTGCCTGTATTTCCGGCTACTCGAGAGGCTGAGGTGGGAGGCTTGAACCTGGGAGGTGGAGGTTGCAGTGAGCCGAGATGGCGCCATTGCACTCCAGCCTGGGCAAGAGTCAGACTCCGTCTCAAAAAAATAAATAAATAAAATAAAATCAAATAAAATAAATAAATAAATAAAATAAAGAGGAGAGAAATGGCATCTTTGGTTTCTCCTCCACAGTCCCTTTCCTACAGTTTAAATATAAAATGAGTGATTCTTTCCTTTTTTTTAATGAAAAACGGTCTCACTCTGTCGCCCCATGCTGGAGTGCAGTGGCACGCTCATGTGTCAAAGCAGCTTTCACCTCCCAGGCTCAAGCAATCCTCCTGCCTCAGCCTCCCAAGTAGCTGAGACTACAGGCACGGGCCACCGCACCCGGCTAATTAGTTTTTTTGCACTTTATGTAAAGACAGGTTTTCACTATGTTGCCCACACTGGTCTTGAACTCCTGAGCTCAAGCGATTTGCTCACCTTGGCCTCCCAAAGTGCTGGGATTATAGGCGTGAGCCACCGCGCCCGGCCCGAGTGATCCTATTGAAACATAAATCAACATAAGCCACTCCTTTGCTCAAAACCCTGCAGTAGCTCCCACTTTATGCACAGGAGGATCCCAAGTCCTGTCCATGGCCTCCAGGGCCCTGCCTCACGGGCTGAGGTGCTCTCACTGCTCCCTCCACCCCCTCACCCCCTGCTCACTTGGCCTCCACCGCTCTGACTGTTCCTTGACAAAGGCAGTGCCTTGCCCCGAGCTCCCCTGCACGTGCTGATCCTTTGCGCGGAAGGCTTTCTCCCAGTTCTGCCTGGCTCACTCCCTGGGCTGTTCAGGCCTGTCCTTATATGCCACAAGAAGGAAAGTCTTCCTTGGCCACCTACCTAGAACTGCCCTGGCCTGGGCCATTCCGCACCCCAGCCCCTCTCCTGCCTGTGGTCACTTTTATGGACCTCCCTCTTCCAGAGCACAGGCTCTATGGAGGCGGAGACTCCTGTCTGTAAGGTCACAGCTGCATCTCCAGCACCTGAACCCGTGCCCGGCATGCAACGGGTGCTGTAAATATTTGTTGAACAAACAACTTTGCCAAGTGTCTTCAGTAAGGTAAAGTATGTGTTTTAATTGGCAAGCATGGTAATTTGGGAGTGTGACCAGCAGGTGGAGTAACAGCAGCTCGGCTTCTCAAGGGCACTCTCCATAGGGTGACCTGAGACAGCTGTGGCCTGGCCCTGGTGCCACACCCAGCTCTTGGCCACAGCAGGCCCATGGGCTCCTGGTCCTCCACCTGGGCTCATTCTGCATGACACAAAAAATATTCGGAGCATAAGAGGCCTGGCTACTCCTTTATCTCATTCTCTTGACGTTTACGGACAAGACCTATAGGAGATGCTCAAAACTGACAGATGAACTAGTTGATGCCAGCAAGGGTCTAGCCCTAAGCCCTAACTGGCTGCGCCATGCCTTCCTTTATTAAGACACCGGCACTGCAGAGTGGTGTGGGATGATCTGACAATGACCAGCCCAGGGGCAGATGTCACAGTAGTAAATCCTCTCTGTACCGTCCCCACTAGAGAAATACTGGCAGCCATTCTCTTCCTAGAAATTGCCTAGGAAATTTACCTCTCTTTGGAGTTTCCGTTTTTCTGCCTTAAGTTCATCTTCTATTTTTTCTGCATTTTCAGCCGCTGATTTGTAACGTGATACTTGACTCTCTAACCTTATTACCTAAAAGGTAGAAAAAAAACCATATGTATAAATTGATAAGCCTGTTTTCTTTCTTCAGTTTCTTTACTTTGAGATCAAAGAGTGTGATTTAATAAAATGGGAGAATACACCATGTAAATACTTATAACATTTTGGACTATGGTGTGGGTTTGAGCCAAGCAAGCTATTCTTGGTTACTATTTCTGGGCGACCCTGTGCTGACATGATGGGGACCCATTTCCTCTGACCCCGTCCACCAGGGTGGTTTCTGCAGTGCTGGCACCTTGCTGCCTGCTTCTTCTCCCGCTGCGTGGGGCTGTTCTGTTGGAACAGGCAGAATGGTGCTGGTAAGGGACGTGTTCCGCCACGACCTCAGCTCCAGTCTAATCTCTCCTGGGGTGGCGGGGGTGGGAGGAGGAAAGGACAGGGCGAGGAGTGAAAGGAGGCGGCTTCGGCATGGCATTCCCCAGCCAAGGTTCTGAGATGAAAGACGGCAGCAGCGAAGGCCTGCTGGACACCTTCACTCTGCCGCAATCAAAAGCACACATCGTCTCTACCTGTGCTGTTCTCATTTTTGTTTCTATAAACATTCTAAAAAGTTCCAGCCAAGTACACCCACAATGGAGGGGGAAACAGTCCTGTTTTTTTTCTCTCTTTCTGGCTAGAACACAAATTGCCCTAGGGCCCAGGGTGCTAGAGGCAGGAGTGCCCCATGTCTAGACACCAGGGAGGGCGGGCCTCGCTGCAAGAGAAAGGCTAAAAGCCCAGGCAAGAGGGACGTCCCAGTATGATGTGTTTTTTTAATTAGCTACATTATTTATTTATTTATTTTATTTTATTTTTGAGACAGAGTCTCGCTGTTGCCCAGGCTGGAGTGCAGTGGCGTGATCTCGGCTCACTGCAACCTCTGCCACCCTGGTTCAAGCGATTCTCCTGCTTCAGCCTCCTGAGTAGCTGAGATTACAGGCGCCTGCCACCATGCCCGGCTAATTTTTGTATTTTTAGTAGAGACGGGGTTTCACTATGTTGGCCAGGCTGGTCTCGAACTCTCGACCTTCAGTGATCCACCCATCTCAGCCTCCCAAAGTGCTGGGATTACAGGTGTGAGCCACTGCGCTCGGCCAATTAACTAAATTAATTTTAAAGAACAAAATTTTAAAACACTCCCAAGCCACATTAGCTATTTTCTACAACTAACTGTTGTTGATAAAGGATTAGTATCTACTGTAACAACTTAAATTCTAAGAATTCTTTCCTTCCTGCTTGCTCTGTAAGAAACGGATGGAAAGACTTGCTGTCTTAACTTATCCCTCTTAGGACATTTCTTGGTTCTAAAAATCTCGGCTTTTTCTGGTCCTCAGCCTTTCAGGGCTATTTCTAGCAAGTAAAACTCCAGTCAATCATCAGTTCTGCCCGTTGTTGCTTACACGTACATTTTGTTCTAATGCAGTTATCTCTTGCTCAGATTTTGCAAGTTTAAATTTGAGGTCGCTGATCTGTCTGTTGGCATCCCCTAAAGGTTGAAAGAGAAGGAAAATCTGTTAAGCTCTTGGGCTTTTCAAATATTAAAACAATAGTTACTGGGAACCAAGCCCTTACTTTGTAATCATCTCACAAATCTGTTAGTTCTGGCCCTGCCTCCACAACCTCCCAGAGCTGAGAGTAGGAGAAGGCACTCTCTCCCCATGAACCCAGGGAAAGTGCCTTCCGCCCCTGTGCTTGGGGCAGGAAACCTCAGGCAAGAGAGTGCCTATGAGTGAAGAAGACAAAGAGATGGTAGGGGGTAGGGAAAAGGGCGGAGAGAGACTGGGCATAATTTTATCTCCCTTAAGACTGTTTCTAGTTTATTAGCATGAAAAAAGCCTTTCATTTTTTTTTTTTCATACAATCAACAGATCGAAAGATTGCTGTATCCAGCAAAGTAAATGTGGTTTCCATCGGCACAACATGTGGTGGTATCTTGGTGCACGTTTTTGGGTACCTGTTCTATTTCATAGGCTCAGAGAGAAACACCATTGTTCTGTCTACCTACCCCTCCTTGTGCTTTTATTTTTAAGGGCTTTTGTGGGGATGTGAGGGAATGAGGGCATTCTTTGCCGTGACAGTTTTCTCTGCCAGCACAAGTATACTAAAACAGCACATGTGAAAGCATTTACTTCTACACAAGAATTGACATTTACTTTGTAGGTCCATTACATGCATGTCTGTCCCGTTTTCCAAGACATCATCTTCAGATCGAAGATTGTCTAGTTTGCCAATCTTCTGTCTCTCCTCCAGCTGCCCTTTGAGTTTCTTAATCTGAAAACACCCGCCAGTAAAATCTGTTAATTTCTCTACTCTGAATGAGACCGAAAAGCTGAAGTTAGAGCCCATCAGAAAGGAAGCAGCATGTCAAATGACAGAAGGCACTTTGTGTCCATCAGTACTCTTCTCAGAAACACAATTCAATGTACAATGAATGAAAAATGAATTACACTGTAACTCTGAGAGAAAAGTCATTTCTAAAGTGAAATTCTTCTAGGACTCAGGAGGAGACTGTACATGAAATACCTGCAATGTTTAAGACTCAGTAAGTCACCATGCTATTCACTTTCTCTTTATTTACTAAGAAACCAGAAAGGGCCACTTGGAGCCTTCTGGGCTCCAATATATTGTAATTAAGTCCCCCAAAAGTCGAGTGCTTTCTCAGCGTCCAGGCCAGCTGCAGGTGTGTTCAGAGGCGGTTTGCCAGCTTTCAGGGAGTTGGTCTCTAGCTAGCTTTCCCCTCTCTAAGCAAGACAGAAACATGTCCAGTTGTCCCTTGGTATCTGGGCGGGGGGGGGGGGGGATTGGTTCCAGGACCCCTCAGACACCAAATCTGTGGATGCTCAAGTCCCTGATATAAAATGGTGCAGTATTTGCAGAAACCTACCTGCATTCTCCGGTACACTTTAAATCACCTCTAGATTCCTTTTAATACCCAACGCCTACAACTCACTTCATTTGTGTGGATTCAGTGCAGGACTCCGTGCAGGGCAAATTCAAGCTATGCTTTTTGGAACTTTGCGGAATTTATGGGTTTTTTTTTTTTTTTTTTGGAATATTTCAATCCATGTTGGTTGAATCCACGGATATGGAACCCATGGATATGGAGGGCTGACCGTATAGTTGGAATTGCAGTTAACAGTCAATGACTGCAGAACTTTCTGGCATCTAGTTCGTGGGGTCTCCGGGGGCTTTTCATGTTTAACTTCCAATCTGTGAAGAATTGTTGCAGGTGATCACCTGCCTTCCTACCCCACACACCAAGCACAGGAGACCCCTGATTAACAACAAACCAAAAGTGCATGCTGCTTTAAGGAAGTAAGGATAGAACTCAGGAATGCAGTTTCAAAAGATCACAGGAACTTCAAGAGAATCTTCCTACCATATTTAGTGCTTTCTCCAATTTTCGGAGAATCTTCAACAGAATGGTAGGAAGTAAGGCAAATACATTTGATTAGGCTTATGAGGAGAAATTAGAGGAAAGTGGTTGTAGAGTGATTTAATCACTATCCTGCATATAAAAAGATCAGATAGGATAACTGTTCAGTGTTTCTTTGTTTTTGAGATGGAGTCTTGCTCTGTCACCCAGGTTGGAGTGCAGTGGTGCGATCTCGGCTCACTGCAACCTCTGCTTCCCGGGTTCAAGCGATTCTCCTGCCTCAGCCTCCCCAGTAGCTGGGATTACGGGCGCGCACCATCACACCCGGCTAATTTTTGTATTTTTAGTAGAGACGGGGTTTCACCATGTTGGCAGACTGCTCTTGAACTCCTGACCTCAAGTGATCCGCCCGCCTTGGCCTCCCAAAGTGCTACGATTACAGGTGTGAGCCACTGCACCTGGCCTGCTACTTCTTGAGGTAGGAGAGAGCAATGAAGATAAACATGGTTAAAACAACTTTGTTTAGCTGTAACAAAGAAACACCTGTGAGAGAGGGGTGCTGATCACCAAGAGTACAAAACTGACTTTTATGGACAAACAACCCATATGGACAAGAGAAGTGCTATTTGGAATGACTCAGTAATGCTCTTGTCTCTCAACAGTTAATCATTAATATTATTAATAATCAACATTTATATTTATTTTAAGCAGCAATTCAGTAAAATGTACCAAATTCAATTCCATGGCTTTGGGTCTTTGAGACATCCTTATTAAACCTCATATGACTCAGGATGTTCTCTTTGGATGAAAATATTAACTTTGATGTTCTATTTGGATAGCAATCTTAAGAACACCAGTTGGCTTGATAAAGACTTTCAGACATGATTAACTTAGGGGTTTTCTGAGTAAGCAAGAAGGAAGGATGGGCAGGTGGTTTCAGGTGCCCTGTTCATGAACCGGTAAAGTAATAAAAAGATTGTTACCTGTTCCAATAAGCATTCCCGTTCATCAACCAGCTTTTTCAACCTAATATCTAAAGAAATCACAAAGACACAGGTTTAGGTGAATCCGCGTGCCGCGCCTTTCAGCACATTGCTAAACTGAAGAATGATCGTTCAGGTTAGTGAAATGAATGATGGAAGTAGTTATACACGTACCACGGTGAATGAGGCCACAGACAGGACGGGGTGAATGAGGCCACAGCCAAAGGAGGTTGGGTCAACCTCCCAGAACATGCTTCACGTCAGGGGCAGCATCCGGCTGCATGCAAACAGGCTGCTAATCTTCTACCTTAGGTTAGCATGCAAGAACGCTAGGGCCAAACCACGCTGCAACACAAGATCTCACAGGCTTCATGGTTTAACATTATTAGCAATGTACAAACACCGAGAATCACAATTCAATAGCACCAACATTTTGAACAGCCTCGCCTTTCCGAGTTTACATCCCAGATGTATTTATCTTTCTAATTTCCCTCATAGACTCATCGATGTCAGTGCCATGAGTATCTGTTTACAACCCTAAGTCCACTAACACCTCTGCTAACCCAGTTACCAAAGCTGTTATTCTTTTGAGGAAGAAGGCAGTAATGGTTTAAGTGTCTGTAATTCCTCCTGGACCCGATATATAAGGATGCATAAATGTTAAGTGTCTATAAATTCCCCAAACATCTCTCTGAACGAGTGTCAAGTATTAGAGTCTTCAGACTGCGGGGGAAACCACGGCTAGGGGAGGGTTTAGAGGTTTGGGCAAAATCCCACACTAGTTTAAAGGCACAGTCAGAATGCTGGAGTGATGACAGTGATGATAACGTATGCTGCACACTCGCTCTGACACAGGTACAGTTCTAGCAGCTTCGACATCATTAGCTCGTTTCAGCCCCAGAAGCCCTATGGGTAGGCTTCATCATAGCCTCCTTCTATAGATGAGGCTCAGAGGCCCAGAACCACTAAGCAAGTTTCTTCAGGCCTTGCGGCCCAGCCACGGGAACACTCCCCTAAACACTGCACCCGCTGTTTTTCCAGATCCAAACTCACACGCCCGAGTCAGACCCTGACTCAAAGCTCTTAGCTCACTAGGACACTGCTGTCATGCGGCCTACCTCCAGATTCTTCATAGAATGAAAAACTAACCTTGATTAGCCATGTGAAAAGAAAATAATTCATATAAAATGCATCTTCATTTTCATTTAAAAAATCATCTAGCCACATGCTAATCCAAGTTACATTTTTCTCTAATTATGTTTTCCAAAGATCCTAAGTTGTTTTGAAAGGCACAGTAAACACCAGATAATGTTAAGCACAATATAAATTAAATTTATCATCCTTTTGAGTTCTATTTTAATTTACAGTCAAATTACTTCTGACAGATGTTTTACTCGCTCCCCCCCATAACCCACCCAACATTGAAACAAAACATTTTTGCAGTTATGAACCTGATTCTTTTGCCCAATATCACTTTTCATTTTCTTACATGTTTTAATACTCCTACATACAAAAACTACAGGCGTCATAAGAAACACTGAATACACCAGAATGTGATCTTGAAGCTCAAGTATCTATTGTACAATTGTTATTGTTTTCTTCTAGAAAACTTCAAATATTCTACATAAGCACTAGAAAATAAGTGTTAAAATGTAATAAGAGTGCAAGCAAAATTGATATAGGTAATCTGACATTTAGTTGTATAGTGAGAACATTATAAATAGAGAAGAAACTTTTCAGGAAGAGAAATTCTAAAGGAGACTTGGACAAGAAAACAAGAACGAAAGAGTTTGAAGAAAATGGAAAAAGAAATGAAGCAAAATAATTTGACATGAAGAAAATAAAGAGTACTAGTTTTCGTAGCGTTAAAAACCACCAAGTCTATATTGTTGAATAAATAGTGGCACATCACCGGTAGACTTATAGTGTCTGTATAGCTGGGAAATTTTTCCCTGTATCAGCCACCAGCCATTCACATGTTGAAAAATATTTAAGAGAGGCAGTAGATAGGGACAAAAAGAACAAAAGGATTTTCCTCTTGAAAGACAAAGTTTTCTCCACGTACAACTATCACACTGAACAAGTACATATTCTGAACATAATACATGCACACACAAACACCCCTCCCTTTCCCTTAGGGGCCCAGACGTTTAGAACAAATCTTACTGTTGTGTTCCCTTGGCTGGTGGCCACGGGTGGTACGCTGTACAGGGTTGGGGGGTGGTCTCCCAGAAAGGGAGTCTATGAATAGAAAACAGGAGCCCCAAACCATCTAAACTCCCCAGAATTAGCATTCAGGGTCCTAGTGATAGTGGAAACTTAAGTGTTCAGACCATTAGGTCTCCGGTTAATTACAAATATGGAAAGTGATCAGGGTCACACATTTCTTTTAAGGTCATACATTCTTGAAAACTGTTTAAAAATTTGATTGCTGTCCCAACTTTGTATAACAACCTATAAGTAAAAATCCATCTTCCTCTATATTTTTGACATACACCCATAATTATACTTAATTATACTTTTGAAGGAAGATTTACATTTATATACGGGAGCTATGTTCTGGTTTGGGACTGAAAAATATCCAAGCTTTTTGATTTCAGGTGTCAGTAACCAATGTTTTTCTCTATTCTGTATGATAGTGAAACCCCAGTGGTCTAGGTTCGTCTGGGGATATGGCTGGCAGGCAACCTTTCAATTCTTTTCTGAGTTTGAATCTTTTGACACTATAATCTTTCTAAATTGCTCTATATATTTCTATACCTTCTTATATGGAGTATAGCTAAGTCAACTTTCTTTTTCTTTTCTTTCTTTTTTTTTGAGACAGGGTTTCACTCCATCACCCAGGCTGGAATGCAGTGGTGTGAGCACAATTCACTGCAGCCTCGACCTCCCAGGCTCAGGTGTTTCTGCCTCCTAAGTAGCTGGGACTACATGGGACTACATGCACATGCCACCATGCCTGGCTAATTGTTTGTATATTTTTTTTGTAGAGATGGGCTTTCATCATGTTGCCCAGGCTGGGCTTGAACTCCTGGGCTTAAGTGATCTGCCTGCCTCGGCCTCCCACGTGCTGGGATTATAGGCATGAGCCAATGTGCCCGGCCTCAACCATTTCTTGATAAGTTAAGGGCCTTCACAGTAATATCAATTACTGTGCTTGGCTATAAAGTCATTACACTGGAGAGCATATAACTGATGCTCAGAATGAAGGCTCTGAAATCATCGAGAAATGGTTTGGCTGCTCAGAACTCTTTCTTTTTCCTTCTTTCTTGCTCATGGATTTTCAGCTGTCCATTCCCTACTGGAGGGCTGGGTCCAACTGCTTGTTCACTGGCACAGTGCCTTCCATGTACAAAGTGATCAAACCTGTCTATTAATTAAGCAAATGAGTGGTGAATCACTGAGACGGCTGGATGGCTGAGCTGAGGGATGTGATGTGTGCCCAACGTCCTGCAGGGTGCTGGTGAATAACATGAGAAAGAACTTAAAATGGCTTGATGATCTCACCATTTAGTGACCTTGGTTGTCACACTGCTTTCCAAGAGCCCTTTAAAGGTAGGAATGAGAGCTGTTTCCAGTATGCATTCCAATAGGAATGCAGCTTTGCTAAAGTTAGAGACATAAACTAAAACCCTGTGAAGTCCTATAGAGCCCTTGGACTTATTTCCTAGCAAGCATTTATCATCCCCACCATCCTCTACTTCAGGACACTTGAGCAGAAACAGTCAAGGTTTTTGCCGTTTTCATCCTGCTCTTCAAAACACTGTAAGTAGTGGCGCAGGTAAGCACAGCCACAGGTGAAGACCGTTTTCAGCTGAGGCTGCACATCAGAACCACAGATCACAGGGGATGGTGCGTGACAATCGTCTCAGTTCTCCCAGTAATGCCCATGCTAGCCCCAGGCTCGATGCCAGGAGGGAAGTGCATTCCTTACTGAGGGAGGGCATCAGGCGTGGGTCTTCCACGGAACCCCAATAGGAATCAGCAACCCCCAAGCAGATATTACTCAAAGGTGGTATTACATACAACAGTAGTCAGACTCAGACTTCAAGCAGCCCAAAGAGTGGAACCACAGGCTTGCACAATTATAAAATGTTTTTATTTCAATTACATAATAACACGTTTTCCTCAAATTTTATTGAGGTTTTGGTCTTTTTGCATTCAATTCTATCTTGTAACAGTAATATGAATCCACATAATTTCATAAAATGTCAACAACATTCATAAGGTACATTCCTTTGTGATTTTATATTTTACAATTTTAAATCTAACTTTACAATTATTTTAAAAAATTTTTTTATATAGAAAACAGATATTTTCTTCAGGCAGATCAAAACAAGAATTTTCCAGTAAGAATATACTGGGACATAACAAATGAAAATATTTATACCAAAATACCAAAAGTGATTCAGCTCTTTAAAATATCCTACTATAGTCTAATTAGTAGCTTGTACAAGAACAAGTAACCATTTTTTACTGCTCTTTTGAATGATGATTAGAAATTCAAACAAAGTATTTTAAGGTTCAAAAACTTTTTTTTTTTTTTTTTTTTTTTTTAGAGACAGTGTCTCACTCTGTCTCCCAGGCTAGAGTACAGTGTGCAATCATAGCTCACTGCAGCCTTGAACTCCTGGCCTCAAGCAATCCTCCCACCTTGGCTTCCCAATGTGCTAGGTTTACAGGCGTGAAAACATTGTGTTGTGTGTGTGTGTGTTTTTTTTTTTTTTTTTAGACAGAGTTTCGCTCTTGTTGTCCAGGCTGGAGTACAATGGCTTGATCTTGGCTCACTGCAATCTCTGCCTCGCAGGTTCAAGCGATTCTCCTGCCTCAGCCTCTGGAGTGGCTGGGATTACAGGCGCCCACCATCACGCCCGGCCAATTTTTTGTATTTTTAGTAGAGACAGGGTTTCACCATGTTGGCCAGGCTGGCCTCGAACTCTTGACCTCAGGTGATCCACCTGCCTTGGCCTCCCAATGTACTGAGATTACAGGCATGAGCCACCACGCCCGGCCAAAAACATTTAAAAAATGACTGTCCCTGCTCAAATACTGCAGTAGGAAATGTAATTTGACATATATCACTTCCAGAAAAAAACTTTAAATCTTTCTATAAAATGAATTTGATACATCATCAGCATGAAGTGAAGTTAAAATCTCTTACAAAGTAAATTCAGGTATATCAACAATGAGATCCAAAAGTATCGGTTCAAGATCAAAGACTCATATGAGGTAAAGGCAAATAAAGCCCCTCATGCTTTCAGACATTTACTTGTTATCCTTAAAATGATTATTGTTCTAAGGTGCAAATCTTATCATTCAGTGACCTATTTGCTATTTGGCTGTTTATCTCCTTTAAATAAAATACCATACAGGTTATAATGTACATTTTAAAATCAAATATGAAAGTACACATATGTGAACAAGACATTAATTTAAATATCAATTATATTCATAATACAGAAGTCTAAGAATGCTATTTGGTCATTTCAATTAGATGCTGATATATTTGGTCAAGAAAACCCACATTCCTATCAGCCTAAGGCAAATAGTAAATGCCTCTATTTTTATTAAGTGGACTATAAACAGTAGACATTATTGTTTGATACTACTGGAATGCTCTCAATTAGAACGTACACTGATAACAAATATGTCTTTCTAATCTGGGTGATAACCTCAATGATTACATGGAAATCTACAAGTAACAGTCTATAACTTAAAGCAGTAGAGCACCTGGTAATTGTCATACAGTGCCTCTCTATGAATTTAGAACATTCTACTTACATTGGCAGTGGAGAGAAAAGACCCCTTCACACTGAGACTTCCTGTGCACCGCGCCTGCCGCCTGCCTCAGCTTAGGACATGGTACAGTCTTCTTTGCTTTTGCCCTTCTCATTCCCTCCTCTGGTATCTTCTCTGCTTTCTGGATTGAAGTGCCCTGGCTCTCTTCCTGGTGCCGACAAGTCATCGTTCTCTAGGCTATTGCTGTCTAAAGCTTTCCTGACGGTCTGACTTGGATGTTCTGACATCTCACACCTCTCTGTACTTTCTGCTTCACAGGCATCACTAATGTCCTGTGAGGGACTTTCATGTTCGGGCAGGGTGCAGCGATCTGCGTCTTCGCTCTTTGGTTCTGCAGGACTGCTTTGAGTGGCACCATCTATTTTAGCATTATCTTTTGCAACACCTTCATCTAATTCTTCACCACCAGCCCTCGGGCCTGATGATTGAACGGTGTCATCCTCAAAATCTAATGTGTCTCCATCAGCTAGTACCTCCTCAGCTGCTGTTTGTACATCATCACCTTCTTGGTCAAGTTTTCCATCCAACTTAATTTTAGGATTCTCCGGACAATCAACATTTTCACTGCTTTCTGCTGCAATTTTCTGTTTTGGATTTTCAGTCACCTCGTTTTGGGCTTCCACTGCTGACTTTCTGTCAGTAGACTTTACCTGCTCTTCTTCCTTAATTTCACTTAAATCTGTGTTCTGATACGTTAACTCTTTTTTAACATCTTTAAGGGTTTCTACGGGTACTGGGGATTTTTTCTTCTTGTTTTTCTTTTTCTTGTTCTTTGTCTTCTTCTGCGATGAGTCCAATGCCTCTCCCTGTTGGTCACTCTTTTCTTCATCGGGCTCTTTCATATCTAAGGGTTCATTTTGAGTGTCTACTGTACTTGGACCTGTCGCTTCCTGACAGTTGCCCTCAGTTCCTGCTGGAGAACCAGGAACTTCTGTCTTGATTGGTTTCTCGTCCCTTAATCCTGTTTCTTCACCCTCTTCTTCGTTGTGATCCCTACCTACTTCTGTACTGTGCGCTGGAACCTCCTTGGGCTCAGCTGCTTCCTGGTTGGTGAATTCTTTCTCTAAACTATGCCCTGTGCTTGTCTCTAACTCTTGGGGGACCTCTACCATACATTTGTCATCATGATAAACTGTGTCATCACTATGCCCTAAAGGACACGAGGCCACTGTGCCTGCCTGCTCTTCAACCTGAGTCACTGCTGCCTCTCCCACATTCTCTGTGTGGTTCCCACCATCTAAGTCACTCCAACAGTTGGATGGCTCAAGGGGAGTTCTGGTCCTGTCATCTGGTGCACCCATGACCTCATTTGACTCAACCTGTACTGTGTTTTCAGGGAGAGAACTGCTCTCAAGAATTTGGCTTTGAACCTGTTCCTCATAGGTAGCACCTGCTAAGGTTCCTAGGAATGGGGCAGTGTCTTCAGAGGATTTCTGGTCCTCGGTATTCTCACCAGCAGGGAATACCTCTATGTCCACACAGTCCTTCACTGTGTCCTCTGTGTGTTGTTCTTTCTCAGTATTGTGCAAGATTTCTCTTTTCCCCACATTCGCCACGATTTCATTTTTCACCTCCACTTCACTGGCTCTTCCTAAAAGACCATTGAGAAAATTGAAGGGACCCCATGATGTGGCGGCCACATAATCTACATTAGAATGTAAACACACGTTCCAAATCCCACCCACCCCTATTCCTAAAGACAGAGTCATCAAAGAGTCATGAGAAACAAGCCTTTGCCAGTTCTGTGCGGCAAAGCAGCAGTTGCATTAGTAAATTTTGGGTCAGTGAGGGCCACTGCCACCACATCAAAGGCCAGAGTGGCTGCTGGTGCCATCTTGTGTGGACAGATTTTTAAAGGTGACGTTAAGTTTCAACAAATAGAAAGAACTCTGGATCAGGCAGCCAAACAATCCACAATGATGGGTTTAGGAACAGACTGAAGGTTCAATTCCCCACTCTCACTTCTCAATGAACAACTTGACAACTTGTACTTTTGCAGCTGTCAAACTGCACTCCATGTCACACAGCCCTAAAAGCAGCTTTCAAGTAATTTTTAAAAAGAATATTCAGTGCACTTTTAGAAATGCAGCCTCAAGGTCAGTCTCAAGGAAGATGCTTTTGAAATAGCTCATATGAAAGGAAATCTATCTTCTGCCACTCAACTATTGTTTTCCTGAGAAAACACCCTGTGTCCATGCCCTGATACCTCTGCTCCATTCCCTAAGGGACTAGGGAGAGAGGACCAGCAGGAGGCAAATGTTCAAGATCAAGATGACCACTAAATTAAATGATAAATTATTCATCGTCTAAAGAACATCAAACTGTTTTGGAATTTTTGGACTCTCCAAACAAAACCCCAGCAGATTAGATATGGTACTATGTTACTGAAAGTCAAAGCTAGATAATTTTATAGCCCAGTGATCTCCATGGTGGGGTGCCCATATCCCAGGGAAAATGGGGGAAATATTAGGAATTCTATTTAGAGTTTTACTCTAAAACTTCTTTGCATATCTTTGCATATATTTTATAACGTACATTTTATATTAATGAAATAGTATACATATGTAGATTTAAAATAAACATACATATTGGATCCTACAATTCTTTGCTGAAGGAATATGTGATCAAAAGTCATTTGAAGGCCACTTTCAAAACTGACATTTCTGGTTCTTACAACATTTCACAATGGTTATCAAAGATTTATAAAATGTGTATTTGAGTAAGAGCAGCGTAATCAGATTCCTAGCTGTTCGGGTAGCTCATATAAAGGTATGATGGAAATTGATTAATTTATCTTTTCTCAACAACGGTATATAGATACTACATACCTATCTAGAGACGGAATCTTGCTAGGTTGCCAGGCTGGCCTGGAATTCCTGGTCTTAAGTGATCCTCCAGCCTTGGCCACCCGCAGCGCTGGGATTAGAAGTGTGAGCCACTGCACTAGGCCACAACTTTTTTTACACAATTGAAAAGAGCTGTGTTTCTTTAATAGTCATAAAGATAATGAATGAGGTACCTCCCTGGAATGCGAGGCCTGAGAAGATGGGGCCTGGAGGTGTCTACATTTCCATAAATAAAAAGAAATAAGATGAAAGCTTCTACATTAAAATGAAAAGTCACGGACCCTGACCTTATTCCAGCCTCTTTGTAAAACACTGGAACGCAGAGGGTGACCAGTGACAGATGAGGCCTCACTTGCACGCTGCAACTTCAGGCTGCACGCCAGAATCTGAAGGTTTCTCCCAAAGCCAACTCTTATGACAAATTATGACAAATCAGATCATTGAAAATGGTATAAAATATTCCTCTGATCTACTGGATTCCCCAGTTTTATATTCTTTCAGAAGCAAACACGTGGCATACAAAGGAGGATCCCCTCTGACAAAGGTGGGCATACTCAGACTCTCAGCACCGCCACACCCACTACCACGGCCGCCTGCCCACCTCGAGCGGTGGCTTGAAAAAGGCAACACAGACGGACCTGCTGTCCACAGGCACCCCGTACCCTCAAAGCGCTGAATGCTGCCCAGGATGTCGATGTTGGCTTGCAAATATGGCCAACTGACTTGACGGCCTCAACCATTCTGATCTTTTGATAATTCTGTCATAGAATCGGTTTAAAAAGCCACACTTTATAGGTACAGATATATATGTGTCTGAGGAAAACCAAATAGTACTCTCCACATTGTTACTTAATTTTGAGACTGTTTTCCTTTTGCCTTCACAGTCTTGCTTGGTAGCTTTGAGCAGCAAAAGAAAAGGTTCACTTGAGCCATTGATGGTGCACTACACAGAGATGCATGCCAGACAACACGTGGGTGACCACACCGGGTGGGCAAGGAAATTACCATGAAGTGATGAAACAAATGGCATGCTGGTGACTGTTAACCCATCAGCGACGGTGGCTCCAACCCCAGCAGTGCATGGAGGGTGAACCAATGCTGAGTGGAAAGGTGTGAGGAGCCGAAGGAAAGCAAATACTTACCTAGGGTCCCATCCCCTGTCGACTTGAGGGCATTTAACTCTTCTTTTGTCATCTTGGTAGGACCTTGGTATCCAACATTATTGAGGGTGTCGGAAGTCTCTCCATTGGTAGCTATTTCTGAATTTAGGATTATTCCATGTTTCTGGGAACAAAAATAGGCTCATCGTAATATTTACTCAGTGATATTAGGTTAAACTCTGTTTTAATACAATAATAAAAAAGAAAACCATTTTTTCCTGAAGTACAGGGTAACTCCACAGAGACAAGAGAAATGCTAGGGTGCAGCACTCGTAAATATTCGGTCAACACACACAAATCTGGGATATCGTCCTCCAAAGGCTACTTCTTTCTCAGATGTTCCAATCCATGCTTTCATTTGCTGGTGACAAGCTACTTCCACCAGGCATCCTTTTTAACTACAGGTAGTGGCCTGTGGGCTGCCCCCAAGTGGAGCAGTAAGCAAGTCACTGCCAAGTGACCTTTCATTTCAAAACCCTGATTGCATTCTTTAAAAAGAGAAACCAGATAAAGAAAGAAATATATACATGTTCTGAAAGAGACACACGAAACTTATGTTAAAGAAGGAATTCAGAGGTGGCTAGAATGTTCAGTATATTCAAAAGAAACAGAATTCACTGAAAACAGCAGCACTTCCCAACTGCAGACATCACTCACCCATGCCCTCCTGCCGCCTGTGGCTCTCTCTCCCTTGTGTGTGAGGAACTCCCCTGAACTGATCGCCTCTTCAAGGAGCAGAATTACGAATCTTAGCTCTAAGCCTGTAGCTGGCTGGCTCACTGCTCTGGCTTTGACCCTGGAGGCCAAGCAGCAGATGGTGACGGTTCAGGAACCCCCCCACCCAGAGTGCTGCCACTGGCGCTTCACCTGTGTCAAGCAGCGGCTGAAGACGCCTTGGCGTGGCCCACCAAGGACAGGGAACCGTCTTCCACCTGTAATCTAGTAGGTCTCAAAGTCTAATTAGCGGGATCCTTGCCCAAACCACTTACCCAAGTCACTGTTCCTCTAGAGAAGTCCTTAAATTGGGGGTTTTAATATAAAGAGGCAAATTAATTCTCTAAGTCTGAGTAATATCCTGGAGAATTTACTAGTGAGTATGAGAAAAATTTAGATAATGTATCAAAAAATTCTTGCATTCAAGATTGGCTATGTTTATTAACATCAAAAGGCCTTGGGCACCACCCACTGAACCTACATTTATTTTACATCTCATCGCTGTCAGTTAACCCAATATATGAATTATTAACAGAACTAAATGACATAAAATGAATTATGTACACACATATTCACAGCATCCCAAAATTTGCTGTTGTCACCTGGATTTTTTTTCTTTTTTTTTAAATAAAACTGTAGTTTGGCTTCATACCTTTAATTCCTCTTTCAGCATGACTACTTCTTCTCTAAGATCATCCCGTTCACTCCTTACGGAATCAAAGAACTCTTTCTGCCTCTCTAATGCCTGAGTGTGCAGCAGAGCCAAGAGAAAGAAGAAGATTTGCACAGATGAGCAAGTTACTTCAGAAGCAGGAACCAGAAGGAGGCTTCTACCATCTAAAACACTAGTGGACTCTAGACATTAAAGAGACTCTGCCTAAAGATACTAACAAAATCCAAGTATTAAGCTTTTCGCTTAGTATATATAATCCAAGAAATGTTACTGTTCATACTCCATGAAAGACATGCGCATCTTGAAGCACACGGACACAGCACGGGGCCCCAGAGGTTACTATATTTGCATCACTTTCTAGCTTTGTCTGCGTGTTCACAGCTGCGTTAGAGTTACGCAAAGTCTCCACTTGAATGAGGGGTCAGTAAAGAAAAGGGATTGCTTAAGCACCTCCCAGGACGGCTGTTGTAGCCATTTAGACTATTTTTATACACTGATTCTTGGTATCCATCATCTCAGATAAATGAAGTGGTCCTAAAGTGTGCGTGCATGCAGACACACACACACACACACACACTCCTAAGTGCTGATGAGCGTGACAGTGGAAACACAGTGTGGCTTGAGTCAACGTGCCGATGGTTTGTGCAGGTATCTCGACGTCTTTATTAGAGCTATGTGTAGGAATCACCATTTTGGGGAAACCATTTGTTGTTACCAATCATGACAACTACTTTGTGGGGTTCTGTTCCCCCTATCCTTCAATTCTAAGTGTAGAACTGCCTCTTTTCTTCTTGTGGAGGGAGAAGGGTATGTGGAGACCTTCCCTGGGGAAGATTTCAAAGTGGGGATATCTGCCTGGTGGTGCTTAGATTTTTTTTCTCAAAGCACCACCAGGCAGATAATCCCAAGACGTCTGGACTTGCACACATCAGACCTCCTCAGAGTGTCCTCCTCACTCCAGCTGTTTCAACAACCACCGGCCCGGCCCAGCCACGGGGCAGGCAGAGCGCACAGCTACGCATTCACAAGACCCTCCATGGAGAGTCCGTGTCACAATCCAAGTTCATATCAATTTGGATAAGTTAGTGTATTCACTACTTAATAAAATTAAATAAATTAATACGACTTTGTGTCACGTGGGAGTTGCATGCATACTCAGACAAGCGGTTTTGCAAACTAAAGACTCTGAAAAAACTCTATTTGCTAAGCAGGCTGCCCATTTGAGTAGATTTTCAAGACTTGGGAATCCTACCCCTATCTTTTTGTCTTTCCACTCTATTGTTTCCTGAAGATCAGAAATCTCCCTGATAGAACTCGCCTGTTTCTGCTGTAGCTGTCGGATTTCCTGAGGAAAGGAACAGACAGAAAGCAGATAAAGGGTTAAAGAGGAAGAAAAACCCCAGCCCGAGAGAGAACCTGAGAGCTGGGACAGTGAGTGAGGCCGCAAGCACTCTTTCACCTCATCAACCCTGAACTCATTGTCAGCATTCTAGGATTTTTTTCCTTGTCCTACTTCCGGCTTCAAGAAGTGCAGGAAGAAAACCTGCTTTGGGTGAAATTCTCACTTCAAGGCAGCAGTTAAAGAACCGATTAAGTCAAAAAATTAAAAACCAACCCTGTATTAGTTTCTTATTGCCATTGTAATGAATCGTCATAAATTCAGCAGCTTAAAACACAAATTTATTCTCTTGCAATTCTAGAGGTCAGAAGTCCAAAATGAGTCTTATGGGCTAAAATCAAGCCTTTCTGGAAGGCTCTAGGGAGAATCTGTTTCCCTGCCTTTTTCAGCTTCTAAGACTGAGCTGCTTTCCTTGGCTCATGGCCCCTCTCTCGCATCGCTCCAACCTCAGCTTCCTGTGTCACATCTTCTACTTCTGCCTTTGAGTTGCCTTCCTCTTAGAAGGATGCTTGTTCCATCAAATAATCCAGGATAATCCCTTCTCTCAAGGTCTCTCATCACAACTGCAGGGGCCCTTTAACCATGTAAGGCATCATATTTACAGTTTCCAGGGATCTGGATGTAGGCAACTTCGGGGGACCATTATTCTGTCTACCACACCTCCCCAAACAAATACAAGATCACCAAAGAATAGGAATGTTCACCAATGAGAGGGACTGTTTCGTAAATCTAGGGATGGAGAGTTAGCCTAAACTCTCAGATTTAAGAAAACTGAAAACTTTAGTAATTGCCATGGAATGAATTGTGTCCCTCTAAATTCATCTGTTGAAGCCCTAATGCCCAATGTGACTGTATTTGGAGATAGGGTTTTTACGAAGTAATTAAGGTTAAATGAGGTCATAAGAGTGGGGTCCTGATCAAATAGGATTAGTGTCCTTATATGAAGAGACATCAGAGACATTGCTTTTTCTCCACCGTTGGAGGAAGGATATAGCAAGAAGGTGGCTGTCTGCAGGCCAGGAAGAGAGGCCTCACCTGAACCCAACCTTGATCTTGGACTCCCAGCCTCCAGAATTGTAAGAAAATTAATTTCTGTTGTTTAAGCCATGCTGTGTATGGTATTTTATTACTGCAGCCTAAGCTAAGATAGTCATGGCCTGACAAAATGCTCCAAAGGGAAAAAAGGAAAAGAAAAGCAGGAGAATGCTACCTACCTCGAGCATTTCCTCTCTTTGCTTCAGGGCCTCCTTGACTTCAGCAAACTGAAATTGCAGTATACTGTGGGCGTGTTTTTCCCTTTCAAATTCCTGTAAAGGAGAAAAACAGCACTAAAGCAGTGGAATCCCATGTTTCTGGCATGCCAGTTCAGGCTCTCACGATTTATAGTTTCTGTGGAACAAATCACCTGCTACTACATCATCACAATCTTCAAGGTCTTTTATTTTATTTTTTATTTATATATTTTTTTGAGATGGAGTCTTGCTCTGTTGTCCAGGCTGGAGTACAGTGGTGCGATCTCAGCTCACTGCAACCTCTGCCTCCTGGGTTCAAGCGATTCTGCTGCCTCAGCCTCCCAAGTAGCTGGGAATACAGGCGCCTGCCTCCATGCCCGGCTAATTTTTCTATTTTTGGTAGAGATCGGGTTTCACCATGTTGGCCAAACTGGTCTCAAACTCTTGACCTCAAGCGATCCACCTGCCCCAGCCTCCCAAAGTGTTGGGATTACAGGCATGAGCCACTGCACCTGGCCTTCAAGCCCTTTCAAACAACACAAACAGATTCCTCTGGACTTTATAGATGATGCCTGATGACTTACTGTCAAATTAACCTGAGGAGTTGATGCAATCAACAAGGATTTTCTGATTTCTTATCTACAGTGAAGCAAGAGCCGACGAAGGGCCCCCCCAGGGAGCCTGGTGTCTTCCACAGCACTGTGCTGAGAGCCTGGGTGAGGCTGCCCTGCAAGGACTTACCATAAAATGGCCCCTGCTGAAATATGACAAGGAAAACTCTTTGGGATAAAAAGGAGATAAACATGGCCTACTAAAGCATCTCTCATGAACAGCTGGTGGCCAGCTCTGTGCTTCAGGGCTGCCCCTTAAGAGACAAAAACAGGAGAGTTTGGGGGAGCAAATGGAGAGCCTGCAAAACCTAGCTGCTCCTCAGGCCTGGCCTCCCCACCTGAGGCTCAGCCCAGGAAGCTGGCAGCTCGGCTCTGCTGTGTTCCTGCCCAGTCACAGCAGCGCAATCCCTGGTGACGGCCTGAGACCCAACTCACTTTGCTGACAGCTTACAGGCCTGCAGGACGCTCCTTCCCTAGACCTGTCAGGCGGGTGATCTGAGATGGGATCTGGCCTGAGCTTCTGCTCACCCTGGCACTTCTGTTCGCCCACTTCCTTTAGCTTGGGGGTGGCTGGTGCCCTCCTGGCTATGACAAGGGCCCTCCTGTGGGGCTTTGCATGGCCCCTGTGTCCATCTCGGGACAGCATTCTAGCACCATCCAGCTTCTCTGGAGTGAGACTCGGGAGTTTTCAGTCCACTGAATGATGCCTAATGACAGCATTCCAGGAGGAATGCATATGCATTACAGGCCCCCACCCGAAGGGGGGCTGGGCTGTGCTCTCCACTCCTCCGTTCCCACATGACATCAGTCTTGTGAAAAGCTCCCCTCTTGCAGAGTTCAGCTATAAGGAACTTTGTGCGTAAAATGTTCTTCAGCTTCCAACTCAATTCTATAGCAGTCGAAGAAGCAGGCCTGAAGGTTGTCAAGGGTACCTTGGTTTTAACCCTTTGGATTTAGAGGATAATAGCCAGTTAAAAACAACAACAACAACGACACTCACACATTACATTTTCTGTTTTTCTCAGAATCTCTGAAAAATTGGACAATTCCTAAAAGTATGAAAAAAGTATTCCTTGCTTTCTATCTAAAGAACATCCAAGCCCAGCCTTCGTGGAATCAGTCCGCTGTCATTACTTATCTTAACACATGACTCATGCTTGAGACTCTCAATAGAAATTATATCTGATCTCAGCTATTAACAAACTAGTTCCAGTGGTTCCTAATGAAAGCTCAGATAAGACTATCTCTCTCTCTGAGCTTGGTGATATATTTAATTCTTAAGTAGAGTAACTGTGTCTTTTCCCAATCAGCAGAAAATAATATAATTTTCTTAAAATCTTTGATACTCATAACTATTTCCCTATGGTGTTGAGAGAGAACAAAATAAAAATCAGAAAATACATATGAATAGGAAAATCTTGAAGCATCTGATCGCACCTTATCTGAGCATGGTGGCTCTTTCATAGGTATGTTTTTTCATGGTTTTGCTTTTAGCTTAGATGTTCTCCTAGAAAAACTGTCTCCAGTTTACATGTTGAAATTATACGTATCAATATTTCAAGTCACTTGGCAAAGAGTATGGTACTTTTATTCTCAGATGTTTGGATTTCCTGGATAAGCGGAGAGCCATTGTTTAAAAATATAAAAATACATAATGTAAATTATACATTATATATACATACATACACACGATATATCCACACATACATACATACATACACACACACACACACACACCCTACCATTCCCTTTTTTTTTTTTTTTTTTTGAGACAGTGTCTTCTCTGTTGCCCAAGCTGGAGTGCAGTGGTGTCAACACAGCTCACTGCAGCCTCAACCTTCCAGGCTCAAGTGATCCTCCCACCTCAGCTTCCCAAGTAGCTGGGACTACAGCCATGTACCACCTGGCTAATTGTTTTAATTCTTTTTAGAAATGATGTCTCGCCATGTTGCCCAGGCTGGTCTCGAACTCTTGGGCTCAAGTAATCCTCCCACCTTGGCCTCCCAAAGTACCAGAATTACAGGCATGGGCCACTGCACGCAGCCTATTGTTAACATTCTGTATCATACTAATGCTTACTTTGTTTTTCTCTTCGTACTGCCGCCTAGATTCAGCCAGCTGTTCTTCAAGCTCCAGCAACATATCTTTTAGGGTATCAACCTGGTACATGAAGTTTGTCTTTTCATTGTCTAGCTGAGCATTGGAAACCATAGCCTTCTTATATTTCTCTTCAACTTCTGCTAGAGAGTCCTGTGGAAAGCAGGTCATATTTTTGAAATTGCAATAAAAAAATCAAAACAAAGAATCATTCAGTATTCTGTTAAAAAAAAACCCTCAGTCCTAAACTTAGACTATATTTCTTAGAGCAAATGGATCAGAAGAAGAAACACATGGCAATTTCAAATGCATGGAAATCCCCCTTTTCAATTTGGTCAAATTCTCATTGCTCAGAAAATTCACTATTAAAAGCAATGGACACACTCATTAGAACAAACGAGATACCAGTATGGAAAGGGATGTGGTCACAGAGGCAGTAGAGTCTCTGGCCCCACTCAGTAGCTGGGGAATCCCCCCAGCACGGCGTCCTAGGGCTGGGTGTCAGGCTGTTCAACAGATTTCTGAAGAATCACTCGAGGCGTGTGACCAGCCCTTGTGAAAGAGCCAGTGTGTGATGGCTGAGATAATTACATAGGGCCACAAGCCAGTGACTGCCAACCAGCCCTACTCTGGCTTATGAACCAGGAAAGGAGCAGTAGTGAGTTCAGATTTTTGACTCATAGGAAAATGGCAGGCAGATCTCACTGGGTAGGTCCTGGAAAGACAAAGGTCATTCCCTTTGAAGGACAGTCCAGAGAAAGAGGCCTGTAAAATACGCATGGCGATGCCCTCACGTGCCTCACACCCTTGCAGGTCCCCAAACATGAGGAGGGGAAGGCGATTCCAAAACAGAGAGGCAGAACCTTCAGGGCGCATACATGCAGAGCTAAAGGCAGCGGCAAGAGCTGCCAGTTCAGGTGCAGCAGAGGCTACCAGGGGGCTGGAGGGACCAGTGCTGGTCTAGCTCTGTACCTCCACACCAGGACAGCTGCTTCACGTGGGACCAGCGGGTCTCCGGTTGGTTCAGTGGCTCCCCAGCAGCATTTTTTCTTTTTTGAAACAGTGTCTCGCTCTGTCACCCAGGCTGGAGTGCAGTGGCACGATCTCGGCTCACTGCAGCCTCCACCTGCCAGGTTCAAGTGATTCTCCTGACTCAGCCTCCCAAGTAGCTGGGATTACAGGTGCGCACCACCACACCTGGCTAATTTTTATATTTTTAGTAGAGACGGGGTCTCACCATGTTGGCCAGGCTGGTCTCAAACTCCTGACCTCCGGTGATCCACCCACCTCGGCCTCCCAAAGTGTGGAATTACAGGCGTGAGCCACCACGCCTGGCCAAGTGGCTCCTTTTCGCATGAATTGAAAGCCAGAGTCTTATTTTTCCCCCTTTCAGGAAAGGTGGCAGATATGAAGATAGTGAATTAGTCATGATCGATGTCACCTCCTCTGTCTGGTGCCCTTTGATATTAAATTCAAATGATCTTGCAGGTACTTTCTAGGGGGCTGAAAAGGAAGTAACAGATACGCCACCCACTTCCAGATCCATGATCCGCTGCTGCCTAAGGAAGACAGTCACTGATTGCCCACCTTACTGTCAAGGAACAGGGCAACCACATCTCCTGGCTGGTGCAATGAAGTCACTGCACACTCTAAAAGCAGTGTGCACACGCTCCAAGAAAGCCAATGCCATAGTCAGTCTTTACTTCAATTAGTAGCATTTTACAGGGTGCAAATAATTGGGATGTTTCAAAAGTGTGGCATGTGAGGACGGCCTTATTAGTAGACATCAGATATTTTGAGAAGCAAATCAACTGAAGCATTTTTGTATACAACTACTACAAAAAGTGAAGAAAACCAAGAACCTTCTTCAAGTGTCTGGCACACGCCTATGGGAAATGAGAAACTGGTTTTAAGCCTGGGGGAAGGATGGTAAGTCTAAGGCATGCATCAGGGAGTATGTTAGTAACCTTTTCTACTGGGCAGTTACATTTTCAATCTTGGTTCAAACAATGCATTTGGGAAAATGGTGAGTGTACACCCATGCCGGCACTCCTGCCATTGTGAGTTCTTCTACACCCTGGAGCCTATTTACAGTAAGCATGCACTTTGAATTTCTTCTTTAGGATGTTGTTTTTTTTTTTAAGTTAAGTTGGGTTAATATCGTGAGACCACACGTCTGTGAATTGGTACCTTCATCTCTTTCAATCCCTGCATGTATTTGCCTTCTACATCCTGAATCTGGTCCTTTAACTCATTGAGTTCCTGGGGGAAATGGCAAAAAAGGCAGATGATGTCAAGGGAAAACAGGTGATTCCCTAAATCTTTTATACTTCAGGGTAGTTTCTATTTGGGTAGTCTGAGCACCCAATTTTCTTTTTTATTTTATTAAGCGTTAAGGGAAAATAAACTTCAATATTTAAAGATTAAAGTTCAGGTGTATCCCATATGATATTTTTACATGATTTTATACAATTTTAGTGTATCTCATATGATTTTACACAGTTTAAAAAACAGACAAAATAGAGCCTCGGAAAACGGTACAGGTTATTTCAACTCCTATTTAGTAATTCATTCAAGCACTAGGAGTTCCTACTCTGTGCAATGTACAGTAAGATGCTAGAGGCAAAAATCAGTAGCACTTTTTCCCTGCATTTATGGAGCTCCAAGTCTCTACTTTGCCAAATTCCTGGTGCCGGGGACAGCATCTGGCACCAGCCAGCCTCTCAGTAAGTACCTGAACAAATGAACGGCACGCGCAACCTAAGGGCAGAGAAACATCAGGACTGCCGCCAACTCTGCTGCTCTGCTGTAGAAACGGAAACAACAGGCCAGGCGCAGCGGCTCACGCCTGGAATCCCAGCACTTTGGGAGGCCGAGTGGGTGGATCACCTGAGGTCAGGAGTTCAAGACCAGCCTGGCCAACATGGCGAAACCCCGTCTCCACTAAAAATACAAAAGTTAGCCGGGCATGGTGGCGGGCGCCTGTAATCCCAGCTACTCAGGAGGCTGAGGCTGGAGAATCACTTGAACCTGGGAGGTGGAGGTTGCAGTGAGCCGAGATCGTGCCATTGAACTCCAGCATGGGTGACAAAAGCAAAACTCTTGTCTCCAAAAAAAAAAAAAAAAAAAAAAAAAGAAAGAAAGAAAAGAAAAGAAAAAGGAAAAAAAAAGGGAAGCAACAAGGAGCTGCAGGTGGCCCAGGGGTGGCACATGGGAAATGGCTCTTCTGGTTTTGTAAACTTATAAAACATAGGTGTTGGAAGCATCTTCAAGGTAACCCTGGCCAAACTCTGGTGGATGCTTAAATCCCTCTCCGTCCTCCCTGGCAAACGGCCATCCAGCTGCTCAGACATCCCCAGTGGAAGTTGCTTCCCTTTTAAACCTAGTTTAAAGCACTAGAAAATTCAGAATCTGAGTCAGTTCTGGCTCCTTTCAGCTGCTTCTGTCTTGGTTCTGCTCCCTGGAGGACACAGGTCTAGTCACCTCACCTGCCCTTCCAGTCTTCAGGTTTTCAGATGCACTGTCCCTAGTTACTTTAACAAATAGCACCGTGTTTCTCTTTCACACACAGAATACTACCAAATGCCTGGCACTGTCCTGGGTGCTGAGGATAGAGCAGAGAATAATACCTACACTACAGTGGGATAAAAAAAATCATTAAAATACAAAGATGAGGGCTACTAAAGGCACATTACAAAGAGAAAGGAAAGGGCAAGTTCTAGGCCGAAGGGGAACATACTTAGTGGGGAGGGGTTGTGTGAAAGTAGGTAAAGCCGTCTGGTGTCCAAACTTGTGGACTGAATGTCTATGCAGACCAAGCATACAGAGACGACCAAGTGCATCAACACAACGTGCCAAGTGCTCTCACTAAGGTATTCCCCGGGTGCTGAGGGGCGCAGGGGGCCGGCACACGGTCCGCCCTGCTGGGGGGTCAGTGGGTAGGATCAGATTCCTGCAGGAGACACTATCTGAGCTGGGTCTTGATGTTAGGAGAACACCGTATTTTAGGGGAGGTGAGGGAGAGAGGACCAAGAAGAAAGATCCAGAACTTTATGAATTAACTTTTTTTTTTTTAATCTAAAGACTGATTTTTACAAAAGGTTCTCTCAAGTTGTCAGTAAGAAGAGAGCATCTCACCTTGATTTCCCTGATGGATGCCTCGGTGTCGATGGAGATGGAGGTGTCTCCGCTGCCTCTCCGAGAGGAAGTCCCACCCAGAGAGGCCAGCGTGGCTGCAGACAGGCCCGGCATGTTACGAGACCCCTGGAACGTTGAGAGGATCACATGCTGATATGGTTTAGCTCTGTGTCCCCACCCAAATCTCATCTGGAATTGTAATCCCCATAATCCCCACAAGATGAGGGACGGCCCTGGTGGGAGGAGACTGGATCACGGGGGCAGTTTCCCCCATGCTGTTCTCGTGATAGTGAGTGGGCTCCCAGGAGATCTGATGGCTTTGTGTTTGACAGTTCCTCCTTCACATGTTCTCTCTCCTGTCGCCTTGTGAAGAAGGTGCCTGCTTCCCTTTTCACCATGATTGTAAGTTTCCTGAGGTCTCCCCAGCCATGCGGAACTGTGAGTCAATTAAAGCTCTTTTCTTTGTAAATTACCCAGTCTCAGGGAAGTTCTTTATGGCAGTGTGAGAACGGACTAACACAGATGCGATTTCAGACAAAACCAAAACTGCATATAAATCTAACATCACAGGACTGTTACTTTAATTCCATTTCCAAATTGGAAACTCTTCATGGGCTTATAGTAAACTGTAAGGAGGGGATCATTTCCAGGCACCTCCTGGATGCTCTGCGATTAGCTGGATTAACCCTAAACTCCATGGTGGGGCCCATTATAAACGCCTCCCTGCTCTACAGGATCTAACGCACACCGGACAGGACTCCCGGTGGCCTACCTCCGGGAAGGTGATACCAGGTTAGGTGGGCCGCTTTCTAGTCCAGTTCCCTCGCTGGGGAACATCCTTATTAAAAAAAACCAAGCAACATATTTTCTTATCAATTTCATCCACAACTTTTGGGACCCTCTAGGTTTATGAACGATTCCTTACCTTCTCAGTAAAATCTTTTTCTGGTCTCTCTTCTACCTGTAGACGAAAACAGACAAAATATTAAATACTTTAAAAGCATTAAATGGATAACATGAAGATGGGGCTATGAATGATAAACAAAACAAAACAAAACATTTGCTTCCTTTGTAATTTAGAAGCAGAAAAATGGGACACTCCAAATTTAGCTTTTCACACTTCTCCTATTTGGATGTCTGTGAGGCCCCTTCTTCTCTTGTCCTCATTTGGACGTCCCTGAGGACCCTCTTCTCCTGTCCTCAGGTAGGAGTCTCAGTGGGACCCACAGCGGGCTGTGGAACTACAAGAGAGGGTGCACATGAGGAACGGACCCTGGAGAGAGCCCTGCACCATGAGGGTGTCTCGGGACAAGAGGCAGAGGCCGGCAGTGGTGTTACTTCTTTCTCGGCTCAGCATCCAACAAAAGACAGGTTTCTTTTTTTCTCCTTTTTTTGTTTGTTTGTTTGTTTGCAGGACTGGGTGGGGGGAAGGGTTTTTTAAACAAAGATTAACTACCTGGAGTGCTGCTTTTTTTATTTTTTGGCACATTGAAGGTTCTTATCATAAGCCCACTGAGAAGGTTACCAAGGTTGAGTTTGTCTAAAAACTCTCTGGGAAAAGCTGTCAACTAATCATGTTTTCCCCATCATGCCTTCAACCCAACTTCCCGTAGCTCAGAACTTCTTCACTTTGATTGTCAGAAAATCGGCCAAAGACATGCGCGGCAACTGCAGACCATATGTTTGATTCAGAAGATCTGAGAGATGACCTGGGACTCTGCAGTCACCGTTGTGAGCTCACACAGAGATAATTCATAATGAAGCTTGAGAAATCCTGATGGAGAGCTGCGGAGGCCACGGCTCAGCAACACCTGAGCTGCACAGACGCTGGTGCCGGGGACCTGCAGCTCAGCACAGGGGTGCAGGTGCTATGGTCAGGGTGTCAGAGAGATGGTGACCTCCAAATGACCACTTCCCATCTATGGCCCGAGTCCACGCTGGGCCAGATGCCCCTGCCCTCACCATCCGGTCCCACCAGGAAGGCTCATTAACTGCCACCTTCCCTCCTGCAAACTCCTTGTACCTTCAACTTCTCCTCCAACGACACCTGGAGCAACACTAAAACAACATAACCAGGAGTTATAGCTGGTCAGCCAGTTAAGGGATCAAATGGAATCCCACAAAATACTCGGTTAATCCAAAAGAAAGCAAAATCCAAGACCAGCTCTTAGCTCAGGGTGGCCATGTTTAAGGGTCTCCTACTCAACAGATCCAAGCTAAACCCTGCGGCCTGGCTCCCAAAGCCATCAGATGGTCTCGCCCAGCCACCCCACACCTGGGTGTTCAAAAATAAACTTTCTACTCTCATCTAACCAGTCTCCTGTGTCCCAAGAGCAGGAGTGGAAATGGGGGCAGAGAGGCCACATCCCTCAGGCCAGTGGGATGCAGTCAGGGGCAGGCTGGCCTCTCTCCCCTCTTTGCTAAATAAGCCCTTTGGGCAGGGTGGTGGTGGGGTGGTCCCTCTGCCCACTTAGCCACAGCTGCTAAGGACCCACCTGAGGCCCTGTCCAAGACCATGTGTTCACGGGCGCTTTCCACAATCCCAGCTGCTTACGGCTCTCTGCCCTGATGTCCATTCTCACGTTGGGTGCAGCCCAGCTATACCGCAGTGAAGACGGCTCTCTCCAGCTGTGGCCCATACCATCTGCAGCCCATACCATCTGCATTTGCTGATGTGTCGAAATGCACATCTAGAGTTATTTTTTCGGATGTGCATGCCACATCAGCCTAACTGTGTACTTGGAGGCACCAAGGCAGACTCCGATAAGATGAGTACCAAGGCAGACTCCGATGGGACAGATACGAAGGCAGACTCTGATCAGATGGGCACCATCTCATTTGGCAGAGCCCCAGAAGCCCTGCAGCCATGTTGAGTTGTGAGGATGATTGGAGCAATTCAAGTGTGGTTCTCAACTTCACATGGAAAGAAAAATATTCCTGAAATATTTTTCAAATCAAAATTTCAAGGCCAGGCGCGGTAGCTCCTGTCTGTAATCCCAGTACTTTGGGAGGCCGAGGTGGGCAGATCATTTGAGGTCAGGAGTTCGAGACCAACCTGGCCAACACGGCGAAACCCTGTCTCTATTAAAATTACAAAAATTAGCTGTGTGTGGTGACATGCACCTGTAATCCCAGCTACTCAGGAGGTTGAGGCAGGAGAATCTCTTGAACCCAGGAGGTAGAGGTTGCAGTGAGCTGAGATCATGCCACTGCAATCCAGCCTGGGCGACAGAGTGTAACTCTGTCTCAAAAAAAAAAAAAATAAATAAAATAAAATAAATAAAATTTCAAAGAACAAGGAAATGTGAACTATCTATCTAGCACTTAGCGTGCTGGAGAATAAATTCATTAAATCTCCTGGGCCCAAAGCCTTTTATTCCTTAGAGTAAGTTAGTTTGCTGAACAAATATTAATAAGATGAAAATAAAGAGGCTAGTTTAACTCTTGGTGGGATATGAAAATCCAGTTTAATAGACTGCCAAACTACCACTGAAAAGCCTGTGGCATGTTTGCTCCACGGTGTAAAACGTATGTTTTCTGGCTGCTGGTCAGCAATGGATAAATACTGTGGAGAAATAAATGAAGCTCCAGGAATGCATTCGTTTACCTACAAAGATATCTGAGACCGTAAAAGAAGGGCCCACCCAAGCCCTTTTTTCTTTCTGGTATTTCTTGCAAGAAAGCTGAGAAAGAAAACACACGGGGTCCACAAACCTTGATTTTGGGGGGGCAGGGCTTTAACACATCTTTGTTCTGCATGGTTTTGCTTGTAACCGTCTACATCATTTGTTTTTATAATTTGTAAAATATCAAATAAGGGAAAAAACCCCAAAAACCATAGTTTGCTGTTTTTATCATTTTAAAAAAGTCCTTGCTCCGAAGAACACAACGGACTCAAAATAAAATCTGGGCATATTTTTAAGTAGAGACCATGCAGAGAAAAACTAAAAATTAAGCTCTTGTTGAAAGGTGATGGCAAATGAACGTCTAACCTATCTCTATTTTACATAGTAGAGTAAATTTCATTTTGTGTGTCTTCCGAATGAAAAAGGATTTGTCAGCTTTCCTCAAACACAGGAAGGCTATTCAGCCCCGTGGAAAGCCACGCAGCCCCACTCGTGTCCACCAGATGGCAGTGTGTCACAGCTGCAGGGGCCGGGCCCGGACAGAAGCCGCAGGCAGCAGAGTCCACCTTAACCAAGCCCCCTTTCCTAAGCCCTAGCAGAGCCAGGTAAGGAATCAGATGTTGTGTTTCATCTTGACATAAAGCACAGCACTTCCTCCCTAAAATGATGAAGAAATGGAAGACAAGAAAGGATTCTAAACACTGTCACGGCCACTGCATGGCATGGTGTGGGGGCCTGGAGGAGGTGGGCATGGTGCAGAGAGGGGTCCAGAGGACATGGTGGCTGCAGACGGTCCAGGCTGCTCTGCCCACCCACCTTAGCCCAGGACGGGAAAGCACCGGACCCCGCAGACAGTGGCCTCCTGCACGGGAAGGGCGACAGCGCCGAACACATTGCAGCCTGTTAGCTTCATGACTCTCGTATTCTGAGTGATACTAAACATTTCAGGTCAGGGTGAAAACGTCACACTAACAGGTTTACAAAGTATGTGTGTTGTATTTTACAGCCACAGCTGAGTGTATACAGACATCATTGAAAATCTACTGGAAACAGTCACTTCTAAAACACGTCTGTGGAAGTTTAGTTTACGTCAAGTTTCCTTTCAAAAACAAATGCTTCAAGGAGCACATTAAATATTTTATTAATTCCAACTTTCTAACACTGTGTCTAAAGGAGTTTGCTATCTAGGCTCCTGTACACACGATGCCTGGTGAGGCTAAAACGCTAAGTTTTCCATGTTCCAGCTGCCTGCCATTTTCCTAAAGAAAGAATATGTGGCACCTGTTCACGTACCCAGAGAGACCCTACTCAAGGGCCCAGGTACAAAAGGAACCTGTCCTCAACACCCAGCCAGGCAACACCAGACTTGGATGGAAAAAGGGATCACCGAAGCAACATCCTTGCGAGGTCCTTCTTGAGACACAAACAAACAGCAAACACTGCTCAGAAAACACCCATTTTAAGGGTAATTTTCCTTCACATTTAAATGATAGCACAGTCCACCACTAGGGTGACGGTTTTTGGTTTTAAATCCAATAATATTTACTTTAGCCTGAATGACTTATCTTTGAACTCTGGTGTTTGTAATTCAAGACCCGTTTTTCCACCTGGTCCCTGCCCCTGCCTCTTTGTGCAACAAAAAACATGAGTCAAAATAGTGTTGTTTTTCTAGTCCAAATGGGCAGAGATCTGAGTTCATTGCTCCTGTCTTCTCTGAGTACACGAGGGAAGATATGGACCCAGGCTGCCCTTGGGACATTCCTGATGGATGTTTCAGAAACGTGATGGCTTCACCAGGTTCCCAGTGAGATTTTGGGGCCTGGATGACCCAGATCTGTTGGCTTCACTAGGTGGAGTCACTCTGCTTGGGTGTGGCCCAAGCTCTGGCCGTCAAACCTCTGGATCCCAGCTCTCTCGAGGCACCTTTGCCTCCCCTCACACCCCCGCTGCTGGGCTTCACAACGTGTGATCACCCAACAAGCATCCGTCTGCCCCTGTCTGTGCGTCCCATGAGGGCTGGGGCAAGTCTGCATTTGCTCATACAACGGCCCTGTTTCTGGAACATTCTAGGTGCTCAATAAACACTGAATGAATGAGTGAAATAACTTCCTCAAGGAGAAGATCCTGGTCGTGCTGGAGAGGAAGAAAACACAGCTCATCCACAGCATGGGAGAAGATGAGAATGAGGTGAACAGTATTCTATGCCTGTCTTGAGATGGGGCTGATGCCCTCTCTGCTTTCCCAAGGACCCTGGGAGGACCAAGTGGGTGGAGAAAACTTGAAGTCTTGTCCCTGGTGGTGGTCTCTGGACACTGAAGCATTTTCATTTTCTCGAAGTGGGACAAGCAGTCACTTCCTTCATTCTGGTTACTACTGCCCTTTAACAGCACCACCCTCCCTCCCTCCCCTCTGATGGGTGTGACACACTCACCTGTGCACCTGTATCTCCCAAACCCAGGGCGGGACTCCCTACAGAGCCTGCAGGGCTGACCCTGACTTCATATTTTTCTTGTCCTCTGTCCTCACTCATACTGGCCCTGGATACGTGTCCCTGACGAAGTCCCCGGCCTGGGAGCATTTCCCATGAGCTCTCGCTACAACAACTGTATCCCATCCCTGGCTAACCCCAGCCAAGGAGAAATAAAGTAACCATATGTTTTTTTTTTGTTTTTTTGGGGGGGTTTCTTTTTGCTTTTTAAGGGTATCATGACCCCTCTTTCCAGGGGAAGCACAAGAAGTTTATGTGCCCAGCTAGATGTCCCAAGCCAGGAATGAGAGCTGTGACATCTGAACCCGGGTTCTGAAACTCCCTGCCTCAGAGCACTGCCTGCTCCATATGACCTCAAGGAAGGCCAGACTGGAGGGTCATTCACCTTTGCCACCACGCTTACACCAGGCCCTGCCCAAGACCTGTTGCTCCTCCCTCCCAGGCAGAAGGACCGGGGAGTCCTATCCAGGCTCTCCTGGCTTCTTCCCATCAACAAGGCCAAACACAACCACTAGCACTTTCTGTTGTCCCAGGAGATCCAAAATATACCAGCAATGGTGTAAATGTCCCAAGACAGAAAACAGAAATGGAGTCAATTTAGTATAAGAGGACCATGAGTTTTGGAAATTATGGAAATGAGCTAGCTTAGTTCTGTCTCCCAGGCTCTCTTCAGATACCAGGGATGCTGCCTGTGCTCACCGTCTTTCTATTCTCGACACGATCAATCAAGGGATACCGTAACACATCCGCGAGGGAACTGCCCTGCACTCTACAGAGACCTCTCTGCATTCTAAGAACCACATACGGGAGGTTTCATCAGATGTAAGGCACCCAGGATGAGATGGGGGACAGCCTTGTCCCTCACTGCGGGACTGACCTTTGTTCCCTAAGCGTGCCAACCAGCCCGCAATCAACTGACCTTTGCTAGTTGAGCAATCGATTCAGGGAAGGAAGAGCAGATACAAGGAGATCACCCACCCCCATCAGGTCCCAGGACGCCCAGGAAGGCTGAACTCACATCTTTCTGTTTATGATCATCTAATAAACCTGTGAGTAAATTTTATACAAATTTAGAAAACACATGACAAAGGAATTTGTATCATTTCAGTCTCTTCGGTCAATTTCGTATGACAAAGAAATTTGTGTCATTTCAATCTCTAAGTGACTATATTGAGCCCTGTTATTTTGAGACTTCATCATATGCTTGAATAAAGACAATGCTTAACAAAATCCAATTGTCATGTCTCACTGGAACCAGGCAGAGGGTACAGAGGGCATTAAGCGTGTTTGGGATTCACTGAAAGTAAAGCCACAACATTCTTCTGTCAATTGTAAATACTTATATTTTCTTTTCTTTCTTTTTTTTCTTTTTTCTTTTTTTTTTAGACGGAGCCTTGCCTTGTTGCCCAGGCTGGAGTGCAGTGGTGCGATCTCAGCTCACTGCAACCTCCACCTCCTGTATTCAAGTGATTCTTCAGCCTCAGCCTCCCAAGTAGCTGGGATTACAGGCATGCGCCACTACACCCGGCTAATTTTTGTATTTTTAGTAGAGATGGGATTTCTCCATGTTGGCCAGGCTGGTCTCCAACTCCTGACCTCAAGTGATCCACCTGCCTCAGCCTCCCAAAGTGCTGGGATTACAGGTGTGAGCCACCGCGCCTGGCAATACTTACATTTTCTTTTCTGAAAAGTGAGTGTGAGAAGACAAAGCAATCCTACACTAAATTTATTACGGAAAATGTTTCTTCCTGGTAGTTTTAAGTGATCACATAAGTCAGCTTATGTTTATTGCTCTACTATAGAGTATGAGATAATACAGAGATCCCAACTTTAAGGAAGACACAGCCTTGGGGGCTGGCCAGGCTTACTGAGTCTGTGATCTGAAATTCCTTGTTCACAACCATTTACTTTCAGTTATTTGAATAACAGCATCAAGACCAACTTGTCAGGTTTGAAAATGGGAAATCATGTCATAATGAACAGCTGAGTATCTTCCTGTTATTGCCTGATGCACTCTGGGGAGAGATTACTGGGGGGCGGTGTGCCCCTGGAGTTTGCATGGTAGCTGCCGCCTCGCACTCCCTGCACACATTTGGCTTCTCTCACTGCTGACTGCTGGGCTCTGGGATGGGGAGGGGTGGAACACAAACTCAAATGCCTGTGAGGCCAGGTGGGCAGAGCCAAATGTGTGACAAGAGTGGGTGTCTGCAACTTATACAGAGGGGAGAGTCTTCCCCCAGAGAAAGAGGCGCTGGCGTTGCAATGCCCACCCATATTGAACTCTATTTTCCTGCTCTCCATGGCTGGATGGAGGAGATAAACATTCCTCTAGCACAGGAAAGCCATGCTGCACAGTGATGAATGGCACCTGGGCCGTGGCCTCGGGGTCACGAAAATAGTGGGTGGGGTGGAGGCTGTGCAGTTCTGCAAGGCAGCCTCAGAGTCAAGTGGCCAGAGATCCTGGGTTTTCTTCCCCCAAAGAAGCTGATACCTGCATTTGCTGATACCTGAATGCAGGTATCAGGTGCGAGGTAGGAAACCTCACAGTTTTAAAAGACTGCATCTAATTTAAAACACAAACAAACCACCAGCACCACAATAGGAAAAGCCCGCCAAAAAAGGTACATCCACGCAAGCAGGAGGTCTCAGCGCTGCGACTTCTTGGTTGATTACTAGGAACGTTACAGAAATTGTAGGGATCAGCACGCTGAAGTATGGTGTTCAGTAACTAACTTAAGAGCCACATTTTAACTTCTCGATGGCTGGGAGAAGTTTTTGTTTTTGTTTTTGTTTTCTAGAGGCAGGGTCTCACTCTGTTGTCCAGGCTGAAATGCAGTGGCACTCATAGCTCATTGCAACCTCGAACTCCTGGGCTCAAGCAATCCTCCCACCTCAACCTCCTGAGTAGCTGCGACTACAGATGCGTGCCTCCACACCTGGCTAATTTTTTTTTTTTTTTTTACTGTTTAGAGATGGGGGGTCTTGCTATGTTGGCCAAACTGATCTCCAACTCCTGGCTTCAAGAAATCCTCTTGCCTCAGCCTCCCATGACGCTGGGATTACAGATGTGAGCCACCACACCCAGCTCAGGCTGGAAATTTTGATATGAGTGGAGACGAACAGGGAAGCCTTGCCCATCTTTGCTTTTTCTCCCCAAGGTTTCTCACTGGCTCTTGAGGGTGGGAACGCTGGTCTGGTCGTGCAGCCTGGAGCTGTTTCCCCGGCCATGTGCCCACCTCCCCTCCTCCATTCCCACAAGCCCCAGTCCAAAACCGTCCTGCAAACTCTTCCTTTAAAAAGAGTCATAGGGTCGCCTTCAAGCATCACATCAGGTAAAACTGTGTCAAATTCCAACAACCCAGGGGAAAACACACAATAATGAGACTTAACAAGCTGGGGATGACCTAATAGGGCTCCTATTTTCTGAAACAAAACTTGGGCCACGCTGAGTGACAAGCAGGATGCAGGGCTGCAAATCTGCACATTTCGAAGGATCTGAGAACCAGGAGGGTAACGAATGATTGGGGCCAAACTGGGAGCGTCCCGGGATCTACAGGCCACGCTTTACCTTAAACACTGTCGGGGTCTGATCACAGGTAACACTTCAAGCAAAGCATTAACAGTCAATACTTCAAATTTTTAAATCATAAAAAGAAAACCACACATCCGTGCACATGGCTATATTATTTTCTCCCTTTGTATAAAGTTTGCCTCCTCTAAGATCCCCATCTCTAAGCACAGCTAACAATTTCTTTTACGGTCCTTGAAAAGTTGAGCAATGTAATCCTAATAATATCACCGCAGAGTAATATTCTAAATTTGGAGACGTTGGAAGAGGAGGATAAGGGAAGGGGGAGGGAGGGTGACACTGAGTAGGAGCAAGGCCAGGAGGCCGACTTACCACAGGGCTGGCCCGGGCCGAGCTGGCCCTGGAGGAGGCGCGGGAGCTGGAGTTGAGGTGGCCGCTGTACTCCGAGGGCTGCCCACACAGCCACCGCCAGGACACGCAGCCAGAAACAAAGGAACAGGGTCAGCAAAGGAGCAAGGAGAATAGAGGCCGACAGAAAACATGCTGCAGTAAGTGGTGAGGTTAGCCACGCACGGCAAGGAAAAGAGAGTTAGGGTTAGACAGCAAACGCATATTCAAATCAGTGCTCGCTAAGAATAAAAAAGCCAATCACATTATCAGAGGAACACAGAATTTCTCAGAGTTAGGAAGAAGAAAATAACACAAAGCACCCGTTCAATTGGGTGTGCAGTCACACCTAGTGTAGACACAGAAAGTCACCCCGTGGATGTGGAAATGACTGTTTTGAGAACTTAAGCTGCCTTCCGGCACAGAAACTGAAGACTTGCACAGGGCGCTTGGCGCTTTAGCAAGGGAACAAAAATTTTGCTTCTCCACTATCTTTCCAAGTGGAAGCAAAATGAGAGTTAGGGTTAATACAAAATTATGTATGGCTTTTTAAATTGCCAGATTACCTTCTACCTGGGTGGTTGCTATGTACACATCTGTCTATCCATTTACCTGAACTTTCTCACTTCTGGTAAAGGAAAATACCAGCAACTCGATTATCTGGAAGCTACGCCCTTGTAACTTTGATTTATGTTCACATCTGCTAGTCTTAGATACATTTTCACGTTATTATAAACATTCTCATATTCTTCCTGAGCAAGGCATGGTGGGGCGGGGGCAGGATTTGAACACTATTTAGGATCCCGACATGTCCTGAGGAGCATCTTCAAGAGAGACCCACGCAGCACCATATAGCAAGCCTCGCCACTGCTGAAGGCCCCTCCATTCCAGCCCCTGGACACCCTGCACTGTGCTGGGCACAGAACCCTCTGCTGGCCTCACAGGCTCTGCTGGGGACCTGCCGAAGTGCCCTGCTTGCGAATTATAAGGAAGCCCATATCTTCAGGGGTGCTCATGATCTCATCCAGATCTTCACGGGTGCTCAAGATCTCATCCAGATCTTCAGGGGTGCTCAAGATCTCATCCAGATCTTCATGGGTGCTCCAGATCTCATCCAGATCTTCAGGGGTGCTCATGATCTCATCCAGATCTTCAGGGGTGCTTGTGATCTCATATAGATCTTCAGGGGTGCTCATGATCTCATGTCAAATACCATCTCTTAGTTTGTTTCCTCACCAGGGCTAGTGACCAGATGAGGCCTGGCAAACTCAAGAAATACTTGTTGAATGAACGAATGATTTCAACTGTAGACTAAAATAACCATCAAATGTCAATTGAAAGCATTAAATGTACAGGGCTGTGGACAAGATGGGCAAGTTCCCCAGACCCATCCACCTCTATTTTATTTGATAAATGTTTACTATACACTTACACTCAGGGGCAAGACGTTGTTTCAGATTCACAGATTAATACTGCTGTGTACACAGCACATGTAAAGCATCAATGCCACATTTGAGATATACAAGAAAATCACCAGTATTACTAGCCTCACTTTTTGGCATTCTTGTTGAAAATAAGGAAAACACTTAATGTCAACACTTTAAAGCAGAAGAATTTTGCCTGAGGGTTTCCTGATGTAAGAGAGAGGAAAACTTCATCCTGCAGCAAATCCTTCTCCATCCTATGCCATTCATGCCCTGGTTTATGGTGCAAAGACACAGTGAACTGTTGTGAATAGAGCTTACTGCCCACCCCAGCTTCCCTAAGCAAAAGCAGCTCTCAAACCTTCCAACTGGACCTAATCACGCAGAAAAGAACAAAGTGAAAGTCTATATCGCCACGGTCCACGTGCACCTTATGTTTAGGAGTTATGTGGCTAATGTGCAGAAGTCAGAAAGCTTTAAGTCTGAATCATGGCTCCATCTCTTGTTGGCCACGTGGCTGTGGAAGTTCCTTAGCCCGGCATCTGTGACATGGAAGTAAGGACGTGGGCCAAATGGAGGAGCTGAGGACTAGGAAAGGGGGTACATGTTGGGCTTCTTATTTCCACTTTCTGCCAGAAACAACTTCCTCGGCTCCTGGATCAGACAATGCCACTGGTGATGACTACGTCCCAGCTTTGTCACAACACCGAAGAAAGTCACTTCACACTCAGGAGCTGCGCGGGGGCAATTCCTGGTCCTCCAGGGGCAGGGCAAATCCTCCACAGCAGGACCAGGGCTGTCTGTGCAGGCCTGGGGGAAGCCTGGACCCTGAGGTCACGACCACTTGGGGCTGGGACCTCAGGCCTGGGCGCCGGGGCCGCTCTGGACACCGTCCTGGGCCATAACCTCCCTACACGCTGGACCGAGAGCAGGGGTGGCTCTCTCCCAAGGCCCTCCTGTAAACATAAGGAACGGAGTATCCACTTGGAGGGGAACTGTGAGGGTTCCAGGGAAACGATGGCAGAGGTTGGGAGGTCAGGAACTTCTTTGTCCCTTCCGTCTTCCTCATGGTGCTAATTTCCTGCTCACAGCAGAGCTGACCATCCCTATTTTAGGCAGCTGTGCTGTCAGGACAAGATGACCTCCTGTTTTCTTAACTCTCTAAGGCCATCACTCCCAGGCAATTCTTGTGGGGGCTAAAAGCACAGAAATCACTGCTCGCAGAAGAGCAATGAAGGCCAAGGATCTAGGGCTGACGACTCCCGAAGCCCATCTCAGACGTGACACAGTAGCATCTGGAGAGCATCAGGAGCCCTCCGTCCTGCCAGATCTTAGACTCTCTACTGAAGCCACCAGAAAACCACCTGGTGCTTGGGGGAAATTTCTCTTGAATTAGTATTCTCCCTCTTTTCTGACAAAAGAAAATCATTAGTTGTGCTTTATCCATCACATCATAGGCAGGGCTATTTCATTCTTCATGCATGGTTTATGAGCTTTCTAATGGCCTATGAAAATGTTTACCAACTGGGAAAAATATGTTATATAGTGGGCTGCAAAATACTGAACAACTTATGTAATATAAAAGTTGATAAATGTGTAATCAGTTGTCGACAAAAACGAATGCTATGTCAACTACTGGATTTAATATTCATAAATTACATTTTAAAGAAAACTGTAGGTTAGACTGGCTTACACCATAAGAATTCATGAATATCCATGATGGCTGGACAAATAGCATAGTAAGTCATAAAACTGGATTTAGTCAAGTAAGTAGCTGATAAACTTCAAAAGCAAAATTATAAAAGCATTTCAAGTATTTCTTAGTAAACCTTTCTATTTCCTGGAGGGCTTGAAGACATTTTTATAGGATTGGGGAGGAGCCTCTGAATACAGGAGATCCACCGCCAGGGAGCACCGGTTAGCACTGAACGCTCCGTTTCCACAGGTCCCTGGGACACGCAAATTCGTCTCCCCACTTCCACGGGTTCCATCTCATTTTTCTACCTTGTTGCTTTTCTCACGCATTCATTCACAAATGTTTATGGTGCACCTATTACATCTTTACCCTCATAGCTGAGCCTATCATTTCAAATTGAAGAAAGAGGTAGAGAGACAACAAAATACAAACAGGGAATGAAATATGCGTAACATTCCAAGTTTTAAAATTTGTTCCTCTTCCTCAACTATCCAGGGACGAGAATGATGTGTGGTCTGTCAAGTTGTCCTTTTCCCGTTTTTATTAACCGAAGACGGTTTCACCACCTGTTAGTATGGTTGGCGTGCTGCAGAGAGAGCAGATGAAACTCAGTGCAAGTTACTCTCCCTGATGAGTGAGGACATGAAACCAACAACCAGAGGTTTCCTGATTCACATTATTTGTGACCTTCATTACAATGGAAGGTGGCGGTTAGCCCGGTGACTCGGCGCTTCCTCCTGAGAATGGCCAGTCACCCCCCACGGCTGGACCCTGCCCAGCGAGCATCCCCAGGCCATGCAGCAGGCACGGGGGAAAGGAGGTATCACCGAAAGCGCCTTACAGCACGGGAGCCGGAGGTGCTGCCCCGTCGGGTCCCACCGAAGCTGCCTTCATCCAACACAGACGCCTGCGACCAAAAGAGACTGTCAGGATGGGCGCTCTTCCTTTCTCCAAGAGTGCCCAGAAAGTGCTGAAAACGTGAGCTGTGAAAAACTGACACGTGCCAGGAGCATGACCTGAAAAAGCATGCAGGGGAGGCTGAGAACCACCTTTCCAGCTCTTCAAAGGGTTGCAGAGTGCGACAAGGAAATGAGGAGAGACCGGTTTTAGTCGTTGTCAGGAGGTGTGCAATGTAATCTCCAACAGACCATTTAAATCTATTACTTTGGAAAACATCCCAGGCCTAAGTGAAAACTTGTTAATCCAGGTTAAAATGAGCAGATAATTCGAACATCCTGAATTTTGTCATGGCATTCTCATACTTGATGCTTAGAAAATTACTCTTATGTGAAGTGACTTTGGGATAAAATATCAAATTATGTTAATTATAGTTTTAATGTTAAATATTTTATAACCCTTTAAAAGTTGCTAAGTAGAAGAAAGAGTAATTGGTTAACTGGAAAATGCTACTTAATTAATCAACGTGGGTAAACAGGAGCTTACACTGCCACAAATGGTGATGTCAAACTTTGCCCGGTATAAAGGAACTTTAATTTCCCTATTTTCCCTTGAGGACATACTAGTTTGCTCAGCCATTTATTAATATATCAAACACATAAGTATGCAATCTGATGGAAATTCAGAAAGTTATTAATGGCTGGGTGTGGTGGCTCATGCCTGTAATCCTAGCACTCTGGGAGGCCGAGGCAGGCAGATCACCTGAGGTCGGGAGTTTGAGACCAGCCTGGCCAACGTGGTGAAACCCGTCTCTACTGAAAACACAAAAAGTAACTGGGTGTGGTGACACGTGCCTGTAATCCCAGCTACCCAGGAGGCTGAGGCAGGAGACTCACTTGAACCTGGGAGGCGTAGGTTGCACTGAGCCGAGATCGTGCCCTTGCACTCCAGCCTGGGTGACAGAGGGAGATTCTGTCTCCAAAAAAAAAAAAAAAAAAAAAAAAGGTTATTAACAAGACAATATAGCTACTTTGAGTATTTACTTTACGTTTCTTGCATAGCATAAGTACTTATATTTAAAACTGGAAATTTCCAAAGTAATATAGTAACATGGATTAGTATCTGTCCAGGTTACCAAAGCATTAAAAAGCCACCATTCTTTCTGCCAATAGGTAAAGTAAACATTGCTGTTGTTCCATTCCTGCCTAACGATCCCAGCAAACACAAGGCTTCCTGGAGACAGAGCAGTGTGGCAGCTACAGTCAACAATCGGGGGAGAGAAAACCCAGATCTGGCCAAAGGGGACAGACATTCCCCACTGGCACATGTAAGCTCCACGTGAAGGTGCAACTTCCCCCAGGGGGCTGGGAACAGGCACATCCCCGGCTCTGGGCTTGGTGGGGGCGGTGCATGCACAGTGGGAGGGGGTGCGGGGCAGCAGGGTGGGCAGCACACGCACCCGGTAACTCCCCGAAGGCCGGGCAGCGCTGTACAGACAGGAGGGCTGGAGGATGAAAGCAAATGGCAGGTTTTAAAAGCCTTGAAAAAACAGCAACAAATGACAGCAAAAGGCCATCACGATAGTTTCAGCATTCACCATAGCCAACTGCTGTACAGTGGTTAAACAGAAACAAACCGATCGAGGCACCGTGTTTTCTGCAAATTTGATAGATGCAAATCCAAAATTTACAAGAAAGATAACTGAGATGATTTTTAACTTTAAAACAGTAAACTTCCCAGCATCTTTAAAACACGATCATTTCTAGTCATTTCAGGCATTCCTGGAAGAAAGGGTCAGGGGATGAGACAGAATGGTGACAAGGTCAACACAACAACAGCAACAAAACCCACAGCTCAAATCCAAGGTTAACGACACACTTGGCAGTATTCAATACGCAGATGTCCACACATGAAGACAGGAGCAGGAAGAGTCTTTATTTCTATGCCAGGGGCCCAGCGACAGTCTTCAAGACACAAAGGGAGTCACTGCAAGGCTGCCTCAGCTGGTGTGGGAGGCACCCCCAGAGGAGCCGCGGTCTAGCCCTGTCAAAGGAGAATCCTGCCTAGCACACACGTCAGGGGGAGGCAGTGCTGGTGAAGGGACAGGCTGGGACACAAGGGCAGCTCCCAGTGTCCAGAGACTGTGCCACGGGACAGAATCTGGACTCATTTCCAGGGCACACTGAGCAAGTCAGGCAAGGTGCACGGCCAGGCGGTGATCACTCAGCAGCTCCAGTCGACATGCAAGGGAGAGGGACAGTTCAACCTCCAAATAGGACGTGTACTTTCACCTCTGACACCGACTTCCTTGGATTAGAATAAGACTCGATACCTATAGCTAACAGGCCAAGCACCTCAGGGCCGGACCTGAACCTGACCTTGTAAAAACAGGAAACAGCGGGGAGACCCAGCCAAAGGAATAACACTGTTCTGTCCACTTCTCAGGGACCAAGGAGGCAGATTAGGCACAAAAACCTTCCAAATTGCTTCCTGGACACATTTACAAGAGAAAAAATATTTTTAAAAAAACAAATGAAACCCCAAATGGGGAACAATTGCTGGAAAAGGAGGAGAGACCCAAGAGACCAATTTTTTGGACTCGAGTTTTTGAAAATATGCATTTAATAAAACCCTCCTTTTCCTTAAGTCTCCTTTTCTATATAGGTTCTAACTTATTTGACATGGTTTTTCTAAAAGATTGACAAAAGTCTTAGCAAACTAGTCAAGCCAATTAAAACAGTTGCTAAGCTTTGCTCTTGTGACTTTGTGTAGAGGAGGCTGAACTATCCACTAAATGTAATCAGCAATTAAAGTGATGCACAGAAGGAAAGGGAAGGAGCGACAAAGTGATGTGAAAAGGAGACAGACCCAGCTTCCATTTGGGGCAGACAGGGGTGTGGGAGCCAGGCCACCACCGGCAAGCCCAAGGCTGGAGCCGGAGAGTCCCTGTAATCAGAGCAAATGGGCAGCAGAGAGGAGAGAGAGGCTCACACCCTCACGGCATCGCAAAGGTACATCAGTCCAGTGAGTTCAGAGACGATTACCTTATACAACCAAAACAGTAACAGGCATGCACTCACGGGGGAGGGAGAGAACGAGGGTCAGAAGGAAATAAAGACGGCTGGGCCAGGCAACTGACAAAACTAGGAGATGGGGCCAAATTAGGACTTTTGAGTTCACGCACAGAAAAAAATATTTAATTTTAGTTGATATTAAATATTGAAATAAATTTTAATTGATATTAGGAAGAGTCATCAATACTACATTCTACACTGATACCTTTCCATTATTATATTTAAATAAAATTAAACGCACCACGTACTGGGCAGCAATAGATGTCTACAGAGCACAATTTCCAGGAAGGTTCTGAGGGTGGGTGAGTACAAGAGCCCTCGGGCAGCAAATCACGGGCACACAGGGCTCAGGGCGAGTTCACATGTGGCCCTGTTTGAATGAGTCAGCTCTCATTCTGATGTTTAACCCTTTGGATGTGGGTTATTTCTCTTAAATGGACTGAAGTGAGTCAGATGCAGGCTGAACTTGGGTGAATCGTTCATATCCAAAGATGAGATATTTATTGCCATCTTTTATTTTAGAGCAAGTAACTCAGCTTATCGAAAATGAGTTGGAAATGAAGTTTTCTTAATGACTAAGTGCCCTCTGCAACAGCAAAATCTCTTGAATTAAGAAAATGCCCAAAGCCTTTTTCAAGGTGTTAAACCCACCGATGCTTTGGTGTTCACAGCTGATCATATACTGAGTCAAAATTCACATATTGGGGGACAGAAGGGCCATCAGCTTACAGTGGGGGGATTTATTACAGACTGGGGGACTATGGGAAGGGTTGAGAAAGGTGGCAAGCAGTGGGCGCCATGGAGCTGCCAGCACCTTCTGCAGTCTCCCTGGACATGAAGGGGTTGGACAAGGGGTGAAGAGGTGAGGAAGAAGTGCCCTGGCAAGAAAAAGATACCCCCCAACCCCCCGGGAGGGAAACGAGAATAGGGGCTGGAAATTGGGGACAGGGCGGGGAAGGGTCAGAGCTATTTCTTCTAGAAGCATTTTAATGAGGTCAATGATACATGGGAGTGGCTAAAGGAAATCGCAGAGGAATTGCATAGATTTCATTTTCTGATTTCAGCGTGGGAGCTGCTACTGGAGTCACCAGGTTCACGGAACAGCTCCAACAGCACCCTGTGCTCAGCCACATGGCACCTCTCCTGGGTTCTGCCCATTCTGCGCGGCCTCTGCTCTGCTCAAATGGCTACTTACCTTGAAGAGCTTCCCCTCTAGGCTCTACCTGGTTAGTTCCTATTCTTTTCATTTGTTCTATTTGTTTGTTTGTTTGTTTGTTTGTTTGTCTGAGATGGAATCTCACTCTGTCGCCCAGGCTGGAGTGCAGTGGTGCAATCTTGGCTCACTGCAACCTCTGCTTCCTGGGTTCAAGCGATTCTCCTGCCTCAGCCCCCCGAGTAGCTGGGACTACAGGCATGTGCCACCGCACCTAGCTAATTTTTTATATTTTTAGTAGAGACGGGGTTTCATCGTGTTAGCCAGGATGGTCTCTATCTCCTGACCTCATGGTCTGCCCACCTCGGCCTCCCGAAGTGCTGGGATTTATAGGTGTGAGCCACCACACCTGGCCCTTCCTATTTATTAAGGTTCAGCTCACATCTTTTTTCCTGGCAAAACCAGTGTCTCCCTCCCATTCTATCTACTCATCTGTTCACTCCTGTACTGGTCTCCGGTGCCGGTGGCTTCTGTTCTAGATGTCAGTGCCTGGAGAGCACCCACCTCCTCTGCTTAGCTTTGTGATCCCAGGGCCTGCTTGATTTTCCTACCTAAACTAGTCCCAATTTTGCTGAGTAAATGTGAACCTAAACAAACACCAACAAGCCTTAGCAATTTTAGGGCTCTTAAACAATTTAGAAATTATGTTTATCAAGACCGATGCATGTTTGTAGAGAATGGGAAGGAACTCTGTTGTGTAAACATGTGGATTTGGATGAGACTCTGGATTTTCCTTCCAAGTCTAGTCCATGCCCAAGAAACCACCACAAAGTTTGCATGTACTCTTCAAAGTAGTTCTGTTTTCAGAAACTCTCAAGAATTCAAGAGCATTCTTCTAATTATTTTTTTCCTTTTGATTAATTCTAATTAGAAAATATACACAAAAACACGTCCTTTCATTGCAGCCAGCTGAATGCCACAATTCACATTCGAGCTGGTGTGGTCAAACGCAGCACACTGGAGTACATCTGAATGAAGGAGCTCATGTTAACTGCTGCTTTTCACGTCAATAACACAGCTACCCAAACAAAAATCCGTCAAACAGACACCGAAAGAGAAAAGTAGAGCTGAATCCACACACACAAGATTGCATGCTACAAAATCTGCGGTTTCTGAAGAGAATGTGAAAGATTTAAATGGAAACCAACCAACTTCTCCTCCCTGGATGATGACAAAGTAGAGAATCTGCTGTCACCGCTGTAGCTGGAATTCTGAGCACCAAAGAAGAAAACACGTTTAAGTGACAAGCACTTCCTTACGACTCCAAAAGCACCCCCATCCCATTCAAAAGGCGAACATGGAACAGCACAACCGAGCCAACACTAGGAGCCCAGGAACGCTAGTTTATCTAAAGACGCGAGGCACAAACAGTACAGCAGAGATTCTTAACAACTGGAGATTCTAAGCTGTATTTTCACCTTCAGTGTTTGTGTCTTGGTGATGCCAGGGGTGTATCTAGTACTGCTTTTCACAATCTCATATCCCTAGCACGATTCGTAATTACTGAGTTTCACACTGCGTTGTCAGTAAACTCCTTGTCTTATCTCCTTGGGTAACTAAAATTCCATTTATTGCAAAATTTTCAATCTTTCTTCAGCCCAGCCCGCCTGCGGGCTATAGCTCAGCCCTGGGGTGCCAGAAAGGTGGGTGGAGTGTGACAGCCTGCTGCCACCCGTCCACTGGAGAGCCCTTATCCACAGAGTGCAAATGCCCTGAAGGCCATCTTTACGTGTCTTGAGTATACATTTTTAAAATGTCGCATCCAGCCGGGTGCCATGGCTCATGCCTGTAATCCCAGCATTTTGGGAGGCCGAGGTGCGCAGATCACCTGAGGTCAGGAGTTCGAGACCAGCCTGGCCAGCAGGGTGAAACTCCATCTCTACTAAAAAATACAAAAAAAATTAGCCAGGTGTGGTAGTGGATGCCTGTAATCCAAGCTACTTGGGAGGCTGAGGCAGGAGAATCGCTCGAACCCAGGAGGCAGAGGTTGCAGTGAGCTGAGATAGCACCACTGCACTCCAGCCTGGGTGAGGGCACGAGACTTTGTCTCAAAAAATAAATAATTAAAGTGCATGCAATGCTAAATAGGTAAATAGGAATGAGCAAGTAAAAACAACTTGATCAGCTGGTTTCAGAAAGCTAAAGACGGCTTTGGTCGGGGAGAGGGAAGAAGGTCTGGGTGGGGTCACTCATTTGAAGCCCAAAAGTATAATTTAAGCATACACATGATATCTTAATATAACATAATTAAGATAAATGAAAAGAAATACTATTTTACACAATTAGGAATATTACTAAAAGAAAAAAATGAAGCATGAGAACAGGAAATTTTTAGACCATTTCACACAGAATGGACCTGTGGGATATCGTGAAGCTTAATGGAAATGTATCCAGTGTAACCTTCTAAAATCCCCAATGACCTCCTGTCCTTGATTAATCCAAAGCCCTCCCCACCCCCGCCCGGTCTCCCTAATGCCCCTGCCACTGGCACCACTCCCTCTCTCTCCCCCTAGAGCAGCACCCTTTCCTTCCACCAGCTCCTTCCTGCCTCCCACCCCTTAACTGGGAGCCTTCCAAGCATCTGCATTGTTTTATTCTCCTTTTCCTCTCCAGAAAAACACAGGTGCTTGTACACATGCCTTTAAGGTAAACATTAAAATTACAAATGACAGATGTGGAGACTGCGAAAATGTTGGATTTAGTATCTTTGAAAGCTGAATATACTTAATACACACATTATATACATACACCCAGGGGAATACAGTAATGAAAGAGTTAATCTTTAATTTCAGATCTTTTAAAACTTGAGATTCTTATCAATATCTACCCCTTATACTAACAATCAGAATGTTGGAGGGCTAACATTCTCAGAATGTTTGCTAGTTGAAAAACATTATCTTTCATTCCATCATGTGCTAGGAAAAAAAAGACAGACCGATTTTAAAATTTAAAAACAGCAAAGAAGCTAAATTTAAATTTAGCAATTAGTTTTTAGTTCTAGAAGCTTTGAAACAACCTATTTGAATTTTGAGCCATGCAAATTTACTATACTAACCCTGCCAGATCTTCTATTCAGGGACTGTGATCCATACAATTCTCCATCATAACCATTTGTCTGTTTCAATGAAGAAAAGAGAAAAACTGACATCAGTACACAAATGAATTCACAGGTACAAATCAGCAGGGACCAACCAGCCAGGTATAAGGTGACCTTTCTTGTGGAGCGGATGAATGACCAGTCCAGGACAGTACAAGTCCTGGCAGCTCCCAAACTGCATCCCTGCCGCCGTCTGCTCCCCCGCAGCTCAGGAGGGAACAGCAGTCAAGCTAACCAAGTCAGTAGGCTTCATGTCACATGCCACTCTTAGTTTTAAAGTGGCACCAAGTCCCTCCACGGGGTGGAACATTTGGGCTTGGTGTGGCCATTTCCTTGTCAGGCTGTTTCTGGTTTTATGGTGGCTCTGTGGACATTCTGCTTGCAAGAAGCCACATGCCAGGCCGATGGGTAGTGATTCAGCCTGAGTCAATGAGTTTTCAGTTCCTGGTTCAGGGTCTTTGAAAATTATGGCACATTGTGATGCTATGGGCCATAATTCAGAAGATTCAGAGATCATTTCTTTTTTTTTTTTTTTTTTGAGACAGAGTCTCGCTCTGTCGCCCAGGCTAGAATGCAGTAGTGTGAGCTCAGCTCACTGCAACCTCTGCCTCCCTGGTTCAAGTGATTCTCCTGCCTCAGCCTCCTGAGTAGCTGGGATTACAGGCGTGCGTCACCACGCCCGGCTAATTTTTGCATTTTTAGTAGAGACGGGGTTTCATCATGTTGGTCAGGCTGGTCTCGAACTCCTGACCTCGTGATCCGCCCGCCTTGGCCTCCCAAAGTGCTGGGATTACAGGCGTGAGCCATCGCGCCCGGCCTCAGAAATTATTTCTAGTCAATCTATAGTTAAACGCAAAAGTTCATCGTGGGGTATATCCTCTATACTAGTTTTTTATTCATCCAGCCCTCCTACTTTATTTTTCAAAATGAAATTTGAACACATATTTAATAATTTCATAATGTGTCCTCCAGAATAAAGGAGAATGATTCTACTAAGTGCATGCCTATCATCCCTCTCTTCTCAGTTCCCAGCCCAGGTTCCCTTAAGTCAAAGCATGGGCTTTCTAAATGTCCCTTAATTCATCTATAAGGAAATTTCTGCTGATTCAAAATAGAGCTGTCAAGCATCAGAGACAAAACCAGCTCTCGGGACAGAAAAAGGAGGAGCAGTCTACACAACTGGTAAAAATGGAAGGAGACGCCATCAGGTCCTGGGCATGAGTCCAAATTCCACAAAGAAGCTCCGTCATGTGACCTTAAGTAATTATTTAATGCACTTGAACATCTGTTTTCTCAGCCGTGAAAATGTGCATAATAATAAATACATTACAAAGCCATCGTGAGGATTAAATGAGATGAAAATGAGTATCTCAAGCACCTAGAACAGTGCCCTCATGAATCACCAGCTGACTGGGTGGATACATGAATCCACATGGAAGGGGCCTGGCATATGGGAGGTGCTAAACATGGTTCCTTATCCGGGGGACGGGTGCTGTATAGCACATATTTTGCAGCCATGACATTAAAGTAGAAAAAAAAATTGAATTTCCAGACAGATTATAAATCCAGATTCATAAAACTTTGACTATCAAACTATATATTTATCTTTGCTGTAACTCAAAACAAATCAAGAAATCAATTTGAAGTTCTGAAACAAAAGGAGTGTAGAAATCCTTCCATATTAAATTTGAGAACTCTATGAGTAACATTAAAACATTTCTGAAATAAATTTAATAGTAAAAATCTTTGGAGATTGGCAAGAGTTTTACTCAGACTAATTTCCTTTCATGTCTTCAGCAACAAGATTATTTGACATGAAAATGCATGTCAAGGACTTGCAAATTTTAGATCTCAATCCCTTGTTATGTCTTCAGAAACTAGATTCCAGAAGAAATTAATAAAATAATGAAGGCTAATGTTAATCACTTTTAGATGACTTTGACTTTACTAACAAATGAGGAAGAGAAATGTATGACATAAGCAAGGCCTCTGGCTCTCCACTGCTGCTTATGAAATACATAGCTCTGTGGCGGAACCCTGTCCTTTGCACTGTAGTTCTCCAGCTCAGCCTGCAGCGACGGAGCAGAAGGCTGGGCAAGCTGGAAGCATGACAGTATCCTCTCATTTGTCACCTTTCCACTTACAGCCTTCTACGAAAACCTGGGAAAAACTGTTACTTTGCAGGAAAGCCTGCAAAGCAATTTCCATGACCAGGTCTGTGGTAATGGAATTCTATCATAAGGAACCTATTCCTGGGCTATGTTCCTAGAATGTATTCCCAAATCTATAGGATCTTGTTGACTATACCTCCATAGGGAGAAGTACTTTGACCTTCTTAAAGAACACTGCTAACTTTCTCCTCTTGGATGGTGTTTTTTTGTGTTGTATTTAGATGGGTGGGGCTGTTTTTACGTGGCATAAGAGGGCAAGGGGCATTGACAGTTAACTGAACAATATTAGAACAAAAGTCCATAGGCAGCATATTAACTTCATCTTAAGTTGGGTCTCTGATGTTCAACAAGCTTCGCTCTATTGTACTGTGTAGCTTTAAGTGGTACACAGGCTTGTTCACTTTGCTGGTTCCATGCTCCCAGGCTGGGTCTCACACCTGCTTCCTGGACACCTGGCATGCTTCCCACAAGCATGGGCCACTGCCTAGGGAATCAGGATACCTACAGAAAGGGCTCAGGAACAGGCACTCTAACAAGCTCTCCAGAAACACTGCCATAAGAGAGAATAAAATAAAGAGGACACACATAAGTTAGTATGTTCTAATACAGGATAAATAAGATACAAGGGTAAATGCCCTATGAAAACGGTAACTTGTGACTAGTCCGAATGCTAATGGCTACCACGCAGTGTTATCAAAGCGTCTGTGACCTTCCCATGGGACCACGCAAAAGTCCACTGCCAACTTTTTGGATGAATAATGTTAGATGTCTTTTCTACATGAGTCAAAAGACAGAGCACATGTAAAGGGCATTAGAGATGGAAAAGGAAACAAGGAAGGTGACGTCAAAACTCTGGAGTTCGATCCCTGATGCATTCTATTGAATTTTAAAAAAGAATTAAGACCGAAAAAAAAAATCCAAAATGTGTTCCTGACCATTGCTAACATATACATTTATCCCACTGGGGGCTAGCTCTTAAACAAAATTTACTTTGAATTTAACATAAAAAGAGTAATAATCTAGAAATATGTTGCTAACACATTGAATTCCTTAAAGAACAGGAGAGTTGCTGGAGTTACAGTGTCACAGAAATGCCCTCACCTGCCAGAGCGACTTGCAGTGCTCTGTAGGTAAGTAACAGATACTCTGTGAAGAGCGCTTTCTGAATCTAACGCCCTGTCTTTGTGCTTTCCCCTGTCCTGACTCCCGAGCTACTCACTCCAGCCTCTGCTCTTGTATCTGTTAAGAGCAGAACAGCCGTCCCACAGGAGGCTCAGGGCACCAAATATGCTATGCAGATGTATGCTACTATTGATTCACTATAATTGCAAACACAAAAATACATTTTTAAAACAAGAATTTACTAAATAATTTTGAAATGCACTGGAGCAAATGAAGCACAAACTGCTTTTAGGTAAAGTCCTTCAGGTGAAATAGTACATAATATGCTACAATAACTTCAGTATCGAATCACTTTAATGCTGAGCTGTGCTTTCTGAGAACTTTTTCTTCCTTGAAGTATAACACTGACAGACTTTTAGAAAGCATAAGGCACAGAAACTGTCAGAGACATATAAGAAGTAATTCTGAGTTTATGTCTAAAGCCTTAGTTTTTGTTACTGGAAGTTAGGAGTTTTCTCAAAGAATACTTTCTGGCAAAAAAAAAAAAAAAAGTCAGATTGTACATTTAATTTGAATGGATATAGACTGGAAAATAATGGATTTTTCATTAGGTAAAATGGCTTTACATTTAATCTTTTAAAGCAAATGTAGAGGCCTTGGGAATTCTTGATCTGATTTGAGTTCCTTGAAGGCAGACACTATCTTTTTCATCTTGGTATGCACAGCTGCTAACACAAGGCGTGGCAAACAGCTGGTGCTCAAAGGCCATCTGGTGAGGGAGTGTTCATGCACAGATGCCTGGGCTCCTCCCCTCCGGCAGGATCAGGGCTGCACCCTGGAGGCCCCAGGAGGAAGACTGCTCACTCTGCAGGGTAAGCCTGCCCTCCTGGCCTCATAGCCCCCCAGGCAAAAACTGGAGACAAAGCACCCATGAGATTCGTGGAAATACCACAGGTTATTATGGTCACACCACACAGTTAAGGTCACACAGCAAAGTATATCCGACCATCTCACCCAGGCGTAAGGACCCCCATACTCCAAGTCAGGCTGCGACTGTCAGAAGAAAGATGGCAGAAAAAAAAAACAACAGCAAAGAGAGTTGCCAAAAGTAAATTTAAAAGCTAAGTAAAACATAAATACAAGCAATCTTTAAAATCTTAACAAAAATGCATTTTTCCATAATTTCTAGGATCTAATATGTATTTACAAAAAGAATTATGTCAGAATGGTAGCTACCACAGAATCCAGTAGCATTCAATAAACTTCCATGGCAAAGGCTGCTATAATTCACAAAGTCTGAAACAGTTTGATAAATCTTATTTCCTCTTCTACATAATCCATTTTAGTTACAAAAGGGCAAAGGTTAACAGATGCACTGTCATCAATTTTCAAAAAGGAAAATTAAAAATCTAGATTTTCCAGAAAATCTAAACTCGAGAAATTCTAGAAAATCCAAAATCTAGACTTTCTGAGGAGGCATCCATACAAATTCCAGAGTAGTATAAATCACCTCCCCACCTTTTTTAGGGTTTATCATTTTTTCTAGCTAAATGAAGAAGGCCTGTGTTTTCAGAGTCAATAAATAAAAGATACGATCTTACAATCAAAAATGTAAAAAGTTCATAATATTAAAATACATAAAAACAGTAGAAACTGGCCCCGCATAGAAATAGAGCGAGATGCCAGTCCTCACTCTGGGGAGTGCCCTGTTCGGTGGTACAAAGGGGCAAGCATAGAGCCCAGGGAACCCAGCGCACGGAGGACACACAGCCCACCAGGGCCCTGAGCAGCAGGCACTGGCCTTGTTCCTAAGAACTGTGACCCCACGCAGGCCTCTTCACCACTCTGGGCTTGTTTGGTGCCTATAAACATTAGGAGGTTTGACTCTCATCTCCAGGATCCAAGTTCTTAAGTTCTGAGGAATATATTTCTTCAGATCAAGTACCTGATGGGAAAGTGTCATGTGGCTGAAAATGAAAATCCCATCCACTTCCTCCCCATCTTATGTACTGTCCTAATGGTGAACATCCTATAGGAAATTTCAGCTCTTAAAACAAATATACTTGATATCTCGGCAAAGAGTGGTGTCCAGCAGAAAGATGCAACTTATTTCTGGTTAAAAATCATTGAAAATGAAATGAATGCTGTTACATAACACCGTAATACTCGTTCATATTGCAATGGTTTTCAACTCTTCAGGGTCAGGAGACCCTCTGAGAATCTGAAGAAACTGAACATTCTTTTCCCAGGAAAATGTAAGTGCACACATCTTACATCTGAAATTGTGCCTACAATTTCAGGAGGGTGTGGCTCTGAAAATGATGCATTTTGAGAGAGACAGTTTGGGATTCTGTGCCTCTCTCCTCCTATTCTCTCTTGAACCCATATTAACCAGGTTTTGCCCTCAATATTTCCGTTAAAAGTTCTCCTGCCAAAGTGACTGACATCCTCTATACCGCTAAGTCTGAGTTTCCTCCTCTCTCGGTCGCTCCCCCTCATCCCTGAAACAGCATTTTCTTCACTGGTTTCAAGGACTCAAGCTTCTCCTGGGCCTGCTCAACAGCTGTGATGTCTGGGCCTTGTCTACAGACTTTGTCAATTGAGCTTTGCATTTATTCTATTTTGGATCCATAAATCTTCCCTCTTCTGGGGTGAGTGGGGTCAGACGGTCCCGAGGTAACGGTTACAACAGCATCCCTGAGGCTACATCTCAGGAGAAGGTTTCAAACAGCAAGGAAGCCCTCACGGGGCCTCACATTTGAACCACAGTTTTTTGGCAAAATCACTACGGATCTGCTTTTGGCACTGCAAGGACACTGACAAGGACAGAGTGGCTTCACAGCACAGCAACCGTGTTTCACCTCTGCATTTTATCATTGGGAAGGGCCAAATTACATGCACACTCAGTGCATGTATAAGAAGTCAAGGAGTAATAGGATTTAATTGCCACAGTGAAGAGAAACAAGCCTTCAGCTCTATGTGGTCCCTAAGGATTAATAAAGCGAGTGGCTGCTTTGAGATTTATTTATTACTAGCGGTGAGATGTAATTTCAATCCTGCAGTAAAAGAAACTGACATGCTCAGGTTAATTCACTGATTTAAAGCACTGAGCAAAACATAGTTTTTCTATTTTACTTCCCCCCAAACTCACACTTTTTTCAAGTATAATTATTAAGGTTTCTGGAATGTTTAAGGAAAAGTCCATATTTGTGTTGATTAACCATTAAGCCTATCAGTGGTAAAGAGATCTAATTATAACTGATACAAGGAAAAGCGGCTGAAGGCAGACCTTACGGATCCAGTCCTGGTCCAGGTTTTCAGCAGGCAGTCTATAGTGGCTATGCCAAAACATTGCTCAATAATAATTAACTTACAGCTACTTTAATAGAGGTTCCGATTTTACCAGGAGCATGGGTGTCAGTGGATACAGACTTACTAAAGGGCAGACGCGCCTTTGCATTCCTGTGGAACACCAATGTGCTGAGACAACTGTGCTAATCAAGGCTTGGGAGCTTTGTGATGTGGATAAGTATTGAAAAAAAGATGACTTCATCTCGGGAGAAAGAAACAACCAACGTGCCTATGCATATAAATCATCTCTCTACAGCAACAAAGAAACATCCCCCATTGATTTGATTTTAAGTAAGCATCTCATCGGTTAAATATTGACTATCAGACCACGGGGATAATGAAGAAGAAATCAGAATGCGGGGATGAGAAAGTAAAGGGCTTGGACCAGAAACTGTGCCATGCAAACTCCATCATTCTGGTTACTGACCCTCAGGCTTCCACGACTACCCACTGACATGCGCTCGTCTTCATCAGAAGCCTATTAAAAGAAAGGACGAGAACAACCGTGAAGGAATCATACAACATACATGAAGAACCAGTGCCCAAGTTTCAGGGGGATGCTGGGAACTGACCCCAACCCACAGCAGTGAGGGGGCCAGCCACCCCTGGACATCTCAGGGGACACCAGTCTAGGTCCTCCACAGCATGGGCTTTGTGGATCTCTGTCTGCTTATGGGCAATATGGATTTAAAGTAATTTCAGGGCCAGGTGTGGTGTCATGCCTGTAATCCCAGCATTTTGGGAGGCCGAGGCAGGCAGATCACTTGAGGTCAGGAGTTTGAGACCAGCCTGGCCAACAAGGCGAAACACTCTGTCTCTACAAAAAATACAAAAATTAGCCGGGTGTCATGGCACGTGCCTGTAATCCCAGGTACTCAGGAGGCTGAGGCATGAGAATCACTTGGACCCACGAGGCAGACATTGCAGTGAGCCAAGACTGCACCACTACACTCCAGCCTGGGCAATAGAGCAAGACACCATCTCAAAAAAAAAGTAATTTCAGGGCCAGGCACGGTGGCTCATGCCTGTAATCCCAGCACTTTGGGAGGCCGAGGTGGGCAGATCACTTGAGCCCAGGAGTTCGAGACCGGATTGGGCAACATAGGGAAACTCCGTCTCTACCAAAAATACAAAAATTAGTCAGGTGTGGCGGCAGGCGCCTGTAGTCCCAGCTACTTGGGAGGCTGAGACACGAGAATTGTTGAACCTGGGAGGTGGAGGTTGCAGTGAGCCAAAACCGCACCACTGCATTCTAGCCTGGGTGACAAAGCGAGACTCTGTCTCAAAAAAAAAAAAAAAAAAAAAAAAAGTAATTTCATCCAAGTAGTATTCTTTATCTCACGGGTAATATAAATACACAGCATTGGTGTATATTACTATGCAGATTATTTATGGGTATTCAATGGCACAAAAAGCACTACAGCTGTCATGAATATATTAATACTGAAAAATTTCTCAAACACACTCTCCTTATCAAATTTAGGTCAAAATGCTAAAAGCTAAGTTCATAGTCTTTATTTAGGTAATAATATCAGTATTCTATCATTAATAGTATTAGTTAATTTCTTTAAGAGATGATATCATCATTAAGAGATTGAATATATTATATATACTTCAGCCACTGCAAGCATAAATTAGAATTCAATCAAATTGCCCAAGTAATGAATGAACACGGTACTAACCGATGTGTTTCTTCTGGATCTACGAGAGTAGCGCTCACTGTCTTCCTAACAATGAAGAAACAGCATGAAAAGGTTAGAGACAGATGGACACAGGAAAAGTGCTTTAAAAAAGCTTAGGTAGTCCCACTGCACCATAATACAGCAGTTCTGATCTAAATGTCACATAAATATTTTCTTTGCCTTCATTTAAAGGCTTTAATTAAACCAGTGGGTAAAAATGTTTTTTTCTGGGGTGGGAGGTTCTTAAGCACAAAAATAATTTGCATACTTCATTTTTGTTGTAAAAACAGTGTTTGGGGCAGAAGCTGGGTCTTAATTTTTTTCTAACCTCTATCATCTGATCCATTTAAATCAATCTACTTTTCCCCTTACTTTCAGAACCTCACTCTCTTCGGGAATCAGAAGATAAATCATTTCCACACAATATCCGAAAAGGATGTCACTCTTTCTACTATGTATTGTGGATTCTAAGACACACACGGTTTTTCACACTTGGACATCTCTGAAGCTGGGGATGTATCTTATAATCCAAGTTGCTCAGTTATAATTAGCATTTTTTCTTTCTCAGTGGTATATAAAACAATGATACAACTTCAAAGAATGTGTAAAGATTTTTTAAATATTTCTTTTCTTTTTTTCTCTTTCTTATATCACCATGCCTGTGGACAGAAATGTCTTAAGATTTAACAAAAATACATTTATGTCATGTAAGCCTAAAATGATGGTTTGCCTAGGCTGAATGTAATCATATTTTCAATACAGTAAGTGTGTGCTCTGTATATCTGAAGAGCGAACCTCTTTTATACCCAGTACGTAAGATGTTAGGAAATAATTTTGGATTTTCCTCAGATCATTTTATGTATAAGGAACATTTAATAGGACATTTCCATCCTGGCCAGGTTCTCAAATGCTAAAAGCATGTGATGAAGTCCACGAGGCCAGGCAATAAAGCAAAAGGGACAGGAAGAGGTAGAAGGACTCGGGTAGAGGAACTAACGAGAAGGGCCAGGCCACTCTCTCTCGGGACCAGTGGAAAGCACACAGATTGTGCCCCTTCCGCAGCCTCCCTATGTGGGTGCCGCTGCTTCCTGAGAAAGCCAGAAGGACAGGAGTATCATCAGGGGCAGGCTAGCTCTCCATCCACAGGAAGGCAGAGGGGCTGTTCTAGGAAGCAGGTGGAGAAGGTAAAGGAGTTTTCTTACCAAAGACCAGTGGTTTCGGCAGGCACAGCGGACAAGATGAAGAGAGAACCCAACAGCAAATGCAGATAAAGTCTAAATGAGGGCGATGGGGCAGCTGGTCGTAATCATGAGTGAAGGAAATGGAGCATAATGTACCTCTCAGGTTCCAACCACAGCCTGGTGAGCTGCGAAGCCAATGGGAATGTTCTCTGGAAAGTTCTCAAGCCAGGGGCGCATGCCCAGCCCGAGTCCTGGTGGAGAGCCCTGTGCTCGAGGAGATCAGGGCGGCTGTGGTAGTGGAGACCTCCCCAAACTGCTGGCCAGGAGACATCAGCAGTCAGTGGCTACCAAACAGGCAAGACCAGGACTGTTTCTAAGCAGGCTGCGTTTGGGGATGTAAACAGAGACCAGATGCAGAAATCCCCGGAAGAAAATCTCTCAGTATTAAATTATGGTGCAATAGGAATCTATCTACATAGTTAAACTGCGTAAGAATTACATTATAAACCATTTAAGTCTCAACACTGTATTCAAGTGGGGAGGGAAGAGTAAAAACAAAATTATATTCAAGGCCTACCATCCACTGCTCGATGTCACCCCATTTTGTATCCAGCCCATAATATTTCTATAGACAGAAGGGAAAGAAAATTAGGCAAGAAGTGAAATTTCTTAAAAAGGCAGTTGTCTAAGGCACTGTTCTGACATGCATTTCCAAACCGCCATCCAGCCGTGTGGTGAAGGTAACACGCCAAGGCAAAGCAGTCGGCACCAGGCCTGGCTTCTCCACAGGGACCGCCACCCGTGCAGTCATGCAGGCTGTGAGCTGTGAAGAGAGATCCTCCCAGCCCACCCCATCCCGGCAAAGCAAGAGAGCCCAGGACGAAGCTTCCCCAGGTGAAGGGCCTCGGGGGAGAGCAGGACAGTAAAGCCGGCCCAGCAGCCTTCACGCCCCCTCCAACAGGCTGCTCATGCCTTCAAAGCAAACGCGATGAAGGAATAAAACACCATCGAAGAGAAGCAGAAGCTCAGAGCCATTCCGGTGTTGGGACCTCAGGGAAACTGAGAGGAGAAGGGGAGAAACTGCGTGCTGACGCTTGTTCTAGCTGCCTGATGTCTATGCTGAGTCTAGGCCTGTGAGAATTCATAGACTTTGCTGTCTTTGTAGCAGGGATGGAGAGATGACTGCCACCTACAGAAGAGGTCTTTGTACAGAAGAAAAATATGCAGACCCACAAGTTATGTATGTCTGGAGGTGACATTAGCTCAGGGGTGTCCAATCTTTTGGCTTCCTTGGACCACACTGGAAGAAGTGTCTTGGGCCACACATAAACTACACTAACGATAGCTGATAAGCTAAAAAAAAAAAATTGCAAAAAAAATTTCATAATGTTTTAAAAGAGTTTACGATTTGTGTTCAGCTGCATTCATAGCCATTCTGGGCTGCATGTGGCCCGCAGGTTGGACAAGCTTGCTTTAGCTTATACTTCCATGTTTTTATCCTGTTCAGTGGTCCAAGTTAAAATGAGAAAAGCAGATTCAGAACGGCTACTGCTGCCACTCAATCAGGGAATCCCAAAGGTAGGTGGGAAGCCAGGTCATGGGCCCAAATAATGGGGTTTTGCTTCTCTCCTTTTTATTTAATTTCCAGTAAGAAAATCAAGAAACAACTAAGCAAACTTCCGTATCATTATAACACAGATGTGAGTTTTCTCTTCATACATTAAAATCTTATAATCAAGAGAAAAAATCAGGTGCTAGAAATACAAGACCATTTTTGAAATTGTTTTACAATAACCAAAAACATGCTGTTGCTATGTTTGGTTTTGTTTCATTTCGAAGGGCGGCCAGATTTAAAAATAAGCAGTTTTCAGACGGTCTTATCTCTTTCTCTTAGAGGTGACAGTAAGTAGAAAATTGGAAGAGCAGAAATTAGGAGGGAGAATTTAACAATACTTTTAAAAATTCAATAATACAAAAAGGACATGAGTACAAAAAGGACAAAAAAGACAAAAAGGACATGAGCCATATCTTTTTCTGTAGGTTATTCCCTTGGAATATAAATTCAGAAAGGAAATAAAAACAAACATCCCAAAGTCATGTTTTAACTTCAATGTCAGGGAAATGCATCAGCTTAAAGCTATTTTGCATTCAATTAATGTTAGCACCTGCCAAGTTCCAGATTTTTCACAAGTAAAATATGATGCCATCACTCCTCCCTTATTTTTTGGCTTAACTAGAAAGAGGGAAGCAAAATATGTTTTTAGAAGGATGGGGGCTATATAAATTCACAATAAAATTATTTAAATTCCAAAAGAATCTGTACTGTCAGTTTTTCTGTTTTCATAGATTTCTTTTTGCCCATTATATCTGCACACTCTAACTTGCTCTTTTCATGACAAAGGACCAGTTCTGAAAATCTTTCACCTCGTTCATGGGTGGTCTTATAAGTGGCTACTGTAACTGCATTTCCATGTCATTCCTGGGGAGAGAACGCCCCTAGTAACAGCAAGTGCAATTAACTAGTAGTTCCTGGGTTAGCCAGCAGCACTAGCACAGCAAAGTCCAGGAAGGGCAAACATTTCAAACGTCAATCACTACCATGATCCGGAAGCCATGCGGAGGGAAGCAGGAGCCGCGCTACTTTCAGAAATAGCTTTGATTCCAGAGAAACTGTTCCGCAAAGCAGCTGGCTGGGCCGGAGGCGCAATCGCCGCCTCCTCTCCTCCCCAGACATCTCAGCAATGAGGAAAGCCTTCCCTTCCCTGGGCACACCTTTACTACAAAACTGTGCCTCTGCTCCTCCACTGCAGGTTTCCGGGGCTCCTTCTAGCTTCACATTCTACACAAATTCACATTCTGACAAAGTTCTCACAATGTATCCCTGGCACGTTAGTAAAAAGAAAATAATGTGACCTAGCACAAGAAAGGCATGAATGCAAGTGGAAACGACCAGATAGAGCCCCTCTTCCAGGTTTTGGATGAGAGCGTCCTGCTGTCAGTTACAGGGAGGGCTCCCCGCCTGGCCTTGCACCTGTCCAGTTCTTCCCGAGGCTCTCTGAGGACGACCAGGAACTCCAGCTGCAATATCCATTTCTACACTTGGGCCCTGGAAACACTAGTCAAGCACAAGAGATTCTGGCATCTACTTAACAAATTTCTTTGCACTCTTCGGGACAGCAGCTATGCAGAGTGCAGGGCTCCAGCAGGGAAGGCGATTCGTCATCATGGCCAGCACAGGAATCCAACACAACAGGCTCTTAAATTTACTGCCCGTGCATTCCGAGGCCTGTGTGCTCTAACCTCCGAAATTAAGTGATCTTATTCTGATTTTCTCATCTGCTCTAAGAGAAAAATACAGTTGTTGTCTAGAAACTAAATTTATAAAAGGAAACTATCACAGATGTTTTAAGTATCAAACTAAATTCATTTATGGGAAAGACTCCCGTGTATACAAATTCTATAAATTCTCAAGGAACTCGCTCACTTCTGACTTCATTTTTGCTAGATCTTGAATCACTGACTTGCTTGTCTTTATTTTCTGTATCTGGCCTGCCCAGTGTATTTACTTCTAAACCTCAGCTGCTTCTACAAAATACTAGGAAACAGAGAGGCACGTCATTTTATGATCTCTGAGCATTAGGGATGAATGGCAGGTTCATTTTATATCATCACTGTCCTTTTACTCAGATTTTTAACTCAATATCTAATAATCTCTCAATGTGTGGTAATTTGTATGGAATTTTTTAAGTTTTCTAATAAAATCATCTTTTTCTTTCCATACATAATTTCAGAAGGCTATCCACATTCTGAAATATAATTTTGCCTTAGAATTACTTTTCTTCTCAAAGAAACAATTTTTACATTTCTTGAGGAAAATGCAGATGACAAAAGCATTCAGTACACAGAAATGTGTCTGACTGTTGCTTTGAGTGGGGCAAGATGAGGATCTAGGCATTCTTGTTCAAACAAATTCATACACAAAGTAGTAAAATAAACAGTAAGAACTTCTATGTATCTTCAGTGCAAGGTGTTATTTCTGAAAGGTGACCAGGCCCTTGGCAAGGAAAAAACAGTACATGCAAGTTAGAAAATAAAGAAAGAAGAGCCTACCTTTTGGACCTGATAGATCTATAGAGAAGGACAGAAGAAAAAAGAAATGTAAAATCCAATTAAAGAAGCAGTAACATCAGAATGAAAGGTTCTGTAAGTAACTAGACATATGAATCAAGTCACAACGAATACAGTAAAATGTGAATAAGAAAACAGGTGAGGTCCCACTGACAAGAGTTTGTAATTTTATCACTTACTTTACATTTCATTTTAGATACATTGGGGAAATAGGGGCATAGCCACACGAATCTTACCAAAAATACTGCTATTATTCTAATACAGAAGTCTGTATAACCTATTGCCATCAATGAGAAAAAGTACTTCCTTCATCTTTAATTCAGAATTTCTTTTTGCGGTAATAAAAGTTTAATCAAAAAGTACAGAAACTTAATTGGAAAGTTAACTGGTCAAATTCACAAATAATGAAGAAAGAGGCTTTGATGTTCTGATTCACACAGACACACACAGAATAACAGGAAAATTCCAGCTAAATGGAGTGATCATTAGAATATAACAGAAATATTCCTAAAAGAGGTTATTATCATACATTGACATATTCGTTTGCTTCAGAGGTTTCTTTTAATTTTGTAGTAATCACTAGATAAAACTGAGATAGCTACTCATTTTCATTCATTCATTCATTCATTCATTAAGACATTTGTCATATCAGGCATTATTGAAGGCACTGCCAAAACTGCGAGACCAAGAAGTTGGCATTTCTAGTCTTATATGGGGGAACACATGTGACTACATCCAACAATATGACTGTAAGAAACAAAGCATCTCTAACCAAAATGTTTATCAAGTCAGCAGCAAGAAAAGAGAAATGATCACCATTTTCTTCTATCAGTGTAGGTTCTCCCTAAGAAGTTCAAGGTTCACTTGAATTTCCCAAGAATATGTACATTATTCTCCCCTAACAAATCCATTAAAAAAGAGCTCATATCCTTTTAAACAGACCCCGGAACGCAGCTAGAGTAAGCTGTAGTGGGTTCTCGCCGTCTGTGTGCTGAAAAGAACCATTCAAGAAAGAGAGCTCAGGGTGGGCTAGAGCTGGCCTGGAGTCTGATAATGCTGTGGGGACAGGGCTGCCCCCGACACTGGTGTCTCCTCGCCACCTCCCCTCTCCGTACACGCTCCATGCTTTCCTTGGGGGATACCAACCCCGGTCAGCTTCCTGCCCTTCTCGGTGTTCTCAGAGCGGCCCCCTCAAGAAAACCCTGAGCCTGCTCAGAAACGCCTGCATGCAGGTGGGATGGCTTGTGACCCCGATGAAAACAGGGATCAGGTTTCTCAATTTTTACACCAAAGTATCAACCCTACCCTTTAAACACTGGTCTTCCAAAACGTATTCATTTCCCCTTAATCAACAACTTAAAATGCCAGTGCCCCAAGCTACCAGATTGTATAACCTCAAATTATGTTAGCTGGTTCTAATAATAGCCAGGCCCAGAGATGTGATATGCAAAGAAGAGCGTGAGGGAGGTGTCGTCAGTGCACCTTCCCAAATCCTCCAGGCATGGCCCGAAGACGTGCAAGCTCAGACCCCACTAGCTCGACTCACTCTTCCCTCTGGATGCATACACAGATGCTCACGTGTGTGAGCGCACATGCACACACATGCACACACACATGCACACGCACACACACGAATGCGTGCGCACACACGAGTACATTCCTCCTGGCCTCTGCCCCACCCTTTGGGTCACATAAAAGCACAGCTAGGTGAAAGCTACTCATTCTGTATTTATAGAAAATTCTAAGAAAATTGTATATTTTATGTTTCATATTCCTGTGCCTCAAATTCCACACCAAGGAGAACTTTATTTTTCAAGGCATGCTTCCACTTGGAAAGTGACTAGGATTATGTGGATCATTCTGTTTCCCCCTTTGCTGTGCGTGCCAGCGTCCTCAATGTGAACTTCAACCCCATGGCCCACGGATTCACTCCCTCCTCCACTCTTGTTTTTATTGTTGGTACAGAACTGATTTTGAGACAGAGGGGTGAGCTAGGAAGACCACAGGCTTTGTATCTGGTCAAATCTGATTTGAATCTTGGCTTGGCTATTTTCTTGGATTTGGGGAAAACTGTGTATCTCCCTAAGGCCTGTTTTCCTCACCTGTAAAGTTTGGGAAGATGCCCGTCACCAGTGGTAGGTGACAGCACCAAGCCCAGCTCTGCCACACGGCAGGAGCTCTGGGATGTCCCCCCGCCCCAGGCTTCTCTGACTAGTCACGAAATACACATCTATCTTATTTAAGATCTTTCGATCCCTCTTTTGAAGAAGCAGACATAAACTTTAAACAGGAATGCTGCCGCCTTGCAAAGACCCGAAATTCATGAAGGCACCGTTGCCGCCGTTAGGAACGCGTGCTGCGCTGGGCTGACTGGGCTGGCCCTTCCTCGTCTGGCTCTCGTCTCCCAGGGCAGCTTCCTGTCTGCCATGTCCATCCTCTGCTGCCACAAGGAGTGGCTTCCCCACCCCCCGGTAGAGCTGCTTCACTCGGTGTCCTCACTCACCATCTTGGCCACGTTCATTTCTCTGCCCCTCCTGACATGTCCCCCACCTTCCCAGGCTCTCATTCCACAACCTGGTAAATTTGGGTGGCTCTGGCTCCTGGTCCGTGACCAACCCCAGGCAGGAGTCCACAGCCGCGCCCACGACGCCCGCCCTGTGTCACAGCCGCAAGCCACGGTCGTGAGGGAAGAAGTGCAGGCATCGGTGATGAGGAAGCCGAGACTGCAGATCCACAGAGGACCGTGCAAAAGGTGACGTTGGCCAAAGGTGCTGCCTGCAAGGGACACCACCCCCTCCTCCGGTCCCTGCTGGTGAGAGCACAGACCAAAACCACCGCTCTCAGTGGCGGATGTTCCGCCGAATTTGCAACAGGGCGAGATATCTTGACCCCTGTGACCCCTGAAATATCTTTATGATAAAACCATGCTGTAGGGAGAAGAATTTCAAAATGTGAATGCCATCTACTAAGCAAATGACATCTGTACTCATGCTGAAGAAGGCAAACCATGGCGTTTTACGTGAGACTTCCCGATTTCATCAGATGTTCTCCGCAAGGCCTGTGCTCATCAGAAGCATCAGTGAGGGCTGCCCTGCACCCCTTTTTCATGATACTAAAATTAAATGCCCAAGACTTGGTTTCCCATCTGGAGTAGCAACTACTTTTTATTTTTTTACTTTTTGAAAGAGATAGGGGTCTCATTATGTTGCCCCAGCTGGAGTGCAGTGGCTACACACAGGGACAATCATGGCCCGATCATTGCTTCAGGCTCCTGGGCTCAAGCAATGCTCCTGCCTCAGTGTCCTGAGTAGCTGGGACTACAGGTGCATGCCACCACGCCTGGCTTATTTTTTATTTTTCTTTTCGTGTGGCTGGGAATATTACAACAGAGACGTGGGAGTCCAGCAACAGATGGTTCTTAAACTGCACAATTAAAATGCAACAGAAAAGGGCTTCCTTTCAATCAAAGGAATAAAGGGATGCTTTGCTTTTAAAGGGGGCCATTCAAATCGATGACTGCTTGCCTTAATTCATCTTAGTTATTTTTAAATCAAGAACTTTTGCCCAACAACTTTGTAACAAGCTGCTTATATCAATATGTATATGTTTAAATCAATTCTAATTGGTTATATCTTATATCAATATGTATATATTTAAATCAATTCTAATATGGGGCCGGTGTGATGGCTAACACCTGTAGTCCCAACACTTTGGGAGGCTGAAACGGGGGAATCACCCGAGGTCAGGAGTTGGAGACCATCCTGGCTAACACGGTGAAACCCCATCTCTACTAAAAATGACAAAAAAATTAGCCGGGCATGGTGGCGGGTACCTGTAGTCCCAGCTACTCAGGAGGCTGAGGCAGGAGAATCGCTTGAACCCAGGAGAGGGAGGTTGCAGTGAGCCAAGATCATGCCACTGCACTCCAGCCTGGGCGACAAAGCAAGATTCTGTCTCAAAAAAAGAAAAAAAAAAGGATACAATCAATACGTTTTTATCTAAATGTGTCTGTATGAACAGACACATTCTACAGAGACACTGATACTGGGCAGTGTGAAAAAGCACCTGAGATTTTGTCATTTAAAATACATATATTTAAGCCAGGTGTGGTGGCTGATGCCTGTAATCCTAGCACTTTGGGAGGCCAGGAGGTCAAGGCGGGAGGATCACTTGAGATCAGGAGTTTCAGACCAGTCTGGCCAACATGGTGAAACCCCGTCTCTATTAAAAATACAAAAATTAGCCAGGCATGGTGGTGCGCACCTATAATCCCAGCTACTTGGGAGGCTGAGGCATGATAATCGCTTGAATCTGGGAGGTGGAGGTTGCAGTGAGTAGAGATCATGTCACTGTACTCCAGCCTGGGCGATAGAGCAAGACTTGATCTCAAAAAAAAAAAAAAATTATACATATACATATTTAAAAACCAGTTCAGAATAAAAGCACTATTCCTTCTAGTGGCCTCTGGCACCACTATGGATACCAGAGCTTGAGTGTGCAGGATGGTTCCAGGGCTTGGTGACACTGCCTAGCCTCTGCATGCAGGTTTCTACATGGAGCGGCAAACTCCTAGCAGCGGAGGGCAATGAGCACATTAGACCTGTGGCAGGGCCCTGACCCTGCAGGGTATGTGGCCAGCTTGGTCTTTGCTGGGAATGTGGCGGAATCTACAACCACCATAAGAGAATCTGGAAATTCAGATTTTTATCCGAAATCTCACTGGTTTTAAACACTGGCTCGCCTTTTTAAATTTGGCTATGTAAGCCAAACAACAACCTGTGTATTAAAATCAACCCTGGGGAAGGCAGCTGGTTACTTCTGTCTAACAAAATAAATTCACATCTTCTTAAGAAGAAAAGCTCTTGGGGGTGGGCTCAGTGTGGATGGTCCCTTGGCCCCACAGGGCATGGCCCACGGGAGAACATGGACTGAGTGGGGGTCTCAGCTTCTATGTCTCTGAGGTCACAGAAAAAGTCACACCATAACTGTGAGTTAAAGAACCCTTATGCTGTCAGAAATGACTCCTAGCTCCAGCTCAAGATGATGAAAATAACTTGCAAATGGCTTGAGCAGGTGTGTCAACACATTGCTAGCCATTTTCCCAGGGAGGAATTTCTTCCTGGCTGTTTCATCCATGTGTTCATTCCCGTCTCTCTATCACACACGGGCTCTAGATATCCTGAAACCTGGAGCCCGTGTGTGATCAACACTGTACAAACCACGGGGGACATATTTTTAAATAAAACAATTTGGCCAGTTTAAAAACTCATTAATCCGTTCTTCTTTTCCACTTTAATCCAGAGGATCTAGATTCTAGTACAACAGTTAGACCTTAAAGCTCAGACCCTGAACATTTTGGCTCCTCGCAGCTAGAAACGACGATCTGCGCAGGCAAGAGGCTTCTAAGCCCCTCTCAGGAGCCAGCAGGTCTGAGCAGGCACGCCTGGTATCCGTGCTATGCGCACTCCTGGCCTGACCTTGGGCAGAAGTCACAGGCGCAAACGCACTCTGACCGTGAGCAACGTGAGACAGCCAGGTGCGTCTGCAGCAACAGGTGCCTGCACTTGCACCCTGGGCCCAGCACGCAAATCACTGTGAAAAGACCCAACAAGGAGCCCCAAGCGTTACCTCCTTCTGCTGCCGCTCCAGCTCCTTCATGCGGATCTCGCGAGCCTCCGCGCGGGCCGCCCGTTTTGCAGCGAGCCGGGCTTCCGCCTGAAACGGACAGGGCATCTTATTAGAGGACAGAGCAGCGGGCACCTTCCCAGTACAGGGTCAGCAGTGATGATGCGGAAAGAAAATCTTGTTCAGAGTTTAACAGATATACAGCAATAAATTCCAGATTCATAGAGTAAAAGGGTGGTCAGGAGCAATAGAAATAGTTATAAGAACTGCTACCATTTATCAAGTCCTTACCACATGCTAGGCAGGAATATTCTAAGAGCTTTATGGATATGATGCCATGTATTCCTTGCAACAGCCTCATTAGGCCGAGACTGTTACCATCCCCAGTTTAAATATGAGGGAACGAAGGCACAGAGAGGGTAAGTAACTTGCCTAAGGTCACACAGCCTGTAGGTGGCAGGGCTGGGCAGTCAGCCTCCTTCTGGAGCTCTGACAGATGCATGGAGCAGAGTGTTAACAGCTGGATGCTACTCCAGGTTTCCAGTTCAACCCCTCGCTTTACAGAGCAGAAAGTGAAGGCCTGGAGAGGCTGCCAGACCCATCTGAGGCCATAGGGCTGGCTGGCGTGGAGCTGGGACTGTAATCCCAGCGAACTGCTGTCCAGTCACTTCTCAGCACACACGCACCCTCAGCTTCCCCTTAAAACACAGCCGTGCTGGGAGTCCACCTTTTCCCAACACAATGAAGATCATAGCAGAACGGTTCTAGCTGTTGGAGTCCTTCCTTGCACTAAAAAAATCAGCCTCCATATAAGTATTTTTCAGCTTGTAGCTGTTCTGCCACATTCTGCTCCGTGAGAACGTTTCAAATGCTTGAGCAGGAATGGACATGATGCTATCGAGCCTGGCATCTGAACTGTTTCTACAAACAACTTACAAGTCATTTTAAAAACTGCATGCGTATTCACTGCTTCATGTGATACCACAGCCCCGTAAGCTCGATGGCATAAGTGTTACTGAGTGCAGGTTTTCTGGTATCAAACAAACCCCACCCTCTTTCTACTGAAGTGTTTTTTGAGAATACGTCTGTAATCCTTCCAACAATGGTTCTATAAACAGTTTTCAGACGTCTTACATAATCTTTTCCTTTTTTTCTTCCTTTTTTTTTTTTTTCTTTTTCCTTTGGGGATGAGGTCTTGTTCTGTTGCCCAGGCTGAAGTGCAGTGTGTGTGTGTATTCACAGGTGTGATCACAGCTCACTGCAGCCAGGAACTCCTGAGCTCTAGCAACCCTCCTGCCTCAGCCTCCTGAGTAGCTGGGACTACAGGTTTGCACCACCACAACCGGCTCCTAGATAATATTAAAATGGGACTTCCGAGGTGGCCAGCAAGCTCCTGGCATGGGGGTGGTCCTGACAGGGACGTCCCTCTCTCCCATCCTAGACTTACACTATATTACAAATGTACCTTCTTTCTCAGTTTTAATCTAAGTTGCAAACTGGCCACACTTGATCTGTCGTCTTGAGGTTGCCTGGTTGTGTCCTCATGAGGAATTTGTTCTATTCGCTTGGCTCCTTTATCAACCCACCCCATGTCTTTCAAATCAAGGGGTGTCAAAAATCACAACTGCATCAGGATTTTGATACCTTGTTGCCATTTTCAATTTCCAAGACCATATTACATGGTGTGAAGGGCCTCTTGGGGCCAGGCTAGGCATGGTGGCTCAGGCCTGGAATCCCAGCACTTTGGAAGGCGGTGGCAGGTAGGATCTCTTGAGGTCAAGAGTTCGAGACCAGCCTGGGTAACATGGTAAAACCCTGTGTCTACCAACAATACAAAAACTAGCCAGGTGTGGTAGCACACACCTGTGGTCCCAGCTACTTGGGAGGCTGAGGTGGGAGGATCACTGGAGCCTGGGAAGTTGAGGCTGTAGTGAGCTGTGATTGTGCCACTGCACTCCAGCCTGGGTGACAGAGTGAGACCCTGTCTCAAACAAAAGAAAGGACTCTTGGGTCTACACAAAAGCAAAGAGGGAGGAGACAGAGAAGGAAAGGCATTAGAGTGACGTCCTACGGCCCTACCAATGGGCCAGCAAAGTGACCAAGGCCACGCCAAGTGCAGCCCTTCCTGGTAAGGCAGGTGGCTCTGTGCCATTGGCTCAGTTTCTAAGCCAGTACAGAGCAGGTACGAGGTTTCATAGCAGCCATAGCCCACCAGCTTGGGGGTTGGGGGGCAGAGGAACAGAGAGGAGGGGCCGGGAAAAGAGAAGGGAGGCCATGCAAGAAGAAGAAGAGGAGCAGAGGGGTGAGATGTAAGAAAGAGGAAAGGGTTGGGGGAAAGAAGGGCCACCAGAAGGGAACAGAGGGAGAGACAACTGCAGTCGGCCAAATTCTGGGTTGGTCCCCAAGACTCTGGTGTACACGCCCTGCATACCCCTCTCCCACTGTGTGGGAACGTGGAATTCTGGGTTGGTCCCCAAGACTCCCACCACTAGTGTACCTGCCCTGCATACCCCTCTCCCACTGAGTGCGTGGGACCATGGACATAATGGATGACACCACTGTAATTAGGCTGTATTACATGGCAAAAAGTATTAAAAAAATAATTAAAATCCTTCGTCAGTTGACTGCCTTGCTCAAAAGACAGATTATCCTATGGGCCTGCCCTAATCAGGCAAGCCCTTTAAAAGAGGGTCTAGAAGTCAGTGTCCTTGCTGGCTTTGAGAAAGCAAGCTGCCCAGTGGGAGGGGGCCTCGATGAGCTGAGAGCAGCCCCTGGCTGACTGACGCCAGCAGGAACAGTGACCACAGTCCTACAACCACAAGGAACTGAATTCTTCCAACAAACACGTGGCTCAGAAGAGGGGCCTGAACTCCAGAAAGACCCCAGACTGGCCGACACCTTGGTTGCAGCCTTGTGAGACCTGAGCACAGGACCCAGAGAGGCTGAGTCCAGGCTCTTTTTTTTTTTTTGGAGACAGGGTCTCCCTCTGTCGCCCAGGCTGGAGTGCAGTGGCGTGATCACAGCTCATTGTAACCTCTGCCTCCCAGGTTCAAGTGATTCTCCCACCTCGGCCTCCCAAGTAGCTGGCACTACAGGGCAGGTGCCACCACACCCAGCTAATTTTTGTATTTTTTTGTACAGACAGGGTTTTGCCGTGTTGCCCAGGCTGGTCTCGAACTCCTGGGTTCATGCCACTCACCTGCCTCAGCCTCCCAAAGTGCTGGGATTACCAGCATGAGCCACTGCGCTTGGCCAATGTGCCCAGACTCCTGACCACAGAAACTGTGAGATCATAACTGTGTGTTATTCTAAGCCGCTGAATTGTGGATATTTATTACACACTAGCAGATAACAGAAGGAGAGGAGGTCTGAGGTGACTCCTGCTCTCACAGGGCGAGTATCTCTGTGAGCTGAGGGGGGTCCCAGGCACCTGCACGCCCACCCACTTCCCCGCCTGCCTGCTCAGTACCCCACCCTATTCCAGCTTAGCTCTGCTCGGGTCTGGCCAAAGGTCCTTGCAGAGCTCGCCTGCCTGAGCGTGCAGTATTGCACCTGCTCCAGACTTGCAGGCCTCCAAAACAATGCCCTGTCAGACCCCGCTGCTCTCGGGGGTCTGCCCTCCACCCAGGAAAAGGTTCCCATCATGGCCCACCTTCAGCCTAACAGGTTTACCCTGTCCCTCACTTGGGGATAATGACATTTAAAGACTAAAAAACAATGACCTTTGCTGGGAGGCACATGGGCTTGGGCTGATAAAGGAACCCCATGGATGAATCATGTTAGGGCATCAATTCCTCATGGGGACACACGCAAGCCCACCTCCAAGACAGGTCAACTATGGCGATCTCCACCTTACATTAGAATTCAGAAAGAAGTCCATTTGTCACTGAATACAATTCCAAATCCTTGCAGCCCCTGCCTTCTAGAACATCTACCCCCCTTACGATCCTCACATGACTCATATGTGGAAAACAAAGTGCTGGCAATACCGGAAGTGGCAACTTAGCTTACAGGCAATTCTTGGAATCTGCCTAACTCAACACCAACAAATATATGAGCCAGCATTTAAACTGGCACAAAACCTATGCATGACCATCTTCACGAACACAAAACTACACACTTAGCCACAGAATAACTCTTGCCACTTGCTTAAGATGCCTGAGAGAAAATCCGTAGAGTTGGCCAGGCGCGGTGGTTCACACCTGTAATCCCAGCACTTTGGGGGACTGAGGTGGGCGGATCACCTGAGGTCGGGAGATTGAGACCAGCCTGGCCAACATGGTGAAACCCTGTCTCTACTAAAAATACAAAAAATTAGCTGGGCGTGGTGGTGGGCACCTGTAATCCCAGCTACTCGGGAGGCTGAGGCAGAAGAATTACGTGAACCTGGGAGGTGGAGGTTGCGGTGAGCCAAGATTGCACCACTGCACTCCAGCCTGGGCAACAGAGCGAGACTCTGCCTTGAAAAAAAAAAAAAAAAAAGAACATCTGCAGAGTTTCGACAAAATTCTTCCCCAGAGACACTGCGAAGAATGGCACAGCAGCCTGACAGGGCACGGCAGATGGCAGACATTGGGGAGAGCGCTGACTGTGCAGGCAGGGGTTCTCGGGGATCAGGGCACCTCAGGCCAGTGCTCCGGTGGCGCAGGACAAATCCTTTATCGACTGACACTTTTGTAAAATATAAAATCTCATGACGGGCCACAGCCACGTCAGACTGCTTGAAGAGCTTCTGAACACGGCCTGTCACTTTCTGTGAGTAGCCTGTGGGCTGACCGTGGCCCGGGGAGGCCACAGGAATGCACTGTGCTGTGAACGTGCCATGCTGTCTCAGCACTGCTTGAGACAGTGGGAGGGATTTCTGAAATGTGGTTTGGGTGCCCAGTCTCCAGGGAAACAGGCAAAGCACCTGGTGACAATGTACATGTGATGAGGACCACATGGGGGAAGAAACGTGTGGCAGGGGCGGGGGCTGCTCTGGAGAACTTGACCCAACCCCGGGGGGCTGGGGAAGGCATCCGCAGGACAGGAGCCCTAAGCCGGACCCTGAAACAGGACAAGCAGAGCCGGGGTGGCTGCGACCAGGAGCTGGTGACAAGGAGTGCAGACGCCTGGGGTGCAGACCCTCGCCCTCAGCCTCCGTATCTGGAACCTCGTCTTGAAAGAATTCAGAACCACTGAAGGGTTTTAAGAACACAGCGGAATCTGACTTTTGTTTTAGAAACAGGGCTCTGATAGAAATGTGGGGAGCAGGTATGGGGTGGGAAGAGCAACAGGAAACCAAGGAAGTGAGTTGACAGGCTGCTTCCAGCATGGGGACAGGAACGGGCTGGGCTGCAGCGGATCAAGCTCAGTGCCAGGGTTCGGGCCTGTGGAGTTTAGGATACAAAGCAAAAACTGCAAAGGGCTTCAGAGAACTCAGGAGACGAGACTGTGCATACCCCAGACGGCCTGCAGGTTGAGTCATTCTTTCCCTCCCATCCGAGCTTGCTGGATCCTCCACTGATTAGATTAGAACAGCGGCTTCTTGGCATGGCCCTCGCTAGGGTTCATGGGGGCTGGTCTGTCCCCACCCTACAGGAGCCAACAGGGAAAGAGCAAGCCCTTGCCTGCTCCTGGGGTCCTACACCCTGAAGCCTCCTTTCTCTGCCCATACAATCTTTGCTGAGATACTAAAACATTTAGGAGTACAGTGAAATTATCTCCCTCTGACTTGTCTTCAAATAACCTGGGTGGGGTGTAAACGGCTATAAGCTAACAATTGTTGAGGCTGGGTAGTGGGGGCACAGGGCTCTTTAAACTGTTGGCTGAGTCCCATCCCAGATCTGGGTTCCCACAAGCCCCTCCCCCTGCCACCTCCTTGCCCAGTATGTGGAGTCGTTCAAGATAAGGGCCCCTGCCGTGCAGCAGGACATGCATAGCTCGGTCTGGCTGCTGTTTCATAACAAAGAGCAAAAATTTAAAAAGAAAGAAAAGAAGGAAGGAAATGGAAGAGCCCCAAAACCAAAACTCATGCTTTCTGCTGCTGGAAGGTGGCCCGCTGCTGGGTTTTGCAGCGCTGCCCCCACCGTGTCCTCTCTCAGTTCCTGCTGCTGCCCGCGGGGTTAGGATGGAGCAGAGGGAGGAGCTCCTCTGACAAGATCCAGGCTCCCTGGCTTCTCAGGAATGCCCACAATGGTTGGTCCAGAACCATTCCTGTTCAGAACACACAGCCTGGCCCTTTCCCTGGGATCCCACCCATCCTGGCCAGGGACCCCACAGACAGAGTTTTACAGGAACTAGGTCTTACAGCAAGATACTCTTTGAGGGTGGGGATGGCTGGGAAAAAAAGATTCCATTTACTATCAAAGTTGCCTCCTTGTCCTAATCCTAGAAAGCCGAACCACGACTCGAGTTCTATTGTTGCGTCTTATTTTACCATATGTGAATATGACAGCCCTCTGATAGGGAGGTGGTGTGTACGGTGATAAGAGATCTAAAAATACACGAGGAAGCACAAGTATGACCCCCAGGGCCTCCGAAACAAATGGCTAAAAAGACAGCCAGGCTCTCCCAGCCACATTAATGCCAGCCCCACAGCCTGCTGTGGAGCCCAAGTCTATGGGGGCACCTCCCTGGGAGCCCCATCTGCCAGGCACCCAGCCCACAGGCCAGCTGGGGAGATAGGCACCAAAGTGACCCTTCTCCCCCTGCAGGGTCTTTTCTGGGCTGCATGGACCCATGCGTGACATCTCGGGAGCCAGGCTGGAGAGGCCTGCAGAAGACTGCGTGAAGAAGTCACCATCCCCATCCCGAGCCACAGATAAAAGCACATGTTAGGAGGTGCTTTGCAAAGGGACCCCACGGCATGCAGAGGGCCCTGAGGGGCTCTAGTTCTAGACAGAACCACACAGCAGAAACGGCTTCTACCGGGGCAGGGCACACAGGGCAGTGAGGTAAACAGTCTAACCCATGCCTGTTCTTCCAGGGCTCCCCATGGGCCTCCCGCTCAGAGCCCCAGAGATTCCCAGCTATAAGAAGACAGTCACCCAAAGATAATGGCCGTCCCTTCTTCCGGGTCAGGGAACTCAGGGACAGCCCGGCTCAGGCTGGGGGCTCAGGCCAAGGAGAACCAGAGAGAGAAGAAGTTATTGACCAGGACACAAGGAGAAACCCCAGCGGAGCGCAGAGTGGAGAGCCCTCCCGCACGCCCTCCTGGCCTAGCCCACATGTGCTTCCATCCTCGCATGGCCTCAGCCTGCGCTGGAGGTGTTGTAGGCAGTGGGAGTACTGCCTAAGGGTGGGGACAGCCCAACACCCTGAACCCCAATTCCAGTGACGTCTGGGGCTCTAGCAGCTCTAATGGCATTTGTATCCTTCTTGTGGCTCCTACCAGAAGATCATCATGTGGTCTCCTCAAAGAACAGAAACACAACCAACACTGGTGGGGCAGGGGCCCTGACTGCTGGCAAAGGGACAGCAGGTGCTGCGGGAGGCTCGCTGGGCAGCTTGCTTCAAAAGCCCCACACTCCTTCAGGGGATCCTGGCACTGCTCATACATTTCCTGAGCATTGAAGCTTTTCTGGGATTCCAGCCTAGTGTAGAATTACAGATCCCAGGGCCTCTCACCCTACAGTCACAGGAAATGTTCTTACTCTGCTTTTAAACTCTGTGGTGATACCCTAGGGGTCCAGAATTCTACACAGAAGCTGGAAGGGGTTTATGAGCCACAACTTTAGGGCAGGCAGTTCCTGAGAAATACTCTGACGTCACTCCTTCCACCCAGGCTGAGAAGGCCCTGCAGCCTGGAAAGCACCGCATGTGAACCAGAGGCGGCTCCCACCTCCCCCCGCAGAGCCCAGGGGAGACCCAGGGCATACAGCTCATGTGCAGATTCGTGGCTGCCATGCCCGCCGTTTGCCAGGAGCCTGTTAGCGCATATTAGGGACACCCAGTGGGCCAATGGACAGAGGACTGGACCATGAACAGCAGCTCTCCTCAGATGTCAGATGGAAATGACGCCCCACGGGGCTGTTCAGGGAGAGAAGCCGTTTGCCAGCTGTAAAGCACTCTGCAAACAGGAGGAAGTTCTCCTATTAATTACACACATTCATTTTCGCCTCCAGGTTTTAGCGTCAAGCAGAGAAGTGAAAAAGCAGCAGCATTATTTTTCTAGGCCCCATGATACATCACCAGTCTAGTTTATAACCTTTTTGGAAAAGTGTTAAGGATGTAATTCAAGTTCACTCACGTGAATGTGACAGGAATATGATGCAGCCGAAGCCTGAAGTGGCCACAAAGGCCAGTTTGTTCACAGACAAGCAGGGGCCTCGGTCCTTGTGCGATTCTTCCCCTGAGCTAAGAAGGAATCAAGCTCCTGGAGGGGCCGTGGTGTACCCAGGCTGTGACACGGGATCCCTTTCCTGAGCCACTTTGCTATAGGAAGTAGCCACAGCCACCAACTTTTGTTTTCTCTGCAAACCCCCCAACCCTCAGATGCAGTGGCCTCTAAAGTTTGCTATTCACAGCAACCAAGTGGGCCGGGTGATGTTCTCCTGCACAGACGTGGACAAGAACGGACGGCACAAGGCTAGCACCTCCGCAACGCAAGGGAGGCTCACCTCGGTTCCGTGTACCCACCACCCCATGTCCCCCAGAGGCGATGTGCACTGTATCTCAGTTCCAAAAGAAATGCTCATGTGGGCAATCTCACGAAGTCCCCCAGGAACCACAAAGAGCCTTCCCTACGGCCATGACTGTGAGAACGATCGTTACCAGGCACAGGGCACTCTGGGGTGGCAGCTGGCAGTGGCGGAAGTGTTGACTTAGAGGGCATTTTGGAAATGTTGGGGGGACTGGGATGTCAAAAAGATTGGGAAGAAGCTAAGGGTATTGGGGCGGGGGGGCAGGGCCAGGTCGGCCAACCATCCCGCATTCAGACACGCCTGCGATGGGAAGAACTTTTCCCTTGACTGCTCAGGAAGATAGAAAAACCACTGTTTTGGCCGGGTGCGGTGGCTCACGCCTGTAATCCCAGCACTTTGGGAGGCCGAGGCAGGCGGATCATCTGAGGTCAGGAGTTCAAGACCAGTCTGACCAACATAGTGAAATCCCATCTCTACTAAAAATACAAAATTAGCCGGGCATGGTGGCGCATGCCTATAATCCCAGCTACTCAGGAGGCTGAGGCAGGAGAATCACTTGAACCCGGGAGGCGGAGGTTGTAGTGAGCCGAGATCTCACCATTGCACTCCAGCCTGGGCGACAGAGCGAAATTCCATCTCAAAAAAAAAGAAAAAAAAAAAAAAGAAAAGAAAAACCACTATTTTTAATTTTTGGATTTACAAACTGATTGCAACTTACATATAAACTCAAAATATGTTTTACACAGTTCAAATATACATGAACTATTCCAGGAATGCAATCGACATGGAAATTGAAGGAAGATGATGATACTTGGCTTTGTTCAGAACTTTCCTGAGAGTTAGTCAACTTTGTAGAATGTCACGTCATAGACAGCAACATGAGGGGTGGTGTGTGGGTCTCAGTGCAACACACCTGTGTCAGCCTCCCTGTGACGCCAGGCACAGGTGTGTGCAGGTCTCATCACTGCATTCAACTGCTGGTGTACTTGGTCTTGAGTATTTCTATATCAAAATTCTTATTATGTTACTATAAACTACCTGTATTTTATTTTTTAAGGAAATGTTATATTGACTCGAAATTATGTGCGCTGGTTGACTTTCTCACCTATGCATTTCATTTCAGGCTAGTAAGGAAGTTAAGGAACTTGTAAAAAGACAGGGTTGAGAACCACAGCTTCAGAACTCCAGTGTGGATCTCTCGTCTCTCCATCACACTGTATGAACCAGCCCCGGCACAATTCAGAGCACAGGTCTGGGTGCCTGGTGCTCAGGCCATCATGAAGATTTGGATGGCATAAAGTTAGAGATCAAAGCCTAACTGATTACTTAAAACACTATGTTTCCATCAAAATTAACTCAGACAAATTATGGAGTAGACTGAAATTACCATGAAAGTTTACGGTAAGACGGCCACCTTCAAAGAAGGCTTTAGCTTACAAGGCTGCTCCTGGCCGGGCCCACAGGCCCCAGGAGCCAGCACACTGTCCTCTGCACTCGGGGGACCTGGCAGACAAGTCCAAGAAATGCTGGGTGCCGACTGCTTCTCTCAGCTATGGCTGCACTGTTCTCAGTAAAGGTCTGAGTTTATGCAGGTGCAGACTGTCAAGAAAGGAGTCTGAAGACCCAGCCACAGCCTCCAGCTTGGGCTCTGTCACCTACAGTTATGTGAGCCTGGATAAGTTACTCGGTTTTTGAACCCCAGCCCTCATTAAAGAAGTAGGAGGGGACGTAATCTTTAAGAGCTTCCTTCCCCTCTGAAATTCTTTGGGTTCATGCCAGAGGTGAATTATTTGTACACTGAGATTGTCCACAGACTGTGTCTGTTTTGCTACTGGAAATCTCCAGGCTTTGCTTTTCAGAATAATAAGCTTCTTTAAAGTCCTTCGCATCCTAAAATAGCAAACGTATTAATCGGGAACAAAATGATTGATGTTACTTTATTGATGACTCACACATTGACCTATTCAAACCTCACAACACAATCTTGGGCTTAGCAGCTACTCCCACTGGCGCTAAGAAATAAATACGCTATACAGTATCTTCCATGCAAGTGAACTTCTACTCTTGCTGTTAATACATTTCTTGCTTTTCCTGAGATGAATGAATCTTCATATTTCCTTCAATTGCCTCAACATGATGGAAATACAAGAACCATGACTACCACTAACAGAGACGTGCGGGACTGAGAGGCGAGGGCGGCTGGGCCTCCCCTGTGCCGTTTCCTCTCCAGGTGACAGGTTTCCCTCCAGGCAGCACGTCTGGGCTCCACTCCCTTCACCTTTGCCTGCTCTGCTCAAGACTGTCCTACAAACCCCAGACCTCTAGGGTTTCACAAAAACATTTAAATTGTTTCCTCTGAGAAGAAGGCTGAAAGCTCCACCAGCACCAGGGCAGCACACAGCAACTGACAATCTTTCCTATATTCAGTGGATATTCCCTGGAACCAGCTATAAAAGAAACAGCAGCTGTCATGTTTATCCTCCATGAACTTATCTACTTGGATGAGGTAGGGGAGGAGTTACATCATACCCAGAAAAATAAAAAGGCTTAAATCACAGCAGCTCTCAGGTGTATGCCGACATAAGCAGTAGTTAACATTTTAGCATGGTACAAAAATAGCAAAACAAGTTTCACAGCTATTTCATTTCTACCATTATTTTCCTTATGTAGAAAAGTAAAGCTCATTGGGCCGGGTGTGGTGGCTCATGCCTGTAATCCCAGCACTTTGGGAGGCCGAGATGGGAGGATCACTTGAGGTCAGGAGTTTGAGACCACCCCGGCCAATGTGGTGAAACCCCATCTCTACTAAAAATACAAAAATTAGCCGGGTGAGGTGGCAGGCACCTGTAGTCCCAGCTGCTTCAGAGGTCTGAGGCAGGAGAATCGGTTGCACCTGGGAAACGGAGGTTGCAGTGAGCTGAGATTGTGCCATTGCATTCCAGCCTGGGCAATCAAGCACGACTGTCTCAATAAAAAAAAAGAAGGAAAGTAAGTTCGTTCTTTGAATGTTCTCTTCTGTCTGGAAATTACCAGGCAGAGAACAGAAAAGTTTGACAGAGTGAAGACTTCCCAGTATGCATTCAAGACAAGGACTTCTGTCCTAAGAGGCAGCTTTGGTAAAAAGAAATCCTTCAGCCCCAATACTGGGGTATGAGACAGCAGGGCTGCCAAGAAAAGCTGACAACAGCGACAAAAGCAGCAGCAGCAGCCGTGGCAGCCACAGCTATATCTTGCACATTTACTACCTGCCAGCCCCTGCCTGCAGCATTGCATACAGTGGTGACAGTTATCAGTACCAGTTCCGAGTCAGCAGGCCTGGGTCTGAACTGGCTCCACTGCTGACTAGCTGTGAGGGCTTGGAAAGTCCCTGACCTTTCTGAGCCTCAGTTTCCTCTTTATCTGAAAAACTGAGAGAAAACGATCTGCTCCCCATGAGGTTACAGCAAGGGTTAGAGAAGACCTTCACATAAAACACCAGGTGGGCGCAGCAGGGGTTTGGTAAATATTAGCTACTTTCACTACTTAGTGTCTTCTTTGACAGCTACTGACCTAAGAGTATAAATCCGGTTCAGAGAAGTTTAGAAGCACGATGAGAAGACAAGCATGCTAAGGCACCCACCTAGCAGAGAAGCAGGAAAAACTGGGGAAACTTCAGAGGAGGGGGACAGAGGTTCTCAACCCACAGGGAAAGCCCACTCCTTTCCCTAGGAAAATCACACAGCCACGTGCCACATACAGTAAAAAAGACAGAAGGATCACAGGTGGCGTTGCTTTGATCATCTTCATTACACAAATAAATGAAACATTTTGGTTAAAATTAAGAGTAAATCTTCATTATAGTGATTTAAGATAAATTACTTCTCTACTACAAAGTAGTTATACTTTAGATTCAAGGGAAAACTACTTACCTAGTTTTAAAGTTGTAAAGTTACAATCCCAAGGAGAAACCACTGGAAACACTGGCCCTTTCCAAAATGAATGAATGAGTCTCGGAATACATATAATTTCTGTTGCCAGGTGTGTGTGTGTTTTGGTTTATTGTTTTGGAATCTGGCCTGGGGCAGGGGGATTATACTACTGGTCTATAATCAAATACATGGCAATTTTGAATGATTAAATCTTGCATGTAGTCAAAATATTTAATTTGGGAGAAAGAAACGAATTTACTTAATTTTATCTAGGTAGTCTGAATAATAAAAGTTCTAGTAAGTCCATTCCATGAAAACAAGCTTCTTTATTTAAAAAAAAAAAACAAAAAACAAATTTGGGCGGCCTCCAGTAATAACAGTGAGGTAATAAAAATCCTCTTCTCCTGTCCCATGTCTAACACGTAGTGAGATGTAATGGACTTACTGATTGGTGAAGAGGTTGGTAATCTAAACATTATGGCCTCTGGGGCTTCAAGATCACTCCTTTAAATACGAGCAGATATTCTGGAAGCACTGGCATATGAGTAACCAGTCATAAACAATTCCTTTGCTGAGTCACACAGCCTGATTTTTCGGGGATAAGAAGTTCCTCTTGGACATTGCCTTTTGAGGACCAAACATGCTGCACCAACATTTAGTCTCACAATTCTGTAGGGATTGGATAAGAATCTCACTATAATCAGGTAACTCTCCAATCAACTTCGCTGAAACACCGTTCTGCAACTATAAATAACTTGATTTCCTGTGCTCAGCATAAGTGGCAGTTGAGACTGCAGGGTTTTTTGAAATTTGCTAAGGAGGCTTCCGCTGTGGGATATTAACTCAGGCTGAACAGAAACTGACTCTTAAAGAAAAAGGGAAATTTAGTCTCCATCTTTGCCCCAGTAGGACACTCTCAATACTACTAGAAAAGACCTACCTTACTATATTTATGTCTTACCTGCCCGGGGAAATGACATGCCTAAAACACACACCATATGATTCCACGCTCCACCATCTCAGACTGAGCTAGAGCAGGGCCAGCCCGCCTCGTGCCAACTGATTCATCCCCATATTGGTCAAGACTCCACTCTCCCACACCTGGGGACCCTGGCCCAGGTACCTATAATGAGATGGGACTTGGGAGACTGTGTGTCCACGCTCTCCCCTAACAGCCCTTTCTTGGGACAGTGCTGGTCATTTAGAAGGGCTGAATGCTAATCAGTATGTGGAAAGAGAGCGGGGTGACACAAGCCATCGCAAACACAGGGAAGTTACAAAAGCTGCAGAAATGCACAGTGTCTCCACTGTCCGCATCGGACCCTCTCCTACAGCTCCAGGGCTGGTGCCCACTTGCTGAAGAAGCCCAGGCTCCCACTCAGATCCTGCTTTTGTCTTCTAGTTGAGGTGGAGCTTGCCAAATCTACTTCCTCTGACCAACCCGGCTCTCCTCTGCATGGGTGCGGCCCCCAGTCCCTCCTTTCCGCAGGAGACCCATCCCTGAACCCACGGACACAATGCAGAGCAAGAACTGGCACAAACCAGTGTGAAACACCCACAACCACTTTCCTGTGCCTATACCCAGCCCATGGCCCAGGGCAGCCGCTGGGTGACGCCCTACCCCCCACCCATGATGACCCCCAATTCCCATCACCACTCAGCACATTTCCTTCCCTACCTGAACATTAGCCTCTTAACAGGAACTGCATTTTGCTTTTGTTCACCATGTCTCACTCTGATACAGTTTTTGCTACCATTTACCAAGAAAAGCTCCTACAGGTTCACAACTTCTCTCTGAAAACCCTTGGGGCCATGATTCAGAATTCAGCATTTTTGGACATTAGAAACGTAGTAAGATGCATACACCATATATTCTGGTACAACCCAGAGTAGCAGCCCTTAATCAAAGACATCAACAAGACTGCAGAGAAACGTAAGAAAATTCACACTCAGAGGGATCAGTGAAGACCAAAACTAGCCCCCCATTGGACAGGGCAAGTCTCACTGCCAAAATTCTGCCACAAACTTATAAAAACAAAACAAAACACAAACCTTCCGGTCTTCAAAGCTTATTGGGTTCTGGAACTGGGGGTGAGGGACAGTGGGCCTGGGCTGATCACATAACTACTCAGTTGGACACAGTCCAGACTTTCCTCTCCCTTCCTCCCGGCAGCATCTCGAAGTCATCTGAACCCAGACCCGCCCAGGAGGCTCCCAGCCTTAAGTAATAGACCCTGTAGCCAGTGCCTTAGCTGCTCCAGGTGTGCCTCTACCTACTCCTCTGATTAGCCTGTCCCTAGTTTCCTCACATCCTGTTCTCAATGTTTACTCTTCCCTTCTCCAAGGACTCTAAGTCCAGCAGGCAGCTCTTCACCTCCATCCTCCTCCTGCCATCTATGGTGTCCCAGGCTGCTCCTCAGAACACTGGCACCGCTCAACCACATTCCCACCCTTCCTTCTTTCAAGAACCCTTCCCTGATGGTGATTCAAGGGTCTCTCTTCCCAGGCCCCTAGGAACTAATTAGTTGAAGGGGTAAAAACCGGCTCCAGAGGGCTGGCCCACTGCCAGAGTTTTAAACGAAGTCACAGAAAAACCACACTAAAATGGACATTTAAAAAACAGCAACCATCTGACAAGCAAAGAACTGGCTTTTCAGTATGAGTTCATCAGACTCTACTTCTACACCTCTCTCTGGCATTTCCTAATAAGCTCTCCCAAGGTCAAGGCAGTCTGATTCATCTTAAATCTTACACACACACCCAGTAGATGATTAATTTCTACCTGATGAAAGAGTGATTGTTTGGGGCTCATACTTTTACCAAGATCCCACGAACACCTGATTAAGTGGAAAGCTAGGGTTTTATATTTCTTTTCCAAAGTGCACCCTTTCACTTTTATTCCCATTCATGTTCAACCACAAGCTGCATGAAAATGTGTATTTGCAAACCCTCTCCGCCTCATCCCCTGCCCAATTTTAATGCCAAACTACAGCCGTAGCCCCACGACTGCATATTGAGCTGGACAACGGCAAAATCCTAGAGGCAGGATCCTGTCCGCGCTGGGCGGACCCGGGAGACTAGCCAAAGTGGATTTGGCGTCTGGAGTCCTCGGCGGAGGTGGTCCCCAGGTGCTGAGCGGGTTGAGTGCTCCAAAGCACCCCAGCCGCTCCCCGGTGGTTCCAACAGCGGGTGAGGGCACCGGCTCTGGCCACCCGGTCCTTGATGCTGTATTTTGTAAAATAGCAAACTAGCAGCTCCCTGTGACTCCAGGCCAGGCGCAGACCTGGTCAGAGCCTGTCTGCAGCCCATCACCTCGGGCGGGGAGAGACCATGTGCCTTTTCGTCCTTGGAGGTGGCGTCCCACAATAAAGCGTGCTTCCTAGCGCATGAGGGACGCCGCTCGCCGGGCCACTCACGGACCCGCGCCCACTGCGCCCGCTCCCACCGCGCTGGGGTCCCGCCAGAGCCCACCCCACGCCTCCCGGGCACCTGCGCCTGCCATTGACCTCGGAACGAGCTGGAAGCCCCTGAAACCCCGCCGCAGTCACGAAAGAAAGTTTCGGAAGCGCTTTCCTCTTACCAGCTTCTGCGCTTCCGGGCTCAAACAGTCGATCTCCCGGCTTTGAGCGGCCGCGGGGCTGGTCATCCTGCCGGGCTCGGCCCGCTCCACCCGGCGGGAAATGCTCGGGGACCGCGCCGGGAGCCCCTCGCGGGCCGGGCCAGGGGGCGCGCGCTCTGTCCGCGGAGACGGAGCCACTCGCCGCTAAGTGAACGCTCGCGCTTCCGGGGCCAGGAGCCAGCCCGCCGGGGAGCGGCTCGCGGCGCTGGGCTCGGGCGCGGCCGACAGGGGCGGGGCGCAGGTGGCCGCGGGCTGAGTCGGGCTCGGGGTGGAAGGGCGCCGGGGAAGCGGGACTCGGGCGCCTCCGCCCGTCCCACGGCCCGCCCCGCCCCCCACGCAGTTCCGCCTCGGAGGGGCCCTCCCGGCTACGCCCCGCCCCGTCCCCGCCCCATGACTCGCCCCACCGCCCCCGCCCCATGACCCGCCTTCCCCGCCCCCCTGCGCCGCTCCGCCTCGGAGGGTCCCTCCCGGTTACGCCCCTTTCCCCACCCCCACCGGCTCCGCCCCACCCAGGCCCCGCCCCACGGCCTGTCCCGCCCTTCCGCGCTCCCTTAACGCGAGCCCCGCCCCGCCCCCCGCGCTCCGTCTCGGAAGGATCTTCCTGGTCCTGCCCCGCCCCTCCCGGGCTGTCCATCACCACCCCTCCGGCCCCCGCCGGAAAGAGGACCTGGAGGAAAAGACCCCTCAGGCTCCGGCCGCAGCTCCACCCGCAGGGGCCGTGGGAAGCGGGCGCTCCGGGGAGGATGCCGCGCCCAGTAGGGGTCGACCCGAAGAGGGGGTCCCCTCCGGGGGGGGACCTGCCCGGGGCTGGGCGAGGGTATGAGTTCCCGGCTCCCCCACATCCATCACCCTCAGGCCACGCTGAGCTTCCTGGACGCGGAAGCCTAGGCCCCAGCACCGCTGCACCTGCCGGCCGGGCACCCCACTAACGCGGCATCCCGAGAAGGGCCGACTTCCAGGACGACGCAGCTGCGTGCACACAGCCCCCCTTGGCCCGGTGCGGCGGCCCGCAGGGGAGAACGAGCTTGCAGGGTGCGGGTGCGGGCCGCTGGGGCCGATCTGGCGTCGCAGAACCCGGGGTCCACACCGTCCAGGCTGCGGCCGCGACGACCCCCTGCCAGGCGCCGGTCTCCTCCGGGAGGGCTCCAGCCCGCGCCACCTCCAGGCACAGGGCGCCCTCGTAACTCCCAATGAAAGTCCTGCGGGAAACGGTTCCCGACCTCGCCAGGCTGGGGGCAGAAGCGACGGGATGACGCGGATTGTAATCGGAAGGTCAGCCTGTCCTGGCCACGCCAGGAAATGTAAAATTTAAAGCACATTTACATTTTACAGCCCTCCAATTCCCAATTCCCTTTTCTCTGCACGCTGACCCAACTTGGTAACGTGAGCTCGCGCCTGTGAGCACTCACCTTCCCGCCGTGACCCGGGCCCAGGGCTTCAGGGCAGGAGTTGTCAGGAGGGTGTGCAGCAGGGAAAATGGGTGCTGAGGAGCCGAAGGACGACTTGGGAGGGATAGGGGAGAAGGAAAAGAGGGGCCGAGCAAAGGCCTAGAGAACCGCTGGGGAAGAAACGTTGAACTTAAGATGAACAGAGGCCAAGCTGTCTTTGATTGACAGCATCTCAGGCTCACAAAAGCAACTTTCAAAGATAATGAAATGCCTACCTTTCAATAGCTTGTTTTCTCCCTGTAACGCTTATTTAAATGTTGTTATAACAATTCTTTCTTTCTTTCTTTTTTTTTTTTTTGAGATGGAGTCTCGCTCTGTCGCCCAGGCTGGAGTGCAATGGCGCGATCTCGGCTCACCGCGACCTCTGCCTCCCGGGTTCCAGCGATTCTCCTGCCTCAGCCTCCCGAGTAGGTGGGATTACAGGCACCTGCCACCATGCCCGGCTCATTTTTGTATTTTTAGTAGAGTCGGGGTTTCACCATGTTAGCCAGCCTGGTTTCGAACTCCTGACCTCAAATGATCTGCCTGCCTTGGCCTCCGAAAGTGCTGGGATTACAGGTGTGAGCCACCGCGCCTGGCCTATCACAATTCTTGATTGTTTAAAGTGCAATTATTTGGAGAAAATAATTTTAAATGTTCTCTGGGAATTTATTGTAGAAAGCAGTTAGACTTTTACCAGTGGTCACAACTTCACTGATGAGAATGATAACCCATTAATAAAACAGCCCTCTTCTTCTGAGACTTGATTTTGAATATTCTGATCTAGATAGGCAGATTCTAAAGCTACTCAACACCCCGAACCCTGTGACCACATCTCCCAGAGCAGGGTACTGGGACTGGTTTCCGTTCCCTTGGCATGTCCCTGAGGCAATGCTTGAAGACACCTGTAATTGCCACAAGACACATTTTCCTAACCCCCAGGCTGCCAGTCAATTGCTAGTTACCAGCTTCTGAAAACCATACAGGGAAGGGATTAAGAAGTGGGCTCTGGAATTAAGCCACCTCGTTCAGTTCCTGGCCCTGCCACTCACTAAGGGATATTGAGCAAGTTACTTAGCTTCTGTGCCTGGAGTCTTACCCAAAACATGCCGGTGATAATGACAGTGCCCGCTGTGAGGGTGAGGACCAAAGGCTCTAACACGGGGATCCCGCTGGGCACAGTCAGGGTGAGCTGCCCTGCTAGCCTGCTGCCTAGTGTCCTGGGAGTCCAGTAAAAGCAAACCAGCACCTGCCTTGCTGCCTCTGGAGTCCCCTCTTTTCCAGATAGAGTCCCCTTGGTAGGTGCCCTGACTCAAGGTGCCCAGGCCTCCTCCTCCTCCTCCATAGCAGGAAGGAAGCTGGGCACCAGACCAAGAACTGGGATGGGCCAGGCAGCAAGACTGTGGGCAGCCCAGGAAAGAGAACAAACCCACTGCCTGCCACAACAGCTGTGGGAAGGGGCTGCTGCAGAGGATGTAGGTGGCAGGGAGGGGACCATGCCAGGACACTCACAGAGTAAGAAGCAGCGAGCTGATGAGTCTTAGTCCCAGGAACAAATGAACATTACCAGCAATAAAATAATGGCTGGTTTCTGATTCTGCTAAGTAGTAGCATATTAAAGAAAACTGCCATCCTGACACCCTTCTAGATGAGAGGATGCTACATTCTGACTTGGGTTTCAGCCCAGCCAGTCCTGTGAGGTGGAAGTCTCAGAACCATCCCCAGCTCAAGAGCAAAGTCTATACTGTAAGTTGAATGCTAATACATCTTTCTTGGTGTTTTTAGATCCCAGAGCCCCAGGAATAAAATGCAGAGGATCCACAGTTGCCTCCCAGTTTTATTAGGATGGTGCAAAAGTAATTGCAGTTTTTCCATTAAAATTAACAGCGAAAAATGCAATACTTTTACGCCAACCTAAATAATACAGGTAACTTTAAAGTCCCCTTCTTGAAGCCCCCTTCTGAGGTAGTCCCCTCTCCCACCCCCAGTCTTTTTTTTTTTTTTCAACGTAGAGCAAGGTCAATTGTGAGGGTGGTGAATGGGTGACTGGAACCCACAAACTTGACGCATGGGAAGGCCGGGTCAGAAGTCAGGGTGTGGGTGTGGCTCTGAAAGGTGGCATTTTATAGAAACATGGAGATACACAAAATGTTCATCCCAGTACTCACAGCTCTAAAGATGGCTTGGCAGAGTAACGTTAAATCATACACCTCGAAGACAAAACTAAAACCCCGAGGGCACCTTGGAAAGGTCTGAGCAGGGGGGTGGGGGGTTTCCTCGGAAGAGGGTGCATCTGGGGCCAGGCACAGTGACCCACACCTGTAATCCCAGCACTTGGGGAGGCCGAGGAGGGTGGATCACCTGAGCCCAGGAGTTCGAGACCAGCCTGGCCAACATGACAAAACCCCATCTCTACTAAAAATACAAAAGTTAGCTGGGTGTGGTGGTGCACATCTGTAATCTCAGCTATTTGGGAGGCAGAGGCATGAGAATCACTTGAACACAGGAGGTGGAGGTTGCAGTAAGCTGAGATCATGCCACTGCATTCTACTAGCCTGGACAACAGAGTGAGACTCTGTCTCAAAAAAAAAAAAAAAAAGAAAAAAAAAAAAAAGGGGGTCCATCTGGACCATACCAGCATGGGGCCCAGGGTCTTAACTAAAGAGCTGAGAGGTCAGTGACCAGGGCTTGACTTCCTCCTTCTTTTGGTAAGGATGATCCAGGGACAGCCCCTTCTAACAAGTGCCTTGGAATTTATGGCCCCTTCCAAACTGCAGTTAATGGCCTGTAGACACACAGAACTGACCTCCCGACATCACTGGTTAAGCCCAGAATCTCTGCACTGAGAGGGTACTTTGGGTTTTGTCTGACTGCCTCAGAGGGCATCCTTAAAAGTTGCCAGGCCTGTGATATAACTTTGTCTTCCTCTGTGCCCTCTCAATGAAAATTACATGTCTGAAATCTAAAAATCCATTCTCAGAAGTATAGGAGACTCCTGAGAAAAGAACGAAAGGCCAGTAGCATGGTCTAATTTTGTTCTAGGAACATCAGAATCATAGCTAACCAGAAAATGCCAGAACAGTTAGCCAATTTGGGGCCACACCCAAACATGGTTTACTTTGTCTCCATGGTGTTAGTCTGTTGCAAGGTTCACTAGCTGCGCCTCCCACTGTGGTTTGGGGCTACAGAGACAAACCCTTACAGGGATGACAACACAAGGCTGAGGGCAGACGGGGAGGACACAGTGGCTCTCAGCCTCCCCATTAGTCAGATAACTAACATGAAGTCATTTTTCTAAATCAGAGCCCTAACATCTGTTTTTCATGAACGTGAATCACTAGCCATACTCATGACAGCAGAATAAATGTCAGTAAATTACTTCTACAAACCATGAGCTTACATTCATGTTATTGCTTTATTTGGATCACCTCTTTTTTTTTTTTTTTTTTTTTGAGATGGAGTCTCGCTCTGTTACCCATGCTGGAGTGCAGTGGCATGATCTTGGCTTACTGCAGCCTCCGCCTCCCAGGCTCAAGCAATTCTCCTGCCTTAGCCTCCTGAGTAGCTGGGATTACAGGTGTGCGCCACCACGCCCAGCTAGTTTTGTATTTTTAGTAGAGATGGGGTTTCACCATGTTGGCCAGGCTGGTCTCGAACTCCTGACCTCAAGTGAACCACCCGCCTCACCCTCCCAAAGTGCTGGGATTACAGGTGTAAGCCACCACACCTGGCCTATTTGGATCCCTTTGACTAATATCTAAAAACACATCTGTTATACGTGTGGCTCATGAAATGATCACTTGAAATTTACACAGCACCTTTCAGTTTACAACAGACTTTATCCACACACTGAGGCTCACAGAGGTTATAGCACTTGTCCACAGATGCACATTGGAAGAGCGAAGCTAGGTTTTCAACCCAGGTCTCCTCAGCCCTTAGCACATCATGATGGAATGCACCAGCGGCACGCCGCCTGACGCAGAGCTGCTTCCTTCCTCCCAGCCATCCAGGGGCCTCACTCAGAGCAGAAAGTCATCACGTGGACTCAACGAATGCCCTTAGCTGTCTTCCTGGTGGACCAGTGACCACACCTCCCACTCCAGGGGCACTGGCAAAGCAGGGCACACACCCAGGTCAATGCCAGGAGCCGGATCTCCCAGTAAGACTAGGGGCACTGGTAGGAGCATCAAGCAGGGGATCCAGACCCTGCCTGCTGTCTGCAAAGAAGGTGGTACCCCACGGCCAGCTGGTCCAGCTCAGGCACAAAGTATTCTTGGCCCTCAGGCCAGGGTCCTGACTGCCTCCGGTGGACAGAAGAGCAAGAGCGTCTGGAAAGCAACAGTGAGCTTGTCTCCAGCATCCACAACAGCTCCAGTGCCGGGCTTACATATGGCAGCATGCAGCCTTCCCACAGCTGCCCTGTGACCTGGGTACTGAACCTCTCCCACCACCTCCCTCAGCCCCCACCCCCAGGTTATGAATGGGCTCTCCCGATTAAAAGCATGTTCTCACTGCTTGGAACATGGTAGGTGCCTTATAAATGATGGGTGGGTAGATGGATAGATGGATGAATGGTTTTCCTAACAAAATGGAGGACTTTGATGAATTGTCATTAATTCTCATTGATCTTCAGTATTTTATACTTCTGTAGCAATTGGGAATAGAAACTCTTTTAAAAATGACATGTCTTTAGGATATTTTTTCATAACTACCTAGCACCCAGCAATTCATCACACTTATTTTTCATCTAATAGGTCTTTTATTGTTTTTGCTTTTTAAATCTCTTTAGATTTTCTAAGGAAGGTGATGGGTTTGATTATTGATTGAACTGAATTTGAATTGGAGGCAGAAAGCCTCAGTGGAGGAGTCTAACAGGCACCTCAGCACACACTACCGATTAGTTAAAGGTGATGATAAAATCAGGCAGCATGCACAGAACAGAAAGGAGCCTGAAGGAAGGAACCTTGAGACACTTACATGGGAAGGATAAGAGGTGTGTAAGAACAAGTCAAGACAGAGAAGGGGTAGTTAGAGAGTCAGAAAATAGAGACATCTCCTGGAAGCCACAGAGTGAAGAGAGCAAGGTCAGGAAAGACTTTAATTTGCAACTAGAAAAACACTGGTCATTACATTCTGCCATTAAAATTTGGCAATTAAACATTTTCTGTGATTTGTGCATGTGTAATAAATGGTAGACGGCAGCCTTGAAGGAAGGCGGGACCAAGGAAAAGGCTTTGCATGGGGGAGATTTATTCATGGTTTGTCGGTTTTTAAGGATGGAAGAGATGTGAGCCTGTCTGGAGGCTGAAAGGACAGTGAGAAAAGATGGAGTGGGTGGGGCAAGGCCTGAGGGGCTGCCGACCAAAGGCTGGGTGTGGGGAGCGGGGAGGGGAGCTGCAGGCACTGGCATCTTGTACTGACTCAGGATTTGATCCGATTGTGAGCTCCATGGGAATGAGGACACCAAAGTGGCCAGGAGAGGGCAGATAACTAGATGCAGAGCTTCCTGTGCAGGAAGAGTGGATGGCAGAGTTGAGGGAGGATAAGGAGCAGGAGGACCCAATATTGAAGGACCTGCCTCAGAGCTGTATGTGTCCCAGTCAAGGTGCACTGTACCTGAGCTCAGAGCCCTTCCATGGCGTTACATTACACCATTAAATGTTGTTTTGTGATACACTCTGAGGCATACTTAAAATAATTTCTAATGTATTTTACTCTGGAATTAAACTCATCTCAAAAAGTGTCTAGGAATAAGTCTATAGCAATCCTAAATGTATCCGCTTTCCCAGTGTGTTCCACAGAATTGATGCTTTTTAAGTCCATACCAGAGTGACCACAGTAACCTCCTCTATACACAGTAGCCAAGGAAATGGCCACAAACACCTCCAGTAAAGCATCTCTAAGAAAACCACTTCTGATTTTTGGGGTTTTTTTGTGTGGGGGGGGGAGGGTAGGGAGACAAGGTCTCACACTGTTGAGTGTCAGGTTGGAGTGCAATGGCACAATCTTGGCTCACTACATACAACCTTGGCTCACTGCAACCTTGTCTCAAGCTATCCTCCCAACTCAGCCTCCCAAGTAGCTAGGCCTGCAGGTGTGCACCACCACGCCTGGCTAATTTTTTTTTTTTTTTCAGAGACAGGGTTTCAGCATGTTGCCCAGGGTGATCTTGAACTCCTGGGCTCAAGCAATCCACTAACCTTGGCCTCCCAAAGTGTTGGAATTACAGGTCTGAGCCACCGCACCAGGCCCAATTTTGTTTTTCATGAAGACAATGCACTGCAAATATCTACCAATTACCTTCTAAAAACACGACAGCTAAAATCCATTATGTATTTCTCAGTCTTACAGGCACAAACTCTGAAAAGTCCTCCTAAGGCAGCTCTCCTGTGAAGAAAAAAAAAATCTATACATGCTCTCAGAATAGTTCATTTAAAATGTTCAGAATAGATGCTGACATGGGGAAATAAGCTTCATCCTCAACAACTGCATTCACCAGCTAACAGTATACCCCACTGAGAAGAAATAAATCAAATGCTTCAATATATACTTAGGAATAGAAAATGGCAATTTGTTTTTTTTGAGATAGTCTTGCTCTGTAGCCTAGGCTGGTGTGCAGTGGTGTGATCTCGGCTCACTGCAGCCTCCGCCTCCTGGGTTCAAGTGATTCTCCTGCTTCAGCCTCCCAAGTAGCTGGGACTACAGGTGTGTGCCACCACACCCAACTACTTTTTTTTTGTATTTTTAATAGAGATGGGGTTTCACCATGTTGGCCAGGCTGGTCTTGAATTCCTGGCCTCGAGAGATCTACCCGCCTCGGCCTCCCAAAGTGCTGGGATTACAGGTGTGAGCCACTATACTTGGCCAAAAAAAAAAAAAAAATGGCAATTTTAGTACAAAATAAAAGCAATGTATTTTTTCCAGAGATTCCCTCATTTATGTGGCTTTGCCTCAGTAATCCTGCCTATGAGTTTAACATTCTAGAAAAGAGAATATTCCTGACAGTCAGAGCCATGAAATAAATCTTTACGCTACTAGCTGAAAACTTCAGAATCCACCACGCTACAAATGTCATTGATAAATGTCATTCACAAAAAAAAGAAGTGTGGGGAGAATAGGACTCCATAATCTGAATTTAAACAGTACCCATAGCATACAGAGAAGTTTAAGGTACTCAAGATGTATTCGAAGGCTTAAAAGTAAAGCACTGCCACTAAGCAACTTGGCTTCCAGGCTCCCTGACTGAAGGGCAGACATGAACATCAGGAACGGTGAGCATCCTTCCAGCTGAAGGTACAGAAATCCTAAAACAGCATCCCCAAAATGATCTTTCCAAGAAAATGAATTTCCATAAAGGAAAATAAAGGCTAAAACACACTTCGGCATAACACTAAAAACATAGACCCACACTCTAATAGAAGGGTTTGCCCTTTTGCACTTTGGCCCTTGAGAGATAGCTCAAAGCAAAGTCATCAACTATTCGAGTACAAAAAATGTTCTCCATGTGTACAAATTGGATATCTTTAGAGAAGACTTGGACATAGAACATACAAGCCTCACCTTTGAAGAATGAAGATCTTAGATGAACTTCAGGGGGAGTGTGAGGAACGCCAGAGAGCAGCCATTTGGAGAGACATGCTTGGCACGAGAGTGGAAATTCTGGAATAACTGGAGATCAAATAGCCACTCCTGACCACGTCACCTTTATACCCTGTACCTCACTGGGCAGCTGCCTTGGCATGATGAGAGGGCGTGGTCCCCTAAACGCACTGGAGGCTTTCCAAATGCTTCTCTGACCTGACCGTCGGCTTGATTTTAGTTGCTGAGATTCCACTGAAGCCCTCGCCCCTTGTCTCCACCCCGTTGGTGGCATCTGTATCAAATGTGCTGTCGGGCTTTTTGGGAAACCCTAGGATTGATAAAGAGCAGGGTCCCCTGACGTTTGGGGTTGCACAGTTCCTTGTCGTGGGCGGCTGTCCTGTGCATTGCAGGATGGCTAGCCGCGTTCCTGGCTCCACCCACCAGATGCTGGCAGCGCTCTCCACCCCAGCTGTTACAACCAAAAATATCTCAGACATTGCCAAGTGGCCCTGGATCTAGAGGGGCCTGTACCTGCATCCGAGGTGCCCACACTGTGGAAGCACATTCATGTCTCAGCTTATACAGCTGGATGGGGCCCCAACAGTTCCACAGCAAAGCATGCACAGAAAGAATGGTCAAGATGGGAATATGTGCACACGGCATCTAACATCTGTTGCCTTCTTCTTTCATCCAGTGAGAACTTGAAGGCAGGGCTGCTTGTCAGGGACGGCAAGAAAGTCAGCGCCAGGAGCATTGAAAGACAGGAGGTGCAGGTCACTGGGTGGGAAGTGGGGAGTTGAGATTTCAGATGTGGTGTGGTCACACCAAGGGATGTAATCCTGGAAGTTGGCTGGAAGAAAGAACAGCTGAAGTGAGAAGATCAAAGAACTGGGTTTTGCTTCTCGGCACCTCTGGGAAGGCCCAATCCAAGAGTAAGCCGATGGGAGAGAAAACAACCCTGCACCCCTACACAGAGAATGCAAGTGACCTGTGCAGAAGGCCTCAAAGCTCCAAAGCAGAGGTTTAGCAGATAATCAGGCTCGAGCTCCTGTTCTGCCATTCACTAGCCTGTAATTTCAAGGAAATCCCCTGACCTCTTCCAGCTTCCTACGTAAAGCAGGGAGAGAGACAGCCAGCAGACAGGACTGCCCGGAGGACTGCAAGTAACAGGGGACCTGAGCCTGGCATGAACAAGTACTTTGTTCCGTTGCACTGGCAAAAGATTCCGTCTGGCAGCTCATTCCATCTGCTATTTGACCATACACAGATTATTTTTTTCCCGCAAAACAAGGGGCTCTAGAATTACAATTTACATCCAGGTTAGAGAAGTTGCGGGAAGGTCTAGCATCACTCAGTTAGCTTGGACTAGGTTTAAAACTTCATCAGTGCTTTTGGCACACTCAGGGAGCTTCTGCCGTCTTTCAGGCAGCTGTCCGTCTTCGAGCCCAGCACTGTGTTGTTGCTTTACTGCTATTCCCAAAGCCAAGCTTGTGGAGTTCTTAGTCCTCAGATGAACACAATTAAGAATAGGACTTTGGGAGGCCGAGGCGGGCGGATCACGAGGTCAGGAGATCGAGACCATCCCAGCTAAAACGGTGAAACCCCGTCTCTACTAAAAATACAAAAAATTAGCCGGGCGTAGTGGCGGGCGCCTGTAGTCCCAGCTACTTGGGAGGCTGAGGCAGGAGAATGGCGTGAACCCGGGAGGCGGAGCTTGCAGTGAGCCGAGATCCCGCCACTGCACTCCAGCCTGGGCGACAGAGCGAGACTCCGTCTCAAAAAAAAAAAAAAAAAAAGAATAGGACTGCGGCCGGGCACGGTGGCTCACACCTGTAATCCCAGTACTTTGGGAGGCTGAGGCAGGCAGATCACCTGCGGTCACTAGTTCAAGATCAGCCTGGCCAATGTGGTGAAACCCCGTCTCTACTAAAAATGCAAAAATTAGACAGGCATGGTAGCATGGGCCTGTAATGCCAGCTACTCAGGAGGCAGAGGTGGGAGAATCGCTTGAACCCAGGAGGCGGAGGTTGCAGTGAGCCAAGATCACACCACTGTACTCCAGCCTGGGTCACAGAACGAGACTCCATCTCAAAAAAGAAAAAAAAGAATAGGACTGTGTAAAAGACATAGGCATGCAAAGACCAGAAGGACATGCAGAATAAACACAGGGCTGCTCTGCCGAAGTGGTAGAACTGTGGGAGTTGTAAACATTGCTTTTTGAACACCCTTGGATATTGTCAGAATGCTCTTTTTACAGTACGCAGGTTAAGGAACTTGGACTTTATTCAGGAAGCAGTAAAGGACCCACTGAAAGTATTTGAACAGGGAGGTGAGATTGTGTTTGAATAAAGAAGCTGTGGGCTACAAAAAAGTTGAAAACTACCCCTGTTATGTTTTTTCAAAAATTTCTTGGCCAGCCTCTCCATTTATTCTTCCAGATTAACTCAGGAGTCTATTTGTTTTTTTTCTTTTTGTCATTGTTGTTGTTGTTTTTGACACAGGGTCTCACTGTGCTACCCAGCCTGGAGTGCAGTGGCGTGATCATGGCTCACTACAGCCTCCACCTCTTGGGCTCAAGTGATCCTCCCATCTCAGCCTCTGGAGTAGCTGGGACCACAGGCCTGTGCCACCTTGCCTGGCTAATTTTTGTATTTTTATAGAGATGGGGTTTCACCATGTTGCCCAGGTTGGTCTCCAACTCCTGGGCTCAAGTGATGGGCCCACCTCAATCTCCCAAAGCGCTGGGATTACAGGCATGTGTCACCACGCTGGCCTAGAGTCTATTTGTTAAGCTTTCAACCAACCTTCCCCTCTAAACTGAGATTTTATTTGAAATGCATTATGCAGTTGTCCCTCGGTATTCAAGGGGCATTGGTTCTAGGACCCCTTCCAACCACTGGGATACCAAAATTGGAGATGCTCAAGTCTCTGAGCATAAATGGTGGAGTATTTGCACATAACCTGTGCATATCCTCCTGTGTACTTGAATCATCTCTAGGTTCCTGTTCATACCTAATACAATGTAAATGCTATGTAAATAGTTGTTAGACTGTATTGTTTAGAGAATAATGACAAGAAAAACGTCTGTACATGTTCAGTACAGAGGCAACCATCCATTTTTTTTCCAAATATTTTCTTATTTATTTATTGCAATGGGGCCTCACTGTGTTGACCAGGCTGGTCTTGAACTCCTGGCCTCAAGCGACCCTCCCATCTTGGCCTTCCCAAGTGCTGGGATTGCAGGCCTGAGCCACTGTGCCTGGCCAGCCACTGCACCCAGCCTTTTTTTTTCCCAAATATTTTTGATTTGAGATGGGTTGAATCCATGAATGTGGAACCCACAGACACAAAGGGCCAACTGTATTTATCATTTATTTGGGGATGGATCCGTGTCTTTTTAATGTGGAGTTTTCTTGTTCAGAGACAAGGTATTGCTCTCTGCATTTTTCAACTGACTATGTCCTTCAGTAAATTATTATGGTCTTCATATAGGCCCTGCATTTTTCTTTATTCCTACATGCAACATTGAGTGGGATTTTATCATTTTTTCCATTATTTAAAAAATCAGGCTGGGCGCGGTGGCTCATGCCTGTAATCCCAGCACTTTGGGAGGCCGAGGCGGGTGGATCACCCGAGGTCAGGAGTTTGAGACCAGCCTGACCAACATGGTGAAACCCTGTCTCTACTAAAAATACAAAATTAGCTGGGCGTGGTGGTGCATACCTGCAATCCCAGCTACTCGGGAGGCTGAGGCAGGAGAATCACTTGAACTCAGTTGGCAGAGGTTGCAGTGAGCCGAGATCATGCCATTGCACTCTAGCCTGGGCAACAAGAGCGATACACCGTCTCAAAAAAAAATCATTACGGTAGGATATAGGAATGCTTTGGTTTTTTGTTTCTGTTATTACAAACTATCTTACTGAACTCTCAGTTTGAGACTGACTTTTTGGATTAGACATACACATAATCCGCAAGTATTTACAAATTTTATCTACACCCTTTCAGTAGTTATATTGCTGATTTCTTTGTTGGGTATGAACATCAGAACTGCCATTATCATCATCATTTTACGGTTATTGCTGATATATTCCTTCTTCCTTAAATTACTCTACAATTAGAGAAATAATCAGGACACAGTAGCTTTGTGAGTTAGTGCTTGCTCTGTAATCACACAGTACAGGACTCAGCCTTGTCAGAATTTAAATAGCATTTAAAACTGCTTATGAGATAAACAGAGTTGTGTTGCAAGGCACCTGAAAGGAAACAAATTACACGTCTCATAACAAGATACTCTTGCCTAAAGGCTAGAATCTAAGTTAGACCAGTGGAAGATCAACTTGGAGAAGGAATAATACTTAAGTCAGTGAAAAGTGATTTTCATTGTTGATGCTGGAGTACAATTGTCTACTGTGGTGACAGGGAGCACAGATTCTAGGCGCGCTGTGCCTGGTGGGAGTCTTCAGCGCTGGGCAAGTTACATATCCTCTCTTTGTGTTTCAGTTTCCTCATCTGTAAAATGGGAGGGATAATGGTACCCAGTTCCCAGGGTTTATAAGGATTAAATGAGTTGCTATTGATAATCATTATTTAAGTAAATACAATACTAGAGATGTAAGTGCAATGAAGGTGTTTGATCTATATAATGCAAGCTACAAAATAGTTTGAGGGGCGGGGTGCTGTGGCTCACACCTGTAATCCCAGCACTTTTGGAGGCTACGGCAGGCAGATCACTTGAGGTCAGGAGTTTGAGACCAGCCTGGCCAGCATGGTGAAACCTTGTCTCTACTAAAAAAATCCAAAAATTAGCTGGGCTTGGTGGCAGGTGCCTATAATCCCAGCTACTCAGGAGGCTGAGGCAGGAGAATTGCTTGAACCTGGGAAGCAGAAGTTGCAGTGAGCTGACCTCACTCCACTGCATTCCAGCCTGGGTGACAGAGTGAGACTCTGTCTCAAAAAAAGAAAAAAAAATAGTTTCAGGATAATTTAATCTAAATCTGATGTACCCAGTCACACTTTACCAAGGGATGTGGGAGCTGACATTTGTCCCTGACACACCAGCCCCTCCCCACCCACCTTCCTGCATACCCCAGGGCTTCTACCTTGCCCTACTCTGCACAGCCTGCTGTGTACCCCCTGCTGCAGGGAAAGAGGTGTGCCTGTTAAAACACACACAACCCCAACAGTAACTGGAATTCTACATCCCGTGGCTCTAGTAGGAGTAACCTTACTACTTTTCTAGAACAAGAGGCCTGAACTTTGCGCTGGTTATTTTTTTAAGGCACCCGGTGATTTCCTAGTTGAAAGTTATGATCTAGACAGCTGGACTTGAACTTCGAGAGCCAGATAAGGAGCTATGACTGTGCCTCCAAAGAATGATATTAGGCAATGGAAGCTCATGAACTTCTCCTTTTTGGCAAAGAGACCCTCCCATGGTGTAGGTTTTAGAAAAAGGGGAAATGGTCCGCCCGAGGTGACGCAATGGACTCAGAGTATTAACAAGATAAATATGTTTTTAATATAAAGCATATTAAACCTTTTTAGCTCTAACACTCTACGATTATTTAAAATATATGCCCTACATTTAGAATACAATATTAGAGCTCCAAGTCTAACTTGCAGCATCTTCGTCTCTGGGGGAAGGCAGAGGGACCCAGGCAGTGAGGAAAGCAGAAATCAGGCAGACCCCGATGTGGCTGGGAGGGTGGCCTCCCGGTACCACAGGTAGGCTGTGCTAGAGGTTTCATGGTGGCTCGATAATATCAGATAATACAGTGATAAGAAGGGATCTGCACTGAAACTTCAAATAATTCACATTTTATTAATTATGTAGTTTTTAGTTTTTTGGGTAGAGATTGGATTCTTGCTATGTTGCCTAGGCTGGTCTCAAACCCCTGGCCTTAAGCGATCCTCCTGCCTTGACCTCTCAAAGTGCTAGGGTTATAGATATGAGCTACTGTGCCTGGCCTTCAAATAACTTATATTAAATGGACAAAATAATTTGGTCTTTTGTAGGTAGAAGCAACCCAAGTGTCCACTGATGGCTGAATGGAGAAACACAATGTAGTATAGATACATAGTGGAATTTAACTCAGAATTAAAAAGGAAGGAAATGCTGTCATCTGCTAAAATGTGAGAAAACCTTGAGGACATCATGCTAAGTGAAATCAGCTAGTCACAAAAGGACAAATGCTGTATGATTCCAACTAGATGAGGTACCTCATACTATTCATCAAGACAAAGTAGAATGATGGGTGCCAGGGCTGGATGGAGAAGAGAATGGGGAGTCAGCGTTTAATGGGGGCAGAGTTTCAGTTCTGCAAGATGAAGAAGTTCTGGGGATGGCTGGTGGTGCTGGCTGCACAAGAGGGTGAGTATACTTGATGTCACTGAAATGTACACTTAAAAATAGTTAAGATGGCAAACTTTGTTATGTGTATTTTAGCACAATTTAAAACTAACGTTTAAGAAAACAATTTACCCTTTTGTTTATGTAATCACAAAAGGAGGAAGACGAAAGCCAGCGCAGAGTTTCCCCAGAAAACAGGAGCCAGATGGTGCGAATCCAACAGACTCCACGTGAAATCAGCCACACCAAAGGTCAGGAGATCTGTGTGGAGAGAAACTTTCAGAGAAGGCAACCAGGGCACATCTCTGTTTTAAAACCATCTCCTGGGCCGGGCACTGTGGCTCACGCCTGTAATCCCAGCACTTTGGGAGGCTGAGATGGGCAGATCACTTGAGGCCAGGAGTTTGAGACCAGCCTGGCCAACAGGGTGAAACCCAATCTCTACTAAAAATACAAAAATTAGCCAGGTATGTTGCCCATCTATAATTCCAGCTACTCAGGAGGCTGAGGCACGGGAATCCCTTGAACCGGAGAGGCGGAGGTTGCAATGAGCCGAGATCGTGTCACTGAACTCCAGCCTGTGTGACAGAGCGAGTCTCTGTCTCAAAAAACAAAACGAAACAAAACCCACAAAAATAAAACCATCTCCCTACCATGAGCCCTCCACATTTGCAATTCATGAAAATGGAAAGCTGTCATGTCCCCACGTGAATTTTCGGGTCTCACTAGAAAGATAACCATCAGGACCGGCAACATGGGATTCAACAACAGTTTCTGGTCTAATTTTTTAAAAAGGACGAAAGAAGGCAGGCTGGTGTCATGCAATACTGCTTGCATTAAAGTATGTACATTTAAACTATGTACCTTGAACTTTTATTGGAAAAGCGAAGCTCAGTAGTAAAAATTTACGTTAATCAAATTCATGGAGACAGAAAGTTGCATGGGAGTTGCCAAGGGCTGGGGAAAGCAATGCCCACTCCACCTTCAGCTCTGTGAATTTGGGGAGTCAGTGTTTAATGTGTACAGAATTTCAGTTTGGGAAGATGAAAAAGTTTTGGAAGTGGATGATGGTGATGGCTACACACTAGCGCACTTAAAACCACTGAACTTTACACCTAAAAATGGTTAAAATGGTAAATCTTAGAAATATTTTATCACAATAAAATTATGGTCAAAGTTTTACATTATAAGAAAAGGGCCAGGTCAACCTACTGCTTTACAGCATCCTGTCCAGCTATAAAAATAGTGTTTAAGACAAGTATGAAGTAGAATTGGAAATGCTTATGACAAAGATTATGACAATTATATCTCTGCAAAAATAAACAACACCTAAGGCCCTAAGGAAATACATCAAAATGGAGCCATGGGTGTTTTTATGTCACAAGGAAGATAGAGATATTTTTTTCTTTACTTTTCTTTTCCAGTGTTCTTTTTTCTTCCATGAGCAGGTACTACTTTTAAAGGGGGAAAATAACAAAGTTCATTTCCTTCCATAACTTCATTCGAAAAGAAAGGGAGGAAGAACAGAAAGAAAACCCTTTATGTTTTGTGTTCCTAGAGGCATTTAAACCCAGCCCAGGAAACGGCAATTAATCAGGCTGGCAACTGCTCTCAGCTCTCTGTTTTTTGGTATAGTGGATCCCCCTGGCAGGCTGGTGAAGCCTGTGGAGCATTCTTGGAATAATATTTTTAAACGCATGTAACGAAACATAGGGTTACGAAGGAAACTGATTATTCTGAAACACATTGTCAAAAAATATTTTTAAATCCTGATATAGTGTATCAATCAGAGCCAAGTCAGGAGAAAAAGAAATTACAGCAGTGATTTCAATAGAAGCAATACAGGCAGCCCCTAAACAGGTGTTGCTTGGCCGAAAAAGCAAAGGAGGCCTCATACCACAGAGGCGTCATCTCAGGAACAGCTAGGGCTGGAGACAAAGACCGGGGTGATGGTCCCAGAAGGCTTGGAGTGGGGACCCGGACCTCAGAGCGGGGGCTCAGGAGGGACTGGTGAGGGTGGTGTCTGGGCGTGTGAAAAACACTAGAAACAGAACCAACAACTGCAGCCAGGGTGAAATCCCGTTGCTGGGGTGACGCTCACAGAAACAGGAAGCAGGCAGGAAGCAGCGTGCTCCGGGCTCCCTCCTCCCACTGCCCAGGCTCTCTCTGGGGGCAGGGCCCGATAGGGCACAGCTCTGGCCCTGCAGCAAGGAAGGGAGGGTTTGCAGTGGAGAGGCAACAGTTCAACAGCCAGCACGTGCGTGCACGTCCTTATTCCACCAAATACTGACAGTGATGCATGAAACCATTTCCCCAGCTCTCAGCAACAACCCGAAAGTGACGGAGAAATACCTGTGGTTTCTATTGGTGCTGAGGTCACACTTCTAATACTACCGAAGGTTTTTGCCCGCATTCATAATGGAAGGTAATGCTACCCTTTTATTCCTATTCAGTTTCGGGGATCTCTGGAAATCTATCCAAAGGCCCCTGGGGGAATTCTTGGACCCAAGGTTAAGAATCCCTCTGGGCCTTTCAAGGTGTCAAATGCAGTTCTTTTGTCTTCCTTAATTTTTGCTTTTGAAAGTCACATAATTGACCATTGATACCAGGGTTTTAAAACAGGTTTTTAAAGCAAAAATAATAAGAGGACAAACACATGCCATTCTGCACAGCTCTCATTTAACTAACACTGATGGCCACTCCTGCAGATAGCAAACAGTCACTTTTGCAGTGTATCACATTTTGCCTATTTCTGAATGCCACAGAAAAGAAGGAAAATGCACAACTGCCCTTGCGTCCTTGCCCCTGCTCATCTGCGGGCGCAGGCTAGGATTCTGGGGGGCTGCAGAGCTCTTTCCTGTAATACCCCACCACCCACTTTGACCACGACCTAGATGTTGATGGGCACCCAGTTCATATTTCCAATCCTGACTCCTCCAAGCCTCAGCCCCTGCCGTCTGGACACCTCTTCCTGGAAGCCCCAAAGGCACCTCAAATGTGACAGATCCAAAGCAGAATTCCTGCTGCCCCCTGAGTCCCTTCCCTGCATTTCCTTCCCGCGGGGGCAGCAGCAGTGCCTCCTAGCAGGCTTCACTTGAAGTCCCTGTGCCCAGACTCATGTGTAAAGGAGAGACAATAATAGTGACAACTTCATAGGGGTGGTTGTTGTGAGGATGAAACGAGACAATAGACAGTGTTTGTAGACGCGCTCTGCACAGAGCCTTAGTGTCAGGAAACGCCCACCACTCACTGCCAGCTGCTGGCGCTCCTGAGACAGCCTCCGCCCACCTCTCCGCCCGTCATCGAGTCAGCTTCCTCTCTTAATGCCACTCCGTGCCCTCCCACAGCTGCTGTCTTAGAGCAGGCCTCAGCATGTCTCCTCAGAATGATCTGAATTGTCCCCAAACGGTACCCTCCCCGCCACTGCTGCCAATGTGACTTCCTTCATTCACACATTGATTCATTCCATCCACAAACACGGACCCAGGGCCTCCGCCGTGCCAGATACCACGCCAGCTACAGACAGAACGACCGACCGGGGGCAGCCGCACTTTCTGGGGAGGACTGATGTCAGACAACCGCACACCCAGCGAGGGTAACTGTGAGGAACCACCCCACGCCACGCCCCACGCCACGCGCGGCACTGGATGTACAGACAGGAAACCCAGAGGGAAGTGCAGAGGTGCAGGGAGAAGGTGAATCTGACCCCTCAGCTCTCTTGGCGAGACCCTGGCGAGGCTTCACCTTGAGAATGGGGTGACGTCCAGACTCCCCCCGGGCGCCTACCATGGCTTCCTGGCGAGGCCCTGGCATCCTGCTGCCTGCGGGCCCTCCCAGCGCTGTCCCCGCATTGTCCCATCTCCTACAGACCAGGGACACAGAGGTCTGTTATGCCGCCTGGTGGTGACTTAGAGCCTTGGAAAGGGAATTGCCATGTTTATTTTTTTTTCACTGAAACAGTGTATAAAGATGCAACGGTATTTGTAATAAAAGAAGGCCCAGCCCTTAGCTGAAGAAGTTAGGCTAATCCGTGTGGGGGTTTCATTTCACCTGAAGAGAAGGTCCCTCCTTCACTGTCTCACAAAGTGAGAGAAAGCACAGTGTGTGGTAAGTCTGTTCTTCGCCTAAAACGACGGAGCACGGTCATCGTATTGTAAAAGAATTTCTCATGCTTCGTGAAGAATGGAAACACTGCAACCATCTATATAAGACGCCAAAATTCAGTATTTTGTGGCTTAGCTATAGCAATACCTGGAAACACAGATGACTCAAATTGAGAGGTTATGTTCAGAGCTTCAATATCAGGGACATAGTTAAAAGGATATATCATCCACATTTGGATACTGTAAAGTCTTATTTCAAAATATGATAAAGTAGATATTCTCTTAGAAGAATCAGAAGGAAACCAAATTTAAAACACACCAACAGCGGGTGCCAGGGTGAAATCCTGGCAAGGACAAATATTGAAAAAATGGTTCAATATTTTTTCAGGAACAAGATAAACTTTGTGTTGAGGAGTACAGAAAATTCCCTGCTTTCTTTCCATTTTGACAGAGCCATCTGATCATAATGGAAAACTAATAGTTTTAAGATCTTTTATTTTTCAAATATTAAATTTTCATTGAACACAAAACTCTGACTCTCTTGCAAAAGAACTACATTTCTCACCTTGATTTTAAGAGATTCCTATTGCCAGTAGATAGCTATATACTGTCTACTATTTTTTAAAAAGCCACTAAGAAAACAAGAAGCTGGGGCATCGATCCTCACTCTCTAAAGTGATTGTAGAGCTAGCTTGCTGTGTGCGCTCAAGGAATTCTAGAAACCATGAGAAGGAACTGAAGGAAGGTGACCCAGCAAGGCAGGTTCTGCTGTGGTTTAAGCCAGTTAGCTTTTTTACTTTTCTGGATACAGGTGCTTGGTACAGGCCAATATTGTATATGATGCAATATTATATATTTTAAAGGATCTAGACAGAAAGGAAAAAAAACATTTTTTTCAGAGACAAATGCTATGTTAAACTACTTCTGCCTAAGTAATTGTCTGCTGAAAAGAACTATTTACTGAAACACTGAATTTGAAAAGAATGATACTGTATCAAGTCATATAATTTCGTTAAAGAAGCAGAAGTGGAAATAAGGAAAAGAAACCCTCAACCCGGTGAACAGTGAAAAAGCATTAAGAAAAGATGTTGCCAGACGGGTTAGTTACAGCAGTTAAATGTGATTTACTTAGAGAGGGCATCTAGTATGTTTCAAAAGGAATACACAGACACACACATGCATGCAGGCACACACACACATGTGCACACACACATGCAGGCACACACACACCTGCACACACACAGGCATGCACACGTGTGTGCACACAGACACATAAAGCAGTGCTGAGTAGGCTGAGGAGCTGTCTATGAGTGGTGGCCCTGTCCCTGGCCAGCTTCTCCTGAAGGGACACAGACACGGGGAGCAGGGGTGATGAGCTGCCCACTGCAGGGTGAGAGCTCCTGAGCCACTCCTTGCTGCCCCGGCTTCCGTCCCCTTACCTGTCTTCCTTGTCCCTGTGACCCCAGCTCATCCTACCACAGTTCCCTTTAGTTGCTGGAAGACAAAAGGCTCACATGACATGAAATGTATTGTTACAATAGGTTTATCTCTGATTTAAACGTCTCCAACTTTAAAGTACCCAACCTATAAGCCAGTAAGAGAGCATCTATTCTGTGCCTTCCTGGGTTTCTGATGTGTGACAAGCAAATTAGCATTTGTGGGATCACGGATGTGCTCCGATTTGTTTTCTTAAGTGGAGTTGAAGTGTTTCAGAGCCTTAGCTGGTTTGAAGGCCTCTGGCTCTCAGATCTGTATGGCTGTGGCAGCTTATAACCACTATGGACACTTGTAGGATATGTGTGTAGTGCAGGTTATCACACGAGGGACACAAGTCCATGGGTCACTGCTTGGAAAGGGAACTTCTGGGATCATCAACGGTAATGGTCATTCGAAGCTGAAGGGGTTCCCTTGTTCAAAATCTCTGGACTCTTCATATGCAACAGGCCAGTTCTCCCCAGGGAGAACATAGCGCTCTTCAGATGAAATGCGAGGGATGGAATGGAACTTTCAAAGTAGGGGCTTGGGCTGCCCCACACAGCTGTTAGTGCCAGCAGCCTCTGTCATCTTCACGACCTCCGTGGGACTCCCAGGGAAAATATTTCTAAGTGAGGAGGAGGAGAGGGAGGAGGAGACCCTGCCGCTGAGGATGTTCCAGACGTTCGGAAAATGCCTGGCACGCTTCCATGTGCTTGCTTCTCGTAACGGCCCCACGGGGAGGAACAATCATGCTTTCTAGCTTAGACGCAGAAACTGAGGCAGGCAGGGGACGCAGCCTGCAGAGGTCCCATAGTCCTGAGCCACACAGCCAGAGCTGGGCCCAGGCAGGCAGGACCTGCCATCTGGGAGCGCTGTGACAGACATTCCTTAGACTGCCACCGAGTGCTGGCCCTGCAGGCGCTGTGTTGGGCACTTTCTATGTCTTAGTGCAGGTAAGTCTCAACAGCCTTGCAAAGTCTGTATTATCATCTGCACAGCACCAATGTGGAAACTGAGGCTCGGTGAGGCACGTACTGTAGTTGACACAGCTTCAATTCAGCTCAGCAGACCTCTGGCTCAGCATGATGGGCTGTCGGTGTTGCTGGCTCTGTCCTACCCCACCCCTGGCTTTCACAGAACAAATAAACATTTTCCCCTCCATCTTAAAATCACAGCCAGGAAGGGGCCTCCTAGTACATCTGGCCTAGGGCCGCTGCTCCCCAGCAGACCAATGTCATTATCTCAGGCTTGACCAGTGACCTGCCCAAGGCCACACAGCCAAGGGACACACCGAGGTGTCGGGGCACTGACGTCCCGGTGCAGGACGACCTCCTGTTGATCGACACTGCTTTCTGCCCTGCCAGCTGTGTTCTCATGACAGCAGATAGCTTTATTTGGGACATTTCAGACGTTTTCCTCTCTGCAAAATATCCAGTTGACAAATCATCATGAGAATATGCATTACGTTTTCCTTTCTAAAATTAGAACTATCTCCCACCATTTGTCAAATGCCCAAGAACACAGGAAAACTGACTCTTCCCAGCTGGTTTTCATTAGATGATATGGTGTCTAATATTCAAATCTGTCCAAAGACGGCCCCAATCTTTTGCCAGAAGTTGACTCAAGCTGATTCTCCCAAAAGCAACGTGCGAGGCTCTATGCCACGTGCACACATCCCACATTTGGGCGGAAATGGAGACCGGTCAGGCTTCTGCTACTCAGCCACTGTTTCCTAGGAATGAGCTCATGGAACAGCCGGTCCATGTTTAATGACACCGTTATTTTTACAGGGAGGAGTGTGGTTAAGCATTTACCCGGGGTGGAGGCATCACTGTGGTTCTGCTGAACTCCAGCTTTTAGCACTCACTCCTCTGCTCAACAAACCGTGACGGCCTCAACATCATACAAGAGAAAGCCCGGCAGGAAACTCCGTTTAGGGTTATCAAGCACCTGGTCAGGCATATTTCTTTAAAGACATGAGGAAGATATTCAGTTCCTAATCTAAACTGAAAAAAAATATTTGCAACAACTATGAAAAAGGTTAATAAGCAATCCACAAATCAGCAAGAAAATATCAACACTCACTCTAAGACACGTTTTGACGATTTGAAAAAGAACTTGAGATACCTAAGAATCAGTTAGCTGCCAGTTTTTAGCTGTCAAATTTACAAAGCTGAGATAATCACAGTACTTAATCCTGTGATGAACAAGACACTCTCAGACAACACAAATGCAAGTGTAAACTGATACACCCTTTCAGGAAAGCAAAGCTCCAGGTCCTTAACCGTGTTTGTAGGTTTGGGGTTTAAATTGCACTTCTAATATTCTAATTTAAGGAAATAATTTGAAGTAGAAAAACCTCACTCTTAAAGATGTTCACTGCAATGCTATTCACCGCAGTAAACAAACACAAAAGCCTCAGTGTCCAGCAATACGGAAGTGAGGACGTGATGGTGCATCCTCAAAGCCATATTTTGTGGCCATTAAAACATTTTTACAGAGCATTTGATACAAGAGTTACGCTTATTTCTTTCCTTAAAAAAAGGAGATTTTAAAAATGCGCTATTTAGAGACACATAATTGAGACTATGTTAAAAAAAAGTCACAGATAAAAGAATGGAGAAAAATAAACAAAATGTTAACAGGTATTGTGCTTGGTCAAGTATGAGGCATAATTTTTATTTTCTACTATTGCCTGAATTTTCCTTATTATTTTTCTATAATAAACATGTATTACGTTTAATATAATAAATATTTTCTTTCAGCAACAATTACCCTTGTTGCTGATTTCTTCATTTATTCAACAGAAAGACTTCTTGTAAGCTAAACCTCAGGAAAAATGCTGTGAGGATAATAAGCAGCTAGTGTGAATGTTCCTACCCCAGCCGAGGAAGTCAGGGAGGGCTTCCTGGAGGAGGGGGAACTGAGGCTGGAAGGATGGAAAATGATGGGAAACGCTCTTCAGTAGCTCGGTACAACTGGAGTGTAAGACCCCCATGGGAGAGAGGCAGGAAGGAGGGGGCTAAGAGGCCCCTGGTGCCATCATATGGCTTTAAAATGTATCCCGGAAGCTATGGGAGTCATTAAGGATGGTAAGGCGGGGAACCATAGCATGAGGGTTGTGTTTTCTTTCTCCTTTTGTGAAGATGGTAAGGCAGACTTTATTTCAGGGGGCCATGATGACAGGCACAGGGACAGCTGTGACGGGGCCTTGTCCTGGGGAGAGAGGCTGCTGTTTTCAATCCCAAGGCTGGCATGTCCTAGGATCACTAGGACACCAAGATGAAGATGCAGGTGTGGTGGGGCCAATCTTGGAAGCAGATGGACTGGGAGGCTGCCGAGGTCACTATGTGAGGGGAGGGGCCTCAGCCAGCTTCACGATTTCACCGAGGAGGGGAGGGGAACAAGCTCGGGGGAGCCCCGGCTCAGGCAGCTCTGAGGTGGGGGGATGAGAAATGCAGGAGGAGCAGCTGCTGGCAGGGTGATGAAGAGTGTTGGGGAAAGGGGGGTGTCAAGTTGTCAGGTGGAGTTCAAAAGAAGGGTCTGGGCAGGACATGAGGGCATCCAGGGGTTGTAAAGCCAAATGTGGCTGCAGCTGCTAAAGGGTGTACTGTAAATTGGCATAGGAGAAAGGCGCAAACCTCATGAAAACAAGCAGAGAAGCCCAGGAACCCGGGAGAGGCTGACGGAGCCTGAGTGAATGGTGTTAGGGAAGCTACAGGGCTCGGGGGCTGGGCCAGTCCTGTGCCGGGAACACAACTGCCACTCCACCCTGGTTAGGCCATTTCACGTCAGGATCCCAAATGAATACTATGAAAGCCACACACAGGGAACGGTCAATGAATGAACAAACGTGTGCTCCATGCTTTGACACTGTTGGTGGGAGTGTAAATTAGTTCAACCATTGTGGAAGACAGTGTGGGGATTCCTCAGGGATCTAGAACCAGAAATACCGTTTGACCCACCAATCCCATTACTGGGTATATACCCAAAGGATTATAAATCATTCTACTGTAAAGACATGTGCACACGTATGTTTACTGCAGCACTATTTACAATAGCAAAGACTTGGAATCAACCCAAATGCCCATCAATGATAGACTGGATAAAGAAAATGTGGCACATAGACACCATGGAATACTATGCAACCATAAAAAAGAATGAGTTAATGTCCTTTGCAGGGACATGGATGAAGCCGGAAGCCACAATTCTCAGCAAACTAACACACGAACAGAAAACCAACATGTTCTCTGAGTGAATGGTGAACAGAACACCACATGTTCTCACTCATAAGTGGGAGGTGAACAGTGAAAGCACATGGTCACAGGGAGGGGAACAACACTTACCAGGGCCTGTCAGGAGGTCAGGGGGAAGGGAAGGGAGAGCATTAGGACAAATACCTAAAGCATGCGGGGCTGAAAATCTAGATGATGGGTTGACAGGTGCAGCAAACCACCGTGGCACGTGTAGACCTATGTAACAAACCTGCATGTTCTTCACACCTATCCCAGAACTTAAAGTGAAAAAAAAAACAACTAGAAACAAGCTATCTGTGAAAATGCTTTGTGATATGGATTTAACAAGAAAGAAAGAAAGAAAGAAAAAGAAAGAAAGAAAGAAAGAAAGAAAGAAAGCAGGAAGGCAGGGAGGGAAAAAAGAAAGGAACAGAGCGAGAGAAAGAGAAGAAAGAAAGAAAGAAAGAAAAAAGAAGGCAGGAAGGCAGGGAGGGAAAGAAAGAAAGAGAAAGAAAGAGAAAGAGAAAGAAAGAGACAGAGAGAAAGAGAGAAAGAAAGAGAAAGAATGAAAGAACGAAAGAACAAAAGAAAGAAAGCGCACTCCACTCTATGACGTCAAGGACATGTCTCTTCACTCCGTGTGGCTTCTGCAGTACCAGCAGGGTTTGCTTCACTCCTCTTGCCTGCAACCCGTCACCACCGAGACCTCTCAGGGCCTCCCTGTCTCCAGGAAGAGATGAAAATCCCCACACCCAAGAAGAGGAGCAAGAAGAATAACATACCAAAGACATGTTGGCTTGTTGGTACCTCTGGGAAGCAACTCATTCTTAGGTGAAGAGTGGATTCCAACCCTGACTCTAATTAAAACCTTTGAGAAAAATTGGGATCCCTGTGTTTCACAGTTATAGATTACTTCAGTTATACATGTTTTGTTCAAAATCACAGGCTCATAAATCATCAAAGACTGCTGATCATTTTAAAAGAAACCTAAAAAGAATTTAAAAGAAACCAAAAACCAAGAATATCTTGCATTGCTGCACAGGACTGCCAATGCGCCCATTTACAGACAACTGAGGTGCTCGATTTGGGGGATGGAGCCCGACTCAAGAGCTTTCCATGTGCCAGGCACTGTGCCGAGTGCTGTGTGCCAGTTCTCTTATTAATTCTTAAAACAAGCCCACGTATTAGACCCATTTTTCCAAGGAAGGCACAGAAAGGCCAAATAACCTGCTTGAGGTCATGTGGACAATCGGTGGTGCAGCCAGGGTGGGGCCGTCCATGCCAGAGTCCATGCTTGTGAACAGGACCGAGGGGGACGCCCCTGGGGAAGGCCGTGAGCTCCTGGGTGCTTTGAGCCAAAGGCACACAGGTTAAGGGATCACTGAAGCCAGACTGCAGTTGCCATGGAAACAGCATTTACTATTCAAAGACCTTCAGAGGTGTTCTTGCAAATCAAGACAGCAAGAAAGAATCCTTCCACAAACGACCCCAGTGTTGACTGCAGCTTGAGGGTCTTCAGAACAGTAAGGGATGCCCATGTTTGCTGCAGGGAGGTGGCACTGTCTACCCAGACTGCAGAAGTTTCAAATTCAAAAACAGCCAACTCAGCCATGCTGAAAAAAATGTTAACACACTCTCCCTACATAAACACAATATCGCTTTCACATAGTGTCCGGTTTTCATATTAATAACATTTTATAAAGAACATAAATTCATTTTATTTTTGTAGTTGTTTTTGGCAGTTTCATAGCATGAAATAAGTTACTCAGAATAAAACCCCAATTTTAAATATTTTGCTGATAATAAAAAGGCATCAAATTAAGATGTGTTGGCTTGTTGGTATCTCTGGAAACCATCTCATTCTTACGTGAAGAGTGGATTCCAACCCTGACTTTCTAATTAAAACCTTTGAGAAAAATTGAGATACCTGTTTCACAGATTATAGATTACTTCAATTATACATGTTTTGTTCAAAATCACAGGCTCAGAAATTAACATTATTTCAATAAGTAATACAAAAACATCTTGAGAATTCACATCAGTAAATAAGAAAATCAGCATTTTTTCTTTTTTTAAGCTAAATTACTATTGTATTTTACTTTAACCTTAGAATTTTTTCTTTAACCTTAGAATTTTAGTTTCATTGATTTTAAAAAACATAAGTTAATGAAGTAAATGGTTTATTTCACAATAAGAAATTATTTAATAGTAAGAAGCTTATTTAAATGCTTTCATGAATAAGTAAAATTATAAGTATTCTTAAAGTGATGTGAAGAACTTACAAATTCTTCAGAGTCAGCACAGTGCAATGGTCTGATGACAAGCCTGAAGTCATTTGTTAGCTTCCAAAGAAAACCCTACATTGAGTTTTATGAATGGAAATTCTTGGCTGTCACTACATTCTGCAATGTAATGGAACACGAGATTAAGAAGGATGGAAATCTGGGTGCTCCAGGAGTCTTAACAAGTGGTCAGCATCCTTTGAACCCAGCAATTTCCCTTCTAGCAACAATCAAAGATGAGTAGGAAGATGATTGCCAGTGGATGTTCATCGCAACGTTCTTTATACCAGAGAAGGATGGGGCTTAAGTACATCAGCTGTGGGAAGAGAACACTATGCAGCCGTTGGGTAGAAAAAGTACATATAGAATGATTATAAAAGGCGATTTGCTCAAAATTTAAAAACTCACAGAGAAGTTCAAAGGTGGCAGCAAAAACACCCTTCCAGAGGCCAGACCCTTGCACTTCAAAAAAAGTCCATTCAGTCTTGGAGCAGCACTCCTTGCCAGGAAGTTCTCTTCACGCCTCCCTGGAGCTGTTACCCGCATACACAACAACGTGACTTTTCTGTTCCCGAGGCGGCATGCCAGCAGCTGAACACACTGCCACACCGCCGAGGCCCCGTCATTTGCTGATGGACCTCAGTCCAGTCAGAGGTACAATCCAGAACTGAATACCAGCAACCAGCACACTGTGGACAGGCCAGGCGGCAGGCGCACCTGCGGATGGAAACGCAGTGGAGAACGCCGCCGGCCTCTTTGCCAAGAACTCAATCTCCCTGGCTTGGGCCCCCTCCTCTCCACTGCCAGTCCCACTGCGGCCCCAGCCAGGACTAAGCCTCTGTGGTCCTTCTCCCCATGACTTCACTAAAACGGCTCTGGCTGAGGCCGCCAGGACCCTCCCTTTTGCAAGGTGCAAGTGACATTCTTCCCCGGGTCTCCCTTGGGTCTCTCTGCAGCATGGACATGGCTGTTTCCCCTCTGCCCCCACCCTTCACCCTGCTCCTCCCTCCCAGTGCCCTGAGGGCGACCCTTCCTCTGCTCACCCCTTCCTTGTTTCTGAGGTTCCCGGGGCTCCACCCTGGGTACTCTGCTCCACTGACCTACTTAGGAGACCTCATGCAACTATGTGGCTTTGACCACCCTGACCGCTGACGGCTCCCCTCTCCCCTATGGCCCAGGCGAATGCACGTGAACCTTTGCCAGACCTTTCCCTGTGGGTAGTGCTCAGCTGCCTCAAGGCAACATTCCCAGAACAGAACTGAACTCTTCCCCGGGTCCCCGCTCCACCAACCCAGTCAGTTCCACAGTGTCTGTGAGTGATAACGCAACATCACACCATCCTCCCCAAGCACCCTGTCAGAGGCCCGGAAGTCATTCCATGTGCCTCGTCCATTAAGGCTGAGCTGTTTAGGCTGCTGTAGCAGAAGGGCATAGACTAGGTGGCTTATAAACAACAGAAATTAACTTCCCCCAGTTCCAGAGGCTGTGAAGCCCAAGATCAAGGTGCCAGCAGATTCAGTGTCTGGGGAGGGCCCCCTTTCTTGTTCATAGAAGGGGTGAGGGCCCCCTTCCCATTGTGTCCTCACATGGCGGGATGGGGGGGGAAAGAACTCCCCGGGTTTGTTTTATAAGGGCACTAATCTCATTTACTCTCATGCCCTAATCACCTCCTAAAAGCTCCCACCTCCTAATACAGTCAGCTTGGTGGTTAGGATTTCTATACATGAATTTAGGGGAGACACAAACGTTCAGACTACAGCACCTTCTTTCACTCCGCATCTCACAGAATGCTCACAATCTTACTCATTTCTTTTAAACTAAAAATTCTAATAGTTTAGTTAAACTGATGCAGGGCAGGCGAGCCCTAAAGTGGAGCTTAGCCCATCTGGGTTCTTGGCCTTGCTCAGGAAAGAATTCAAGGGCAAGTCATAGGTAGAAGAAAACAGCTTTACTGAAGTGTCAGTGTTCCAGCTCCCTGCCGGCTCCCGCAGGGCAGGGCTACCCCGCAGGCAGAGAGCAGCACCTCAGGGCAGTTTTGCAGTCCTGTTTATACTCACTTGTAATTGCATGCAGATTAAGGAGCGGTTTATGCAAGGAAGAGGTAGTAATCACTGGGTCATTGCCGTGGAAAGGAGCGGTAATGCCTGGGTGCCGTCATGGCAACGGTAAATTGACATAGCGCTGGTGGGCGTGTCTGATTGAAGACTGCTTTCCCCACCGGGCCTGTTTTAGCTAGTCCTCAATCTGGCCCAGTGTCCAAGCCCCGCCTCTGGAGTCAAGTCCCGCCTCCTACCTCAGAAGCAGTTCCAGTTTTTAATGTTAACCAACACAGGGAAAGTGAGGTTTCACTATAAATAGCCACACCGAGAATGGGAACATAAAACTGTCCCAGTTATAGGGATTATTAATGGATTTCGCTGCGGAACAAACAAGGATTTCAGGTCAGTTTATGACATATTGTTATATATCTTCAAATCCTAAGAGAAAGAAAAAAAATACATTCAGACATTGGACCTGAAAAAAAAATTGTCCTTATCTTTTCTAAGGGGTTAAGAGCACATGGCACACACCACACCTTAGCACCCTGAAGAATAAAATCATATACGTGATGGTGAGAATGTAAGAACCCTGCACTGCGTTCAGTAACATCCCCCAAAAGTTCATGTCCACCCAGAACCCGTGGATGGGGCCTTATTTGGACATAGGCTTTTTGCGTGTACAATCAAGTTAAGATGAGGTCGTACTAGATTAGGGTGGGCCCTCATTCAATGACTTTCTTATAAGGAAACAGAAATTTGCACACAGAGACACAAATACCCAGGGAGGGGGCCACGTGGAGACGGAGGCAGAGCCTGGTGTGATGTGTCTACAAGCCAGAGGGCCGAGGGCTGCCAGCAGCACCAGAAGCTGGAGAGACGCCTGGAACACCTTCCCCTCAGAGCCTCCAGAAGGAACCCACCTGGCCCAATACCTCGACTTTGGACTTCCGGTCTCCGGAACTGTGAGAGAATACAGTTCTGTTATTTTAAGTCACCCAGTTTGTGGCACTTTGTTATGGCATCCCTACAGACCAACACCTGCATGCTGTCATGGGTCACGCTAGGTGCACGAGGACTCAGTCTTCAGCCAGATTTTACATTTTGTCCAAAGGAATCATGGCAACACCTATTTTGGGGGCTGATAGGTACCTGGGTCAGGAGAGCCTATGCCACTCAGCTGGGCCACAGAACTACAGCGGATTGACTCAGGAAACAGGAAAACAGTGCCCTCTCTCTTCCTGGAGCTGTCCCCATGCACAGCACAGAGAATGTGTGCCCACTCCCGTGTTGCACCAGGGACACAACTGTCCCCCTGGAATGTGCTTTCGGAACGTGCATGGCTCTGGGACAGATGTTAGGTATCACTGAAAAATTCCATCGACAGTGAGGACAAGGATGGTTTCATGGATGAGGACAGAGATGCACATAGGGCAGTTTGCCCTGGGCAGGAACAGAAGGTGAACCAGGGGCCGAGAGCGAGGTGGAAGGAAAGGGATTTGCTCACATCTGGAAGGAAGGAGGGAGTCTGGGGAGGGCAGCCCGGCCAGCTGGAGGGCTTTGGGGAACAAAAAGTTTCCACTGTCTGGGAGCATCAGAGGGCTTGTGCTCTAAGGAGGAGAGGGACTGGCAGGCATGGTGGCATCTGGGTGGACTGGACACACAGTCCAGCCTCCATTATGTGGCCCACCCCACTGTGTCCTCCAGAATTAGCAGCAGCCAGGGGAAGCCAAGCCTCCAAGGCAGAGGGAGAATCATCAGAGGGCCCAGGAAACAGCTCAATCACTTCAGGGGCTTCTGCCCAGGATCCCCCAGGGTCTCCCTGCGTGGCCCCAGATATCCTTCCCTGTTTGTTCACAGTGCTGATGAGGCACCCACTGTAGCAAGGCCTCTCCCCGCAGCCCAACCCAGGAAGCGGTGGGAGAGCAGAGATGGCATGTTAGTTTCTCGGGGCACAGGGACTGCGTGCCTCTGGAGCCAGGCTGAGCAATAATCTCGCCTCTTTCACAAGAGGAGATCCGAGAGCTTCCTCCTCCCTCTCCCAGGATGACAGTGGGTCCTGCAGGTGGTCAGGTGTCCCGACGCTGTATATTGAAGGTGATGGAATATATAAACTCAAAAACGCATGCTTTTCTCCCTTTTTCTGCCACAGACATGTAGCACCGTGCGCTGTTCTGCCCTTGCTTTTTTCACTGAACTTGTGTGTTGAAGCTTTTCTTGCTAAACAATCTAGCTCAGAGCTCCTTCCACAGGTGCACAGGAGCTCGTGGCACTCCTTGTATGGATGGCAACAGGTTTGACCAGTCCTTTATGGCAGACAAATTTGTTTGTTTCCACATTTTTCTGCTACAAGCAAGACTGCAGCAAATGACTTGGAATTTCATATCATGGGAGTAGAGGTGCAAGATAAATTCCCAGAGGTAGAACTTCCGGGTTAAACAGCATGTGCCTTTTGAAGTGGACAGATGCTGGCCAGCTGTACTCTGCAGAGATAGCTGCTGTGGACTCTCTCATCAGCACTGTGGGGGTCCCTATGTCCCCAAACCTACACTGGCCAGCTGTACTCTGTGGAGATAGCTGCTGTGGACTCTCTCATCAGCACAGGGGTCCCTATGTCCCCATATCTACACTACGCAGTGAGTTGCCAAGCCATCTCCTAATCCCTGCTAGTGTGCTGGGGCGTGGGGTGGGCAGATGGTAACCTAGAGTAGTTTTAATGAATACTTCTAATATGTGTGAAGTTTGGACTTCTTTCTGTTTTAGAGCCATGTGTAGTTCCTTTTGTTTTTAACAAACTATTTTATTTCTTTTGCCTTCTCGCGTATCATTGGCCTTCTTAATAACTTTTTAGAGTTCCTCTTGTGAAAATTAGTTTTAGTGACACAAGTTGCAAATATTATATTTTTTCCCTGTTTGCTGCCTTTTGACCTTAACATTGGCTTTTGCCTTTATAAATATTTTAATGTCTATGTAAGACAAAGCTAAACATCTTTTCTGGGGTAACTTATGGGATTTGTAACTTACACGAAATATTTTCCAATATTATCTTAAACTTCTCGGCCACTTGCGGTGGCTCACGCCTGTAATACCAACACTTTGGGAGGCTGAGGGGAGAGGATTGCTTGAGGCCAGGAGTTTGACACCAGGCTGGGTAAGATAGTGAGACCCCATCTCTACAAAAAAGGAAAATTAGCTGGGCGTGGTGGCACATGCCTGCAGTCCCAGCTACTTGGGAAGCTGAGGTGGCTGGACCCCTTGAGCCCAGGAGCGAGGCAGCGATGAGCAATGATCGCACCGCTGTACTCTAGCCTAGGCAACAGAGCAAGACTCTGTCTCTAAAATATATATATTTATATGTATATAAAAATATATAATATACATTATATAAATATATTATAAACATATATAATATAAATATATATAAAATTATATATAGTTTTTTTGGTAAAAATTGATTTCTTCTTGTTGTTTTGTGGTTCCATTTGCCAGCTTTTGACTTTCTTGTAATTTATTTTGGTATGAGGTATGAAGCATTAACTTAGTGTATTCCACATGGTTTGCTCTCTGTCCCCAAACTGTTCTTTAATAACATATCCTTTTCTGCCTGGCACAGTGGCTCTTGCCTGTAATCCCAGCACTTTGGGAGGTCGGGGCAGGAGGATTGCTTGAGGCCAGGAGTTTGAGACAAGCCTGGGCAACATAGGGAGACATCATCTCTACTAAAAATAAAAAAAAATTTGCCGAGTGTAGTGGTGTGTTCCTGTAGCACCAGCTACTTGGGAGGCTGTGGCAGGAGGATTGCTTGAGCCCAGGAATCTGAGGCTGCAGTAAGCTGTGATGGCACCACTGCACTTTAGCCTGGGTGAGGGAACGAGACCCTGTCTCATTAAAAAAAGATATAATAATAATAATAATAACTTATCTTTTCCCACTGGTTTGAAATGCCCCTTTTACTGTATAGAAAAGTTCATCATTTATTTGGATCTACTTCTGCATTTTCCGTTTTGTACCATTGACCTGCCTGTTCATGAGATGTGCTAGTACCATATAGTTTTATTAATTACAGACTTATAATATTTTCATACCTTCAGGCTAACCACACTGATATGGTTAGGCTTTGTGTCCCCACCCAAATCTCATCTTGGATTGTAATCTCCATAATCCCCATAATCTCCGCATGTCAAAGGAGAGACCAGGTGGTGGTAATTGAAACAGGAGGGCAGTTCCCCGCATGCTGTTCTGGTGATAGTGAGTGAGTTCTCATAAGATCTGATGGTTTTATAAGGGGTTCTTCCTCCTTCACTCGGCACTCCTCCTTCCTGCCGCCTTGTGAAGAAGGTGCCTTGGTTCCCCTTCATCTTCTGCCATGATTTTAAGTTTCCTGAGGCCTCTCCAGCTATGCTGAACTGTGAGTCAATTAAACCTCTTTCCTTTATAAATTACCCAGTCTTGGGCAGTTCTTTACAGTAGTATGAAAACAGATTAATGCACAGCCCCCTACTAATCTTTTTGAAAAAATTTCTTGGTTATTATTGCTTGTTAATTTTTCCATACAAGTTTTAGAACCAGGCTATCTGGTACCAAAAGAAATTCTATTAATATTTTTATTGGGACCTGCATTATGTAGATAAACTTGGTGAGGTTTGATATTTTTATAGTGTTAAGTCATCTTATCCAAGAACATGGTATGCCATTTCTGCTGTTGAAAGTTTTGGTTTCTCAGTAGTGTTTTAAAGATTTCTTTATATAAATTGCACTCATGCCAACCTTATTCCTTGGTATTTTATATATTTTATAGCTATTGATATGAAGCCTTTTCTTCCATTCTGTCTTCTAACTGGTTATTGCATGAATATATGGAGGCTATTGATTTCTGGGCAGTAGCTTATACCCAGCTGCCTTCCTAAATCCTTGTACTGTTTGTCACAGTTTTTTAGGTGGTTCTCCTTGGTTTTAGGATTTCCATGCTTGTCTTAGTCCCACAGTTAAATAACGCTCATTGCCAGTTCTCTTGTGTACTTCTTTCACTTATCTCTTGGTTGCACTCGTTCTGAACCTTGGGGTTTAAAAAAGTATTGATAATTCAGTGCTATCACCGAGCTTCTAATTTAATTCATATGGGCTGTGGCTTGAGCCTACAGGTTCATAAAGGATCTCAGTGATTCCATGGAACAATGTCAGGTGGAAGACATTGTCTTCAATAGTTTATTCAAGAAGGAATTATGGGGACGATATTCCTGAATCCTTGCATTTTTTAAAAATGGAATTTCATTTTTTTACATATCCTTCTAGGGAATTATATGCCTATATAAACAAATATATTTTTCTCCTCTTTTATTTTTGAATGACAGTTTGAAGCGTGAACAATTCTGTCACGCTTTCTTTCCTTAAGGCTTTGTAGACATTGCCATAACTTTCTTCTAATAGTGAATGTTGCCACGGAGAAATTGAGGCCAGGTTGGATATTTTCCCATTTGATCTTGATTTGTTGTTGTTGTTGTTGTTTTTTGCCTGTCTTCTCAAGAACCTCTTTATCATGGCCATCTGAAAACACGATTAGACTGTTTCAGTAGTGACTGTACTATCTCTATGTTTTCTGGGGCATGGTGGAGATTCGACTCTTCTTTATGGAATGCCTTATTAATTCATATGTGAAAATATTCATTGTTCCATTTATTTAGGTTTTCCTCTTAGAATACTCCAATTTTACATATGTTGCCTTTGCCTGTCTACTCACTGTTAAATTATTTTCCTCTCTTTATTTCTGTTTCATTTTGCTCCTGTTTCCCATTTCTGTCTTCGCTCCCCTGCCTGGCTGGTACGTGCATCCTCACACTTGACCTGTTTCTGTGATTCTTCATCCAACCTCAGCTCCACTGTAACTGAAACCAAAATGGTGCAAGGATGCCCCCTACCACCGCCAGCCTTTTCCCACCACTGCAAACAAGGGTTTGGGGGCTCTTCTTCAGAAAATGCCCCTTCATGGGTAAGTTTACTTTGATGAAGATGAAAATCTTAGAATAGTGGTTTTCTATCATGAATTATGTTATCTTCGTAACATTGTAAAATTCCACAGAATGTCACATTATATTAGTGAACTTCCATTGACATATAAATTCAGTAATGTTTTTAGGAGCAGTTGCATTTTATTAATCACAAATAGTACTTACAAATGTTTAAAAAGTAAAAATACATACTGACACAAGGCACATTTAATTTTTGTCTAGTTCTCTGAAGTAAAATGCATGCTCTTCTGATTATATTTTTTGCCTCTTTAAATTTACTTTTGTTTATATTGTACAATGAATTAACTTCTATTGTGGTAGTTAATGTGTAATTTATGAATAATCATACGTGAGTCACATGGATATTCCATAAAATATTTGGTGCTCTGTCCTAGACAATGCTCAGTGTGCACGCAGGAATACCAGGCACCATGTTCTTGAGAGAGCTCAGGGCCACAGCCAAGAACCACTGCTTGGAAATTGAGACAAAATCCTACCTATACAGTTGCTCAGTAAATACTAGTTAACTTACCTTCCTCAGCAAGTATTTAGATAGACATGATAAACCATATATTTCACAAATTGGGCAGAAACAAATGCATACATATGATTTGGATATATTGAAAATACTCAAATATCTTTAAACTCATGCCCTACCCCTGCCCAGTATAATAGCTTTTGACATTTTCTTTAATTTTTCTCAGTGTAATCCTGAATTGCATAAAGACAAGATTACAATCCCAAATAACCAAAGAGAAATTCTATACATAGCACTGATTTGCCTAGACAATCTTGGTTTTGTTTTATTTAGTTTTTTAAATACATATATGCATTGCCACCTTACATATAGATAGATAGATGTATCTATATATTTACGTTACATATGTAATTCCTATCAGGAGACACCCCTTACCTTTTATTCCCCAATTATAGTTTCCAGAAGTTAAGGTCAAAATCAAAATGAAACAAAATGAAAATAACCCCAATGAAAAGACTGACAGTTGATTCAGTGAATAAATCTCAAACTGGGAACCAATAACTCACATTTCAAAAGATAAGAGTAAACTGGAAAGCGATGTCCACCCTGTTTGTGGAATTGTGAGTCTTTTTCATTAGCAGCCTAGTAAGAAATAAAGCAGTATTTCTCTTGTTTTGTCTTTAATTATCTCCATTGAGGGTTAACAGCGTTGGGCTTTGCCCTTTTTGTTCATGTGGTTGGGTTTCAGTCAACACTGGCCTGTCGTGTTGTTTTCTACAGAGAATACAGAGAACTGGTTTTGGTTATATCATATTAGGGAGTTAAAAAGATGTCCTATATATATCCAATCACAAAACGAGCACCCAAATCAGCTTTAGTGGATTCAGGAGATGTAGTCAATCTTCCCCACATGCTTTCTAACTCACTTCAAATATGACAGATTTGTAGCTAACTTTCACAGCAACAGGAAGTTCACTTAGCACTCAGCGATGTGAGATTTGAGAGTCATCTATATTGGCACTGTAAATTCCATTTCTTAGAAAAATTACAAATGTCAATCCTTCTTTTATAAATGCAAATTCTTTCCATTAGAAGATGAGTGACGGCTGGGTGCAGTGGCTCATGTCTGTAATCCCAGCACTTTGGGAGGCTGAGGTGGGCAGATCATTTGAGGTCAGGAATTTGAGACCAGCCTGGCAAACACGGTGAAACCCAACTTTACAAAAAATACAAAAATTAGCTGGGCATGGTGATGCATGCCTGTAGTCCCAGCTACTCGGGAGGCTGAGGCAGGAGAATGGTGGGAACCTGGGAGGCGAAGCTTACAGTGAGCCTAGATCCCGCCACTGCACTCCAGCCTGGGCGACAGAGCGAGACTCCGTCTCAAAAAAAAAAAAAAAAAAAAAAAAAAGAAGTGAGATCACGTGGTATTCGTCTTTCTGTGCCTGGTTTATTTGACATATCATAGTGTCTTCCAGATTCCTCCATGCTGTTGAAAATGACAGGATCTCCTTCATGTTGAAGGCTGAAGAGTACTCCATTGTGTCTCGATACCACATTTTCTTTATCTATTCATCTGTTGTTAGACACTTAGGTTGATTCCATATCTTGGTTATTGTGAATAGTGCTGCAGGGAATGTGGGAGTGTAGATATATTTTCAACAGGCCGGGAGTGGTGGCTCACGCCTGTAATCCCAGCACTTTGGGAGGCCAAGGCAGGGGATCACTGGAGGTCAGGAGTTCGAAACCAGCCTGGCCAACATGGTGAAAACCCATCTCTACTAAAAATACAAAAAGTAGCCAGGCGTGCTGGCAGGTGCCTGTAATCCCAGCTACTCGGGAGGCTGAGGCAGGAGAATCACTTGAACCCGTGAGGCGGAGGTTGCAGTGAGCAGAGATTGCGCCATTGCACTCCAGCCTGAGTGACAGAGTGAGATTCTGTCTCAAAAAAAAAAAAAAGGAATATTTTCAACATACTGATTTCATATCCTTTGGAGACATACCCAGAAGTGGGATCACTGTATCATATAGTAGTTTTCTTCTTAATTTTCTGAGGAATTTCCATACTGTTTTCTACAATGGCTGTACTGATTTACATTCCCACCAACAGTGTACGATGGTTCCCTTTTCTCCACATTTCCTGTGACACTTGTTATCTCTTTTCATTTTGATCATAGCCATTCTAACAGGTGTGAGATGATATCTTATTGTGGTTTTAATTTGCATTTCCCTGATGATTAATGATGTCAAGCATTTTTTTTTCACGTATCTATTGGCCATTTGTATGTCTTCTTTTGAAAAATGCCTATTTGGGTCCTTTGTCCATTTTAAAACCAGGTTATTTGTTTTCTTGCTATTAATTTGTTTATATTTACTGTTTATTTTGGATATTAACCCCTTAACAGATGCACAGTTTACAAATATTTTCTCCCATTCCGTAGGTTAGTTTGTCATTTTACTCTGTTGTTTCCATTGCTGTGCAGAGGCTTTTTAGTTTAGTGCAATCCCGTTTGTCTGTTTTTTCTTTTGTTGCCTGTGCTCTTGAGTCATATCCAAAAAAATCATTGTTTTTGGAACAATATCATGGAGCTTTCGCCTTATGTTTTCTCCTACTAGTTTTATAGTTTCAGGTCTTACATTTAAGTCTTTAATACATTTTGAGTTGATTTTTTTATATGGAATGAGATGAGGGTCTAATTTCATTCTTCTGCAGGTGGACAGTTTTCCCCAACATCACTTATTGAGGAGATTATCCTTTCCCCATAGTGTGATCTTGGCAACTGTGTCAAAAAACAATCGACTGGAAATGCGTGGATTTATTTCTGGGCTCGCTATTCTTCCACTGGTCCACCTGTTTCTGTTTATGCCAGTACCATGCTGTTTTGATGGTTACAGCTTTGCATTAGATTTTGGAATCAGGTAGTGTGATGTCTCCAGCTTTGTTCTTATTGCTCAAGATTGCTTTGACTATTAGGAGTCTTTTCTGATTTGGTACAAATTTTATTTTATTTTTTCTATTTTTGTGAGCAATGTCATTGGAGTTTTGATAGGGACTGCATTGAATCTGTAGATTGCTTTGGGTAGCATGGGCATTTTAACAATATTAATTCTTCCAGTCCATGAACATGGGATATCTTCACATTTATTTGTGTCTCTTTCAATTTTTTTCATCATGTTTTGTAGTTCTTAATGTACAGATCCTTCACCTCCTTGTTTACATTTAATCCTAAAGTGCTTTTTTTGTAGCTATTGTAAATGGGATTCTTTTCTTTATTTTTCTTTTTTGAGACAGGGTGTATTACTCTGTTCTCACACTGATATAAACAGTTACCTGGGACTGGGTAATTTATGAAGAAAAGAGATTTAATTGATTCACAGTTCCACAGGCTATACAGGAAGCATGGCTGGGGAGGTCTCAGGAAACTTACAATCATGGTGGAAGGGTAAAGGGGAAGCAAGCACTTTCACATGGCGGCAGGAGAGAGAGAGTGAAGGGGGAAGTGCTACACACTTTTAAACAACCAGATCTCGGGAGAACTCACTATCACAAGAACAGAAAGGGAGAAATCTGCCCCCATGATCCAATTACCTCCCATCAGGCTCCTCCCCCAACACAAAGATCATAATTCAACATGAGATTTGGGTGGGGACACAGGGCCAAACCACATAACAGGGTCTCACTCTGTAGCCCAGGCTGGAGTGCAGTGGCACGATCATGGCTCACAACATTCTCAACCTGAGATCAGGCAGTCCTCTCTCCTTGGCCTCCCCAAATGCTGGGATTACAGGTGTGAGCCACTGTGCCCAGCCAAGATTGTTTTCTTGATTTCTTTTTTGGATAGTTTGTTGCTAGTGTATATGCTGCTATGAACACTGCTGTACAAGTACCTCTTTGAGACACTGCTTTTAGGTCTTTTCGGTGAACACTCAGAAGTACAACTGCCAAATTATATGGTAATTCTATTTCACTTTTTTGAGGAATCTCCTCTCTTGAACCTACATCAACCAGGTGCTCACCGCATTACTCCACTGAACCAGCTCTCATCAAGGTTGCTGTAACCTTTATATCCATTTGGCACTTCTCATCTCACTTGGCCTCTGGGACAATGTCCAACTCCCTTTGCTGGTTCTGCATCTCTGTGACCTCTCGGCACTGGCACTGGTGCCCTTGGTGATCTCATCCAGCCGTGTTCACATCATTGACACACTGACAACTCCCAAATTTATATCTCCAGCTCAGATCTTGAATTCCAGACTCAGATCCAACTGTGTAGTTTATTTTTCCCTGTGGATGTCAAATAGGAACTTGAAAGGTAAGGTGCAAGTTGGGGCTTTTAATTCCCTGACTTCTCTCCAGTCTTCTCCATCCAGAGAGTGGGGGCGCCACTGCTTTCATGATGGACAAGTTTATGATGGAAAGATCCGCCGTCACCACCTGCACCTACTTTTCACTAAACATGGGACGACCACTGAGGGCCTCCCAGTGCCACACAACAGGAAGCACACAGCACCACCTAGGAGCAAAAGGTACGCCAGAATCTGGTGGAGACGCTGGAGCTGCACAGCCCAATGCAGCCACGGGCAGCGCCCGAGCCTGTGAACTAAAGCTGAGAGGCTACCCGTGCAAAGTACATGCCAGATTCCAAAGGCTTAATGCAATAAAAAGAGTGTAACATCTCTCATTAACAATTTTTTATATTGATTACATGCTGAAATGCTCTTTTGATGTATCAATTTACATAAAATATATTATTAAAATAGATTTTATGCATTTCGCTTTTTAAAAATGTGGCTAATATAAAATTTTAAATTACATATGTGGCTCATATTACATTTCTAACAGCACTGTCCTAGAGCTAATTTTCACTTACAGGAAATACAGAGGAGAGAGGAACAAGTGAAATGACACTGGAGGGAAGCAAGCAGCCAGACTGTAGGGTGCTCTACTGATCCAGTGCCTTGGTTTCCACAGCAACATGGCAGGGAGGGAGCTTCCCAGATGGAAGGAGGTGTAGGAGGCAGAACACCCAGACATGATGCGTGGACTCTCTAGATCCTGATTCAAACCAACCAATTGTAATATGACACTTTTTGACATAATTGGAAAAAAGTTTATTATGTTTTAGATATTAGATGATACCAAGGAATTCAAGTGAATTTGATTAGATGTGAAAGCATTGTGGTTGTGTGAGAACACAGTGCTGCTTTAGATGTGCACACTGAAAAGCGAGGTGACCCTGCACCTGGAATGTGCTTCAAAATACTGTGAGCAAAGACACCCAGAAAAAGAAAGAAAGAGCCAGGTAAAGCAATATGGTAAAACCTTGTTGAATCTGGGTGACAGATGTATAGGTGTTCTTCGTACTAGCCTCTCTAATTTGGGGTATGTTTGACAATTTTTAAATTAAAATTCATTTTTAAAACCTCCAACTTAAAGAGTATGATACATGTTACATAAATTAATTTTAGTCTATACCTTAGGGGCTGTGAATAAGCCTCTGAACTCCCCTAATCAGAAACCCATACCCCAGAGTGACCCGATACGCATTTCAAGGAGGATGTGGAGGCCTGAGGGCCGAGTGCCCAGCAGAGGCAACCAGGTTTCCCCCCAGAACCCGACATTTACCCAGCTTCCCACACTGGCACAGGTCAAACCTCAACATCCACTTTGGTCATGCAGGGGAAAACCCCGGGACCATCTTTGATCTCCCTCTCTCTCCCATCCCATATTCAATCCATCAGCAAACCCCACAGGCTCTACTTGCAGAAGGCATACAGAATGCAAATACTTCTCCACCTCTGCAGCCCATGGCTCCACTCTGGTCTGGCAACATTCTTCTCTCCTGCGGTCACTGTGCCAACGTCCAGCCTGGTCTCTGGCTTCTGCTCTTGCCCCTGCTGGTCTGCTGCTCCTACAGCCAGCCCCGCCCAGGCTGTGATGGTCATTCACACAGGAGTCAGTGTGAAGGGTGCTCCCAGGGCTTCTGCAGTGCGTAACCTGCCCGGCCATCCAGGGCTGTCCTCCACACAGTGCGAGGAGGAATCCTCTTAACACAGGCCAGAGCAGCCAGGTTTCTGTCTGAGCTGTCCAATAGCCACCCCTCTTGCTAGGGGGAAAATCCAAGTCTTACTGCTGCCTACACAGCCCCAGGGAGTCTCGCCCCCAGCTGTCTCCCCTCCCTCATTTCTCCCCACTCTTCCTTCGGATCTCTCTGCTCAGCCACAACAGCCCCCATGCTGAGAGTCAGACAGGTCAGGCTGGCATCCTTCTCCACTGTTGCACCTGCTGTCTTTCCCACTGCCATGAACATCACCTTTCCCAGGAGCCCTCCTCTGGCACCCCACAGAAAACAGCAACCTCCCCACTTGCCCTTCTTGTTCCTCTCTCCACCCTATTTCCTCTGGAGCCCTTTCCAACACTTGGCATGTTACAGAGCTGTCTGCTCAGCAGTTTATCTTCAGGGTCACAGAGCGTGGGGACTTCGGTTTGTGCACTACAGTGTCCCCAGTGCCCGGGGAAGTCCCCAGCACAGGGAATGTGCTAAGTAAAAATCTGCCCAGTGGATGGATGGACACTTGAAAGGATGACCTTTCAGATGAGGACTACATCTCTTTCGAAGGCTGCAGTATATTAGGACATGCCGGGGGGTAATCAATTTTTTTTTTTGTTGAATCGGAGGAAAAGTGAATACATGAATGAGCAGGTAAATGAACTCAGCCCGGGTGGCATGACCAAGGACTGGTGAGGCCTGAACAACACTGGCCCCCGTGGAGCTTCCGAACCGCGGCAGGGAGAGAGGAGGCGATGGGACGAGGACTCCGGTGAGAAATGTGACATGTGAACATCCCTCACAGTCTGCATGGACAGCAACCGGGAAAAGTCACCTTCTTCTCAGAAAAACAAAACACCTGTGAAAGTTATATTGGGTGTGCCCTCAGGCTGACCCACAATTGCCTCTCACACCACAGTGTTCTTTTTTTTTGAGACAGAATCTCTCTTGGTTGCCCAGGCTGGAGTGCAATGGCACAATCTTGGCTCACTGCAGCCTCCACGTCCTGGGCTCAAGCAATTCTCCCGCCTCAGCCTCCCCAGTAGCTGGGATTACAGGCACCCACCACTATGCCTGGCTAATTTTTTGTGTTTTTAGTAGAGATGGGGTTTCACTATGTTGGCCAGGTTGGTCTTGAACTCCTGACCTCAAGTTATCTGCCCGCCCTGGCCTCCCAAAGTGCTGGGATTACAGGTGTGAGCCATCGCGCCCGGCCTACAGTGTTCGTAGCTGGGCACAGCTGTGGGTGGGGAGGGAGGGGCTGTTCTGGGGCCAGGCTTTGACCCAGCCAGGTCACAGAGAACGGGGCTCTGAGGCTGGGACCATGCGAGCTTCCAAACCATGGCCCAGCACCTCCTCCAGCTCCAGGGGCCGGCCAAGACCCAGGGCAGCCTCCGTGCTGACCACAGATGGGAGGCAACAAAGGATGGTGACAAGGACGCCTCCTCTCACACCAGCCATGCCTGTTTCTGGAACTCCTTCAAGGCAGCTAGAACAATGGGACTGACACATGCATTGCAATATCACCCCAGAAAGGAAGCAGAAGGAAAACATCCTGAAAAGATGGGAGGCTTTCAGGAACTTGAGAAAGTGAGGTGGGGTAATCAACCATTTTTCCTTCCCCTGGGGAGCCTGGTCATCACTGCCTGCTTTGAGGGGGATCACTGCCTGCTTTGAGGGGGATCCTTGCCACACAGTCACGCAGGCTCTGACCTCCTTCCTGGGTCTGGGCTGCTCGGGCTGGGCTGGGGGTGGGTGGGGATAGTTTCTGGGAAGATGGTTTCTGTTACTCATCACAGGCAAGAGAGACAAAGAAAAGTTGAGTTTATATGACTCCCCCAAGTTCACGGAACAAATACCTGAACTGCGTGAACTGCGGTATCTTTTTTTTTTTTCTTGTAGAGATGGGGGTCTCATTACGTTGACCAGGCTGGTCTCAAACTCCTGGCCTCAAGGGATCCTCCCACCTTGGCCTCCCAAAGCACTGGGATTACAAGCAGGAGCCAACGGCACCTGGCCGTGAGGCATCTTGTTATACCAGATTACAATGAACACCCCGGACACTTGTAGAACACTTTTGATGTGTGCCACATAATTTCAGCAAAGAACAATCCCTAAAATAGGGAAAGAGCAGCATTAGGGTGTCAGGAGAGAATCAGCAGTTGTCGGGAAAACATGCTCTGAATCGCAGCTATTTCTAGACTCCTGCGTCCTTAGAACACGGGTGCTGAGTTGGCTGCTAGGGGAAGGGCTAGGGCTCAGGGCTGCCGGGTCCACAGCTGGCTGAGAAGCACCAAAGTCATTCAAATGGAATTGAATGTGGAAACACGCGAGTGGAGTGTCAGAATCCAAGTAAAGCAAGCAAGGCAAAACCAAGCAAAAAGACTCGTGGACTCATACACTGCCTCTATTTCAGGTTTGGAGGCCACTGCTGTCGGAAGCTGTACTGATTATTTAGAATATCGAAGAAACAAGTAAGTTCTTCCCCCAGATTCTGGAAAAATTCACACGCAGATGTGGTTCCTGCTTCAAGAATGGTTTGAAATGCTGTCTTGGCAGCAGCCTCCACTTCTCATGGAAATGCCCTGAAGACATAAAGACAGCAAAACCCTGCGTGCAGTGAGTGGCCGGCCACAGGGCGACAGGGCGTGACCCTGCCCCTGCTCCCTCCACCTGCCTGCAGTGAGTGGCCGGCCACGGGGTGACAGGGCGTGACCCTGCTCCTGCTCCCTCCACCTGCCTGCAGTGAGTGGCCGGCCACGGGGTGACAGGGCGTGACCCTGCTCCTGCTCCCTCCACCCTGCGTGCAGTGATTGCCCGGCCACTGGGCAACAGGGCAGGACTCTGCTCCTTATCCCTCCGCCCTGCATGCAGCGAGTGCCCGGCCACCAGGCAACAGGGCAGGACCCCGCTTCTGCTCCCTCAACCCTGCTGCAGGGTGGGGGGGCACCCATCTGAGGGAAGGGACACCCTCTACTCTCCTAGCCCTGCACCAGTGGGTGGGCTCTTTTTCCCCTTTTCTCCTTTGTACAAAGGCCCTCACATTGGCTAGAGGAGCCCACCTGGCACCTTTCCACCATCTGTGCCACTTCTGGGCAGAAGTGTTAAGAGCCAGTGAATGAGTCTGTGCTGACAGCAGAAGCCATGAGAGCCACGTCCCATTGGGCAGGGACTGAGACTACAGTAAGCAGAGGCCCTGCACACCGCCAATGGCCTCCAGTGTGCCCAAGAGAGAAGCTGTGGTCACTGTAGGCCTATGGGTCTTCAGAATGTTTGTAACAGCATCAGACTTGGCCTATCCTGCCCAACACAAAGGGTTTCAGATGCTAACATTGGAGAAAGGAGAATTCAAAGTGAAAAACGTCAAATGAGGAAAAAGGAAGCAGAGGATACTGTTAAGTGGGGAAGTTTACAACAAACCATCATGGTCAGGAGCCTTGATGAACTGAACATTACAGTAAATGTAGAAAGCAAAACTATTAGAAGGAAAAATCAACAGAGCAATACAGCAAGCGACCCCTTTCTATGATTCAGTCTCTTCAATTTTCATATGGGAATGATAGTATCTGCCTGTCTCAGTCTGCTTAGGCTGCTGTAACAAAACACCACAGACTGGGTGGCTTAAACAACAGAAATGTATCTTCTCAGAGCTTTGGAGACTGGAACATTCCAGATCAAAGTGCCAGCAAGTTCCTGGCTTGCAGACGGCCACCTTCTCGCTGTGTGCACACACGGCCCACACTGTGTGTGCATGCGGAGGCAGAGTGAGCTCTCTGGTGTCTCTTCTTACAAGGGCAATAATTCTATTGGATCAGGGCCCCACCCTTATGACCTCATTTAACCTTAATTACTTTCTTAGAGACCCCATCTCCAAATACAGCTACACTGGGGGTTAGGGCTTCAAAATACGAATGCGGGCTTGTGGGGGCAAACATTTACCCATTTAATGAGTTAAGGAAAGGGCTTCCATTATCCTCAGCAAACTAACGCAGAATAGGAAAACCAAACACCGCATGTTCTCACACACAGTGGGGCTTGTCGGAGGGTGGGGTGGGGAGGGAGAGCATCAGGAAGAATAGCTAATGGATGCTGGGCTTAATACCTGGAAGATAGGATGATCTGTGCAGCAAATCCCCTTGGCACACATTTACCTGTGCAACAAACCTGCACAGCCTGCATATGTATGCCTGAACTTAAAATAAAAGTTGAAGAAAAAAATGTAATACATATATATTTTTTTTTAAAAATGAAAGGAGGAAAATAGCTAGTAAATTTCCATCTTCCCTAATGACAATAATTGTTCCTGCGAACTAATCAGAATATCGATGTTTATGTTTTAAATAAATATGTTAAAAATTTACAAAGAAGTAAAATGAAAAGGGCTTAGACACATGGTGCATATTAACTCCTTCGCTGCTGCTACCACGGGCTCTGTTGTTGTCTGTTGTTATCCAGAGTCCCCACGGCGAGGAACAGAGCTAAGGAAAAGAAAAAAGTTAACTGTCTCACAGGAGTGGAGAAGCAGGCCAGAGCTTAGGGACCAGTCCATTTGCAGCGCTCCCTAGAACCCAGTGGACAGGGCTTTGTAAAGATTTAGTGTTGATATTTTCTAGGGAAAGGTCACCCTTCTCTGCAATCCAGATGTTTCATCTTTCTTAGTCTGCTCTGCATTTCTTTGATCTTTCTCACATTCCATTGCTCACCCTTGTTTAAGATAATTTCTAAAAGGGAATAACTGAGTACATCATGAAGAGTGACATTGAGTTAGGATGAAGAAAGTTGTTACTCTTTCCACCCATCATAAAACCTTCATTCAAGTATTTAGCCACCACACCTCCCAAAAGAAGACAAAGTTAACAGAATTATCTCCCAAGCATATCTTGTTTTCATCCATGTCAGGGTCCGGAGTACAGAGAGAGCTCCTGCTGGAGCAGCTGCCCCTGGCACCTCCTTTGTCACTGCTGGCTTTGGCGGTGGCAAGTCGGAGGAGAGGGGAACGGTGAGGGGTAGGAAGGTGTCGGAGTCCATGTCCCCAGCAGTGAGCAGACCACTCAAAGGTGTTTGTGAGACCAGGGCTCAGCAGCATCTTGGCAGTGAGGAGGGAAGGAACACAGCCAGGGGCACGGGGCTGAGCCACGACAACTCCAGGGCTTCCCAGTCCCTGCTCTCAAGTTCACTGGTTGCACCGAATAACCTGCTTTTGATACTCACACTAAAAGAAGAATGACCTATCCATGGATGAATACGTCAGGGTGACACAGGATATCTGCATAGCCTCTGAGTATCTCTCTCCAAATTTACTAATGATGGTGATGGTTCTAACCTCAGGCCCACTAATTCTTTGATCCTCCTCCTGCCAGGATGGGCAGCCTAAGTCCACTTCCCTGGATGTGGGCTGGACCTAGTGACTTGCTTCCAGAGCAGGGAGAGGGAGAAGCAGTAACTTTATAGAGGAGAAACCTGCAGACACCACCTCAGCCTGGTGATCGAGGTCAGCATCCTCAGTAAGAAGCCACATTGGTGCCGTGTGTCCCTGTAGGATGTGAGGGAAAGGGCGCTTCACCTTTGTGCGATTCTTCCCCCAAATCCAAGACTTCAGTCTAATCAGACAAATCCAAATTCTACAAGATACCTAAGAGCTACTCTTCAAAAGCACCAGGTCGGGAAGACAAGTAAATACTGAGAAATCGTCATGGATTGGAGGAGTCCAAGGTGAACTGATGACAAAATGCAATGTGGATCCCAGATGGATCCTAGAACAGAAAAGAGACATTAGTGGGAAAACTGGGAAAATCCTGTTGTCAGTTAAAACAAAGTTGCTGAGAACAGGTTATGTATTCTCTATCATTCTAACTAAGCTTTCCGGTTTCACAAAACGCATCACCAACACTGACTCATTTTTATTTCCAACCTAATTCTCCAGCCTGCCACCCGCCTCTAACCCAAGAACACCAGCGTAACTCTCCTCCAAAGGTTTTCAGTTACTCCTGGGGTGCCCAGGGCTCTTGAGGAGCATGGCGCTTAGGTGAGGTTAAGGTCAGGCAAAGGTGGCTATTTATTGCACCTGGCAGGCTGTGTTAATACACCTAAATTCCTCTGGCCCAATCCCCCTGCCCCAACAGGAAAGCCACACGGAGCATGTTCTACAAACCTTGGTCCAAGTGACTTCAGCCCCTGGGCATGTGCCATTAACCTAGCAGAGTTTTCCTGGACACAATGATTGCCTTTTTAGGGAGTGCGAGCTCATCGCGCCGGCAGTGTGCAATGCAACCCGATCGTGCACACAACGCCCAATGAGGCCAAAGCCCCATCACTAGGATCATTCAGAAGATTTTTTCCAAGTGCATACATTGCAACAAAAGCCAACGGAGAAACACAAGGCAGGAAAAACCATAAAAACAAGGAACTGGAAAGAGGGAAAAACTGTAGGAGTAAACAGGAAAAGGATTTGGTTTCTTGCTTTAATTTTCCCCTCTATATCTTATTACATGAAGGAGGGGTAAGGTCGCAAACCACCCTGGCCAGAGTGAAGGGGAATCAAAAAGAACATTTCTGAGAACCCACACCTGGCCAAATTAAATCCCGCTTCCTTAAACCTTCACTTATATGTAAGCGATTTCTGACAAGCCTTTTCAAATCTTGTTCTAGTTTGAAAACAATCAGAATTTCCAAATGTTATGTGAAGTCAAGCTAAGTCCATTCATTCATTCATTCATTCATTCATTCATCTGTTCCTGTATTCATTCACTCACTCACTTTTCTGCCACTAAACGCTAGTGATCCAGGGTCTGCTGTGTGCCAAGTGCAGACCCACCGGGCTGGGGGCCCTGGCCAGGCTCTCCCCTGGGAGAAGGGAGGGAGGCCTATGAGAGGGAGCAGATCCTCAACTAGCAGCTTCGCCCAGCGGGAAGGTCACAGCAATGGTAACGGTTATGACCGAAGTCATTCACTCCTCAGCCGTCTGAGCAGGAAAAAGCCACCCTCTGCTAATCAGGAACATCAGAGTAAATGGATTCTCCCATCTGTATAGCCAGATACACCAACGGCATCCGTCTACCGAAGGCAGAACTTCTGAAGGCGAGGGTGCGCCAGAATCGTCCGGGGGTGTGTCAGAAGCCCAAATGCCCGGCTCCACCCCCAGAGGTTCTGAGTCAGTAGCACAGGTGGGGCTCAAGACCCAGCATTTCTAGCAAATTCTGGGTGGTGTAGCTCTCCTCCAATTGGAGAGGAAAGCAACAGCGTTGCCAAAAGAGGTGTAGCGAGTGCGCGGCGGCCCTGTGGCCCATGAGCACACTGCTGCATGTTCAGAAGCAGCTACAAACTAGCCTGAAACATCTGAGTGTTTAAGAATTTATTTTAAACCTTTCTGACAATAATATCACCACCATCTCACAGCTGCAAAGCCCTTTAGGCTTTATGTGCATCATCTCAAATGTTGCCTCATCGGGACCTCATGTGAACTCTGTGAGGTTAGCAGGCGGATTTATCCCACCTTATAGAGGAGGTGGTAAAACGGGGGCGGACTTGGCCCTGCAGCCCTTCCTTCCCTCTCCAGGTAGCCTGGAGCTGGTGTATGAGTCCAGACCCTGCAACCTGGAGCCTAGAATCGAAAACCTAGAGTTCAGAACCTGAAGCCTGGAGCCTAGAACCAGGAAATAGGAACCCTTAGCCTAAAACCTGGGGCCTGGCAACTGAAACCCTTAGCCTGGGACCTGGAACCTGAAACCCCTAGCCTGGAACCTGGAACTGGAAGCCTGGAGCCTGGAACCTGGAACCAAAACCCTTAGCCTAGTACCTGAAACATGGAACCTAGAACCTGAAGCCTGGAGTCTGGAACCTAGAACTGGGAGGCCTTATCCCAGAGCCTGAAACCTGGAACTGGGAACCCTTAACCTAGAACCTGGAGCCTGGAGCCTGGAACCTGGAACCTGAAACCCTTAGCCTGGAACCCGGAACCTGAAACCCTTAGCCTGGAACCCGGAACCTGAAACCCTCAGCCTGGAACCTGGAGCCTGGAGCCTGGAACCCGGAAGCTGAAACCCTTAGCCTGGAACCTGGAGCCTGGAACCCAGAACCAAAACCCTCAGCCTAGAACCTGGGACTGGGAACCTGAGGCCTAGAGCCTGGAACCAGGCGTGCAGCCTAGAACCTGGAGTGAAGCTGGGGACAGAAGCCAGGCCTCGGCCTCTGAGTCTGAAAGTCTTTGAGCACAGGTGGCAGACAGCAGCAACTGCACACACGCGGTCCTTGGCCAGCATGATTCCCTGAAGGCCCATCCTAAGCCTCGTGTCTGCATTGCCTCATAGACTCCTCACAGCCACCCAGTATCGCCTCCCCTTGCCAGGTGGAAACACTGAGACTCAGAGATGCTTGTCGCTTGTCTGAGGAGGTCGCCTGGCCGCAGCACCCAATGCTGACCCTCTACACCACACTCTCCCTGGGTACCCCAAAGATTCTCTCATGGGTGTGCGAAGTGTCTCCAGTCATGGGAGTTAGGAGGAAAACTTCACACCAACAGAAACCTGAACTCTGCAAGGGCCCAAGAAAGGAAGCACACAGCCATCTAAGACGACGCCCTGGAAGTCCTCCCAAGTGTCAGGAGTATCCTTATCTGAAATAACTCAAAAAATTTAAAAGCAAGACACAAAACTGTACAATATATTGTGCATGTTATATGTTATTTTCACCTGGTATACTTTAACATATTTTTAAAAATCATATTTAAAAAAACAAGCTATTGGTAATACAGAGTGCAACCTGTGGATCTGCAAGGCAGTCCTCCCACCACACGTATATTCAGTATAATTTATTAACTATCATGTTCTATATAGGGAAAAATTGGAAAAGATATTTAGGAAAGAAAAATAGATTGAAATTTTAACACCAATCACAAAAACAGAAATCCAAGGAGAAAAGATTGACTAAGTCTTAAACCAAAAGGAACACAATTTTTTTTTTTTTTTTTTTGAGACAGAGTCTTACTCTGTTGCCCAGGCTGGAGTGCAATGGCACAATCTCAGCTCATTGCAACCTCTACCTCCTGGGTTCAAGCGATTCTCCTGCCTCAGCCTCCTGAGGCACCTGCCAACATGCCTGGCTAATTTTTGTACTTTTAGTAGAGATGGGGTTTCACCATGTTGGCCAGGCTAGTCTTGAACTCCTAACCTCAGGTGACTCGGTTGCCTTGGCCTCCCAAAGTGCTGGGATTACAGTTGTAAGCCACTGCACCTGGCCTTTTTTTTTTTTTTTTAATAGAGATGGGTTCTTGTTATGTTGCCCAGGCTGTTCTCAAACTCCTAGGTTCAAGCAATCCTCCTGCCTCAGCCTCCCAAAGTGCTGGGAGGAATACCATTTTTTAAAAGAATATTATTGATGAAACCAAACAGAATATTAAAGCTGAATTTTCAATTAGTGAGAGGGACAGTGTATGTGGGTGTTTTCCTTTGCAAATTGTACATAAAAACAGAAGCAAGAGGTAGAAACCACAGAGGTGAATATGCTGGAACATTCACATGGTTAATGGTCCCTTCCTGTCCCATCCCAGCAGGCTGAGATGCACGCCTTTTGGCCAAGCGAAAAGAGAGGCCAGGGGTTGGAAGGGGGAGTCTTTGGATAGAGACTGCAGGTTCTCGGGCTTCTCTCGCTGGGAACAGGAGTGGAGGGGCGGGGGCCACACAGTACTTTCTGGAGATCAGTTGAGAGGTGATGAGGAGAGTATCGTGCAGAGAGCTGCGGAGGCCCAGGGCTGAGGCAGCAGGGATTCCGAACAAGACAATGATCTGGTCATCTATTTTAAGAAGTTCGGCAATGTGCTTTTACGGGAGATATGGGGACGGTTTTAATCCTGTGGAAATGTGGCAGTCACTGACCTTTCTGTTGTCCAACATCCAGTCCCCCTTCTCATCTGGGGGGTGGTCCTGGGGGGTGAAGGACGACTGGGTCTCCAGCCCCACCTCCACAGGTGAGACTAAAGTTGAGGGTCTTCCCTGTCCCTTCTCCTGCAGCCACACCTGGATTTTGAGTAATCTGAAGATGCAGACAAGAGGTGTGCGCTGAATGTGCCGGCACCTAGATCTTGGACTTCCTGCCTCCAGAACAGGGAGAGATCAACTTCCATGCTAAAGCCCCCAGTCTGTGGTATCTTGTTATAGACGGTCCCCAGCCCCACTGTCAGCTCAAGCACACTTCCAAAGCCAGCAAAGTGTAATCACATTGGCAGCTCGTGTCTCCATTCCCTGAGCCTGCAGCCGACTTCTAAAATGGCCCCATCTCAGCTTCCAGGGTATGTGGCCCCCTCTGTACTAATTTCCAGGAGGTTTAAATGCAGGAAACGCCAAGAATGTAATGTGGTCAGCTAGGGCTTTTTACCCTCCTTGCAGGAGGGCAAACAGTCGTAGTCACTGTCAGACTCAGAGTTCTCTAGCTGAGGGGAGTGGTTCAGAGCTCAAGGTACAAACCCAGCAGTGTGGCAGGGGAAACCTGACACAGAGATCCTCAGTTGGGTATCTTGTTCCCCATGGGCCATTTGACAATGTCTGGAAGCATGTTTGGTGGTCACAGCTGGGAATAGCGAGGAGCTCCTGGCGCCTACTGGGCAGAAGCCAGGGATGCCGTTCAAAATCCTATAATGCATAGGACAGCGCCCCCCAGGACAGAGAATTACCCAGCCCTAAATGCCAGTAGTGCCCAGATTGAGAAACCCTAACACAAGACAAAAGAAAGAAAAAACTTCAGATGTTGAAATGAAGAGTTGGAAGACCATGTGGTCATCACCTCATCTCAACTCATGTGGCAATTCCTCTGGAGCCGGCTCCAGGCATTGGTTAAAAATAGGCGGGTAATTTAGTAGCTTCTAAGAGGTCAGATAAGCCCAAAGATAAACCGTGCAGAACAAGGCTGGGGTGAAGTGGCCCATTATTTCTGGGAAGCCAACCAAAGACCTGGGCACCAAGGCTAGGTTGCTTGATGGTGAAGCAGCTTGAAAAATCTGATGGTACCTTACTGTTGATGCTTGAATTCAAGACCAAGAAGTAAAAGTGACACTGGCTGTCTCAATGCCAAGAATGGTAACATGCTTCAAACTTATAAGAAGTCCCCAGGGACGCTGACACTAAAGACACACATATTTACAGCGACAGCCATTCGCGCTTTTATTCTGAGTTCATTTCATCAGTCCCAAGGGCCGTCTGTGTCCCTCTTGGGCATGGGAGATCATCTTTCCTATATTTTTCTCACAAGCTCCACCCAACCCCCATCTCAGCCCTGGGGCACATCCCAACCAGTCAAGAAGCACAACTGCCTCCTTCTAGAGCTAACCACAGCCACCTGAAGGTAGCAAACGACCACCACCATTTAATTGCCACCTACCAGGTGCCAGGCAGCACGCCCTGCAGCCTGTGGGCTCTAGCTCTTTACCATGACTGCCCCACACGATAGCATTCCTCTTTCTCGGATAAAAAAAAGAAGACTGGGCTGCATTCACTTGCCTACGGTCACACAACTTAAAAAGGCTGACCCACAGGTCTCTGAGGCCACAGCCCCACAAAGGTTCCAACCTGCAATAGATCAGTCCATCGATCAGTCCAGTCTACCTGCATTGGTCATGAGTGGTATGCAGCCCCATGTGTAAGCAGTCAATAAATATCCCACATTGCAGAACATACCTCTATTGCAATGTATTTCCACAAGGGAATTGCTCTGGAGCTACACTGGTCGACACGGCAGCCCCAAGACTTCCATGGCTATTTACCTTTAAATGCACTGTGGTAAAGTTAATTTGACATGCAGATCCTCAACTGTACTAACCGCATTTCAAGTGCTCAGTAATTACAGAGGGCTAGTGGCTACCACAGTGCACTGCACAGACACAGAGCACAGAGTCCTATAGACAGCACAGCTTTGGGTGATTTAAAAATATGCTGGGGGTAATTTAAAGCAATATCTTAGGGCAGAGGTCCCCTACCCCTGGGGCACAGACTGGTACCAGTCCATGGCCTGTTAGGAACTGGGACACACAGCAGGAGGTGAGCGGCAGGCGGGTGAGTGAGCGAAGCTTCATCTGTATTTACAGCCACTCCCTATCACTCGCATTCCCACTTGAGCTCCACCTCTTGTCAGATGAGCAGCAGCATTAGATTCTCTTAAGAGTGCGAAACCTATTGTGAACTGCGCATATGAGGGATCTAGGTTGTGCGCTCCTTATGAGAATCTAATTCCTGATGATCTGTCACTGTCTCCCATCACCCCCAGATGGGACCGTGTAGTTGCAGGAAAATAAGCTCTTGGCTCCCACTGATTCTACATTATGGTGAATTGTATAATTATTTCATTATATATTACAGTGTAACAATAATAGAAACAAAGTGCACAATAAATGTAATGTGCTGGAATCATCTCAAAACCATCCCCACACCCTGGTCTGTGGAAAAGTTGTCTTCCACAAAACTGGTCCCTGGTGCCAAAAAGATTGGGGGCTGCTGTCTTAGGGAAGACAGGGTAGAGCCATGCTAGCTGTTTGGTCAGCATGGAAACCACGATGAGTGTCAACCTGGAAAACCCCACATCTTCCCAGATGCCTAAGGAATGTCATCAAAGAAAGTGAAAAATAAAAATGAAAGAAATCAAGGACAATGAGGGCAAAATTGATAAACCTACATGATGGAGGTTAAAAATACATGAACAACTTTAGATCTCCTGATTTCTTTATGTTTAAATATGATCATGACCACTATGTGATTTTTCATTCACTCCCCAAGCCAAGAGTGGATGGAGAGTTTGTAATATAATATGCCAGTGGAGGCTCTGAACAGATCTGGCTCTCAGAGACTTGCTGATCCAAGAGTTTACCTGCTGCCAAGGCCATATCACATTCTGCCTACCTAAACTCTCCAGGTATTTTATTTGTTTTATGGAAAGTATATCTCAGATCTTAGAGAACTTTCCAAGCAAATAAATGAATTATTCCTTTGCTTTTTGTCTTCTTCTTTTTCTCTTTTTGAGATGGAGTCTCGCTCTGCTGCCCAGGATGGCGTGCAGTGGTGTGATCTTGGCTCACTGCAACCTCTGCCTCCTGGGTTCAAGCAATTCTCCTGCCTCAGCCCCCCGAGTAGCTGAGACTACAGGTGCAAGCCACCACATCTGGCTAATTTCTGTATTTTTAGTAGAGATGGGGTTTCACCATATTGGTTAGGCTGGTCTCAAACATCTGACCTCAGGTGATCCACCCGCCTTGGTCTCCCAAAGTGCTGGGATTACAGGCACAAGACACCATGCCCAGCCCAATTCTTGATGCCTGAAGCTATGAAAATCTCATATTTTTTTGTTTTACTATCTTTATTTGCTCAGCTAATTTGACATTTTATTTCGCTCTCAGTAAAAGAATACCATAATGATGGGTTCCTTTGTTTGAGCTGTGTAGACACTAGAGGTTAGCCGTTCTTCCCTGGTGTATGTCTCAGATTAATTTTCAACTTTCTTTTCCAGCCTTACTAGTCCCTTAATCAAAAACAAAACTCCACCTGCAGGCACCAAATTAGAGAAGTCTGACTGGTTAACATTAAGCAATGTTTCCTCCTAACACTGACATGGTGGTCAAGGGCACTGGCCTCAAAGGCAAGAGACTGGGTTCAAATCAGAGCTGCTTGCCCCTGCCTGAGGAACCACTGTCTGGTACCAACACTTCAGCCGCCCTGTGTGGCTTCCTGTTCACACTTTGTGACATCTCTCTTCCTGGCCTTTGCTCAAATTGTAGTCACCATGTTTAGTGCCTCCCTCTAAAATATGAAAGGGTAGCTGAGGATCACCACACATCTGAGAAAGGCTCCAAGATGACAGAGGCCAAAACACACAAAGGAGGAAAAGAAACAGACCAGGATGCAGGGAACAAAAAAATTTTCAGGAAAACCCCCAAATTAAGTGAATTTGCTTAATATCCTTAGAGTAGTAAGAAAAGGTACTGCATTAGTGAGTCAAGAAAGGATGCTATAGAGATAAAGAACAATAAAAAAACTTAGCAATTCAATATAAAACAGGTAAACTTAGTAGAGGGAGTGGATGGTAAAGTTGAAGAATCTTCCTTGAAGTATTACCAAAAGACAAAAAAAAAAAAAAAAGAAAAGAAAGGAAAATGAAAAATTACTTCTTTTTCTGTTCTGTCTTACAGAAATTACTGTAAGACAGAACAGAAAAAATGATGGGGCTAGGAAAAAATTCAAGAAAATTTCCCAGAATTTTAGGATACAAGTTTCCAGATTGAATGAACCCAATGAATGCTCAATAAGTGGGGGAAAAATCCAGAATTCTGAGAATAAAGAGAAGATCCTAAAAGTTTCCAAACTTTTTCTTTTAAATTTTTTTTTTTTTTTTTTGAGACAGAGTTTTGCTCTGTCAACCCAGGCTGGAGTGCAGGGGTGTGATCTCAGCTCACTGCAACCTCTGTCCCCTGGGCTCAAGTGATCCTCCCACCTCAGCCTCCCAACTAGCTGGGACCATAGGCACAAGCCATCATGCTTGGCTAATTTTTGTATTTTTAGTACAGAAGGGATTTCACCATGTTGCCCAGACTGGTCTCAAACTCCTGAGCTCAAGTGATCCACTCACTGCCCTCCCAAATTGTTGGAATTACAGGTATGAGCCACCACACCCACTCACTTTTTCTTTTCTTTTTTGTGGAGATGGGGGTCTCACTATGTTGCCCAGGCTGGTCTTGAACTCCTGGGCTTAAGCGATGCTCCTGCCTCAGATTCCCAAATAGCTAGGACTACAGGCATGCATCACCATGCCCAGCTAAATAAAAAAAATATATTTTTAAAGGAAGGGTCCTACTTTGTTGCCCAAGCTGGACTTGAACTCTTGGTCCTAAGCTATTCTTTCACCTTAGCCTCCTGAGTTGCTGGAATTACAGGTGTGAGCCATAATGCCTGGCTCCTAATTTTACTTTTTTGATATTTATTAGTTTATTTTATTGACTAGTTAATACAGTCACATGGTTCAAATATCAAGAGCATGAAGAGTGGCACTTGACAACCTGCTTCCACCTCCATCCCCACACTCCTTTCATTGTGTTCTGCCAGTGATTTTTATTCAAATGCAGGAAAATTGCAGCCTTTCTCACACAAGGAACAGCATGCTATCTTTATTTTCTGTATATTACTTTTTCCAATTAACAATACTTACTGGAAATTATGTCAAAGAAGACACAGAGTTCATCATTTTTTGGAAAATTATTTTTAACCTAGAACTCTATACACAACCAAAGTATCAATCAAGTATGAATGTAGAATAAAGACATTTTCAGACATGTGAATACTTAGAAAAGGCATTCTTGCTCCGAAAGCTACTGAAGGATGTGTTCCAGCAAAATAAGACAGCAATCCAAGAAGGCAGATAATATGGAATCCAGAAAATAGGGACCTAACAACAACAATAAAAAGGGGGTAAAAGAAATTCTCAGAATGGTGGCAGAGGGAATGGCAGGTGCAGGAAACCCTGAGGAGAACATCCAGACCAGACTGGATCTAGAGGACAGAGGTCTCTAGTGGGTAGATTTCCATGGGAGAATAAAATGGAATTGATAGATTATCTGCTTTGTTTAATCATATAGAACATAGCATTTTGATGGGTTCTATTGAAAACTTTATGGAGATATGTAGATATATAGATAGATAAGCTAGATATGTAGGCAGATGAGCAATGAAAAAGAAAATAAATCATTAACTCTAGAAGAAGCAGAAAGTTGTATAAGGAAAGAAAGATTATAGTACACTGCTTGGCTCTGCAATTGACATTATTTACACAGCTGGCAAGATCATCATCATCACCAGCATTTACTGAGCATTTACTATGTGACAGTCATTGTTCAGAGGTCTTTTTGTGAAAGATCTCATTTACCCTCATAACTGCCCTGGGTGAAGTATACTCCTAAAACTTTCCCATCTTACCTATGGGGGAACTGAGGCACAAAGTTGATAAGTAACTTGCCCTAAGTCATGGTATAAGGGACAGAATCAGGATTTGAACCCAGGAAATCTGATTCTAGCACCCATATTCTTAAGCAGTCTGTCCTGCCAGTGAATATTCATTTAGCCCCACACTACAATGAACTATAGTGTGATGCAGAGAAGGAAAGTAGGGAGCTGGCCTGAACTGGGCCCATGCACACCAAGTCCCGTCCTTCAATGCAGGAGCCAGCTGACAGCATCTGCAATTGATAAACTAATGTGTAATACATATGTATGTTATTTATAAACAAGGAGATCATTACCAGATCATTGAGGGTCTTGTAGCTTGTTTAAGGACTTGGGTTTTACGGAGTGATACAAGACACCCTTGGAAAGTTTTTATCAGAGAAGTGGCATGATCTGACATATTTTAAAAGGACTGCCCAGCCTACTGTGTGGGGAACGGCCTGAGAATATGGGTAAAAACATATATTACTCTGATGAAATAAAAATCAATTTTTTAAAGATGAAAGGATGGAAAAAGAAGATGAGAGATACAGTAAGGCAGAGACAGATATGGGACTCTCTCTCCTGAAATGTCACCCCTGGTGGTTCACAGGTCAGTGGGGGACGACATGTGCCAGGGATAGGAAGAAGGTGGCTTGCCTGCAGGACATAGCCTGAATGGGGTCTTGGAGGGAGCTGAGGGGCTGATCCAGGAAGCAGCCTGGGCCATGAACTGGCAGCCCCTAATTAATAGGTGGCCTCAGCCATGTCCCATGGTGTCTCTGAGTCTGTTTTCTCTCTGTCAAACAGAGAGACTCGGAACTCTTTTCACAGGATTTAAACAAACTATGGGAGTAAAGCTTCCAGAGTACCTGGCACACCTTGGGTCTTAGAAGCAACCTCCATTCGCCCCTCTCTCCTTTCCCGTCTCACACTCACTGGGGACGGGCAGGGCTCACGGGGGACAGGCAGGGCTAGAAGCCAGGTCATGTTCTCCACACACACATCCCAACCCTGAGTACCAGGCCAACGAGTGGCTCAAGAGTCACCCAGAAAAGGAAGAAGGGAGACAGCTGGCCCTCTGACAGAAATAGCTGTGGGGTGGGGCCCAGGGCCGTTGGGGACCAGCAGGCCTGTCCACAGCTGAGTTTTCTGTGGACTCAGAAACCCAGAAGCATCTTTTGGGAATCGCACAAACAGCCCAAGGTCACAGGCACATTGTTCACGCCCTCCAACAGCTCAGACTGTTGGTAAAAATCCGTCTGGAACACCAGTCTTGTCACATTCCTAAAACCTTGTAGACGATCTGCCAAGATGGGTGTTTGGCTTAGGAGAATCAGCTGCAGAACAGCCCTCAGTGACTCCACTGCGGCTGGGTTCCAACTGGAGGCAGGATGTTGTTCAGGCTGGACAGTCCTGTGTCCTGCCGGGCACTGAACGCCCCTCACCTCTCCCAACTCCTGTGGAACAAAGGGGCAGGGCCCAGCCCCAATGGCAAACCAGTGTCCAGCAGCACTCAGTTGGTGTGCAATCTGCTGGCCAGCCTCAGAAAAGCAAATTCATAGAGAAAAAAGTCATGAAATTCACTTTCAAATCAAGTGAAATAGGCCTAGGGACAAGTCTGACATCTTGGTTGCGTGCAGGTGAATTCTGGCCCCAGGGTCACCTCACCAGAGGGCAAGGGACTGCATTGGGGACCCAGATTTGCATCTTTGCAGCTGGGCTCAGTCCTGGACTCTCCACCCCAGAGGAGCCAGGTCAGGTTAGTGCTGGAGAGAGGTAGAGCGAAGTTTCCACACTGAACCCCACTTCTGGGCTGTTCTGGAAAAGAACACGTGCACCCCATCCCCAGCTTGGTTCTCCAACAGCCTTGAGGAGAAGAGAGACAGGCTCCCTCCGCACAGGTTGATATAGGAGGGCTATTTGGGAAGGACAGGGAGAAAAGATGAATGAAAGGGGGACTTAGGATGAAAAGACCCGATATTTACGAACTACCTGAAACAAGGGGCATGGCTTTATGTTGGGTTCCAGAAGCAGAGCCCATGGCAGGACTGGATGTGAGCCCTGTCCCAGCAGGGGCATGAGGGGGGCAGGCCAGTCAGGGAAGGGCTGGGGAGGGAGGTGGTCTCGGCAGGAGTTGGCCTCAGCCTGGCCCGCAGAGAGCTCCGGAGCAGGAAACGTACCACAGAATTGGTTGCATCTTGAAACAAGCCTGGGGGACATTTTGTGACCTCACAAAATGGTTACTTGATGGCTGCAGGCTGCCTTGGGGGCAATGCAACCCCTTCTCCACAACTGGAGTCCTTGGGGGCTGTGTGACCCCTTCTCCACAACTGGACTCCTTGGGGGCAGTGTGACCCCTTCTCCACAACTGGACTCCTTGGGGGCAGTGCGACCCCTTCTCCGCAACTGGACTCCTGTGTGGCCGTGGCTCAAGTGAAAGGCGGTGGCTGTGAGGCCTGAACCAACAGCACCCGCAGGCCCACGAGTCAACTTGGGGCCGGTGAAGCAGCCGGGTGGGGCAGCAGTGCCCCTGCCATGGATCAGGGCCCGAGGCCGCAGGCCACAGAGGGGCCAGCTTGGAGAGGAGGCTGCAGAAACAGTTATGGGGGGAGGGCCTCCGTCCTGCTGGGTGAGGAAGGGGTACCTATGGCACCACCAGGGGATAATAAGCTCACCGCACTGTCTCAAGGCCCCACGGTGAGTTCCTAATGCAGCCTGCGCAAATGACTGTTCCTGTTGGGAAAAACATTCTTCATTTGAGAGCAATACTTTGAATTGCATGGTGAGACCAGTATCGCTTTACTCAGCTGCAGAGTGCTGAATGAGAAGTTTGGGATGCTACCAAAATGCACCAGTAGAATGTGAAATGCGGTAGGAGAGGAAAATCTATCTGCGTTGGAAACACCCCTCCCCAGAAGTGGGAGGCGCAGCTCATGCCTTTGGTGCTAATGAGCTTCTGCAAGTGCGTACTAAACCTTTCTCCTGATAACATCCCGCCTGAATTCCACTGCAACAAGAGAGTGAGAAATAATTGACTTGCGATAATACAGCATTTGCAAATAACTCCCTTTACTATACACGCTTGCCTAGAGTTTAAACCATCACATGGAAGCAGGACACCGGCTGCAGAAGCAGAAATGCACCCTCCAAAGGCTGCCCCCACCACGAGTCCTGCTTCTACCCAGAAGAGTGCAAAGCCCTGCCTGCACAGGGCAGCCTAGCTCTTCCCCTCGCTCCAGCGAACTGGAACCCACGTCCCTGCCAGGTGACTCAGGCTTCCCAATGACCTCAGCCCAGAATTTTCCACTTACTCTCCAGAAGGCATGTTCTTGGGTGCCAGGCCCAAGTGGCAGCCCACTCCCTCCCACTTCCTTGAAGCCTCCCCAGTTTCCATTCAGGCCCCCACCTTCCCAAGTGTTTCAGGGAGGCCGGCTCTCCCCAGTCCCAGGATGAGTCTGACAGGTCACAGGGTAGACCCACCCCCCTTTGCCACAGGCACTGAGCCCCTAAGTCCATGGTCCTTGTCAAAGAGCTTGGTGCAGGAGTGGCCAGACAGACTCATGAAAGTTTACCAGGGAGATACTGCTAGCTCTCTGGAGAGAGCCACCAGAAGAGACGGTGTGTGGGCTCCACAGTGGCAGCCCGGGAAAGCCAAGGCCAGCTGGCCTCCATGAAGCAAGTCAGCCTGAGGATGAGGCCACCCACAGAGGATGGCCCAGCCCAACCAGCTGCGCAGGTGCTGTGGGAAAAAGAGGCCGGAGCCACTGGTGAGGCTGGCGGGGAATCCTGCCCTGCCTCCGGGCTTGCTGTGCTCCAGCCAATATACTTCCCCTTGTCAATGTCAGTCCAGTCAGGGTTTCTGTCCCAGCAGCCAAAGCATCTTGACTGGTACATACAGCCTTCAAGAACTCAAAATGCCACTTCCTCCAGGAAGCCACTTCTGAGACCACTGGCCGGCTGTGATTCTCTCTCATGTCCAAACCTTCAGAACACTGTCTACGCCCTTTTTATATCAGATCCCTTCCTGTCTTCGGTTAGCATTATTGATCTACAGGTGTCAACCCCTTTCTGACCCAACTCCTGGAGGGCAGGCAGGTCCTCGCCGGGTTCCTCCCTGACTCTCCAGTCTCCCCAGGACAGGAATTTGGATACCATGGCTTGTATCTGTTGAGTCAATGAGTGAATAAGAAAGTACTGAACCCAAGACGATTTTGTTGATTTCTATAAGAACCCTGATGAATTCAAGGAGTAGATATTTGCCATTTGAATAGTGATTTTCATTTTCACAGTTGAGAAATAGAAGTTAATTTGTACTAAAACATAAGATGTCACACCTGCTCCCTCCAACCCTATCAATCTGTGCTACTCAGCACTAGTAACAGCTGCACCTACGGCTGGGTTTTACCGGGAGGGGCGTGTAAGAAGCTCTCATATTTACCCACCGCCTAGTTACATACTTTACATTGCTACCCACTTTCTTTAATTCTGACAGCCAGGGGAGGTTTCTTCTTCTCCATTTTAGAGACGAGAAAACAGAGGCCCAGAGAAGAGTGAGTAACTCACCTTCCTAGGATGGCACAGCTGGCTAAGAACTATGTCATTTGAAAGCCCAGCTCTGACTCACAAGTCTATCTCTGTAACTCCAACTGCATCTCCCTCGGTGGGAGGGAGGACCTCAGGGCTCTCAACCCAAGGAGTGTTCCCTTGCCTTCCTTTTCAATCTATTTTATAAAAACCAGCAGATAGGCTGGGCGCAGTGGCTTACGCCTGTAATCCCAGCACTTTGAGAGGCCAAGGCGGGAAGATCACTTGAGGCCAGGAGTTTGAGACCAGCCTGGCCAACACGGTGAAACCCCGTCTCTATTAAAAATACAAAAATTAGCCGGGTGTGGTGGTGCGTGCCTGTAATCCCAGCTACTGGTGAGGCTGAGGCAGGAGGATCTCTTGAGCCTGGGAGGTGGAGGTTGCAGTGAGCCGAGATCATACCACTGTACTCCAGCCTGGGCAACAGAGTGAGACTGTGTTAAAAAAAAAAAAAAAAAAAAAAAAGAAGAAAGAAACACCAGTGGATAAAAGGCAAACTCTGGAAATTTTCATTCTTCTCATTCTTCTGCCCCATAACCACTGACATCAAGACAAGGCTTGCGATTCACTGGCCACCTCTGGCCCTTGCAGGGAACACTTGTAAGGCACTGTGGTCAAATGCATACATAAGTGACTGTCTTCACAGGAGGGAGTTATACTCAAGCTACTATATTTAGCAAATGTCTATATTTAGCCAAAGGTCCTTTAAATGCCTTGTACTTCTTTTGTTTATTAATTAATGTAACAGACATAGACAAACACCTAGTATGTGCCTGGCTCTGTGCTGAGCTCTTGGGATACAAAAGTAAGATATTTCCTGTCTGGGTGTCACCTTCTACAGGTGGACAAATAATGATAAGGTATCCTGACTGCCATGCCAGGCGCGGGCATGCCATGGAGGGCCGTGGAGCCAGGGAGACTTAGGCCTGGTGCGATGTGAGAGGGCTGAGTCTGGAAGGTCTCCTGGAGGTCACAGTGGGCTTCCAGGAATGAATAAGGGTTTGCCTGGAAAGCCCTTTTCTGTATCATACAGAGAAAAACAGAAGTCTTTATTCACTCAGTAGTCAACAAATACTGAGTGACTGCCACATGTCCGTAAGAGCAAAATCAGGTATTTACAACTACAAACACCTAAGGATTGGTTACAGAGTAGATCCCCCAGAATATCTGACGGATACAGCCAGACACCACAGTCCAAATGGCTTGGAGGTGTTTCCTGTGGGAAGAATCACATGTGGAAAAGCCAACACGGAAAAGAACCTGTAAGGCGGGTTACAAGGCAGAGACTTTCTTTGCATTCATACACCCACCTGGCACACAGTTCAAATGGTACAAAGGGAACACAGTCAAAAATTAAGCTTCCTTTGTCCCCCTGGGGCCGCAACCTATTGGCTCCCCTTTTCCCAAGCTGCTGCTCTCTGTCCCTGTACGGCTTTCTGGATGTCATGTACATTCTTTAGCCTTAAGGTAGAATCCTTGCGGAAGGAAAAAAAAAAAGGCATTTGTACAAATACCCATTCTAGTGCGCCTTCAATTTGTCACAGGTAAAGTTCATCACCAAACATGATCTTAGTTACAATAAACTCTGTCCAGGAAACTTTAATGAAGACGTTTCAGTGTGCCTGGACCCGTTTCCAGGCTCAGTCCTGAAAGAAAAATCACAGTGATCCCCAAGTTCATCTCTGAGCTGCACCTTGAGTGACATCGATGGATGGATGACAAATGGTCACCTGAGCGACTCGGCCATTTCAGCAGGGCCATGTGGCCTCCGGCGACCGTCCACTGCCTCCAGGTCGGGCCTAAGCCCCCGCCTCCTCCCATGCCGCACAACAAAGCGGGGCGCTCGCCCCCACCCGGCCAGCCCGGGCCACCTCGCGCGCTGGCGGCGCCCGGCTCCTCTCCCGAGGGCGCAGCGGCCGACGGTGGCCGGGGTGGGGGAGGGCGCGCAGCGTCGCGGGCTGGGCCCGGGGCTGGAGAACGGGTGCGGGGTCCGCAGGCCTCGGAGATCGGGGCCGGGGCGCAGCGCCTGGGGATCAGCGCCCCGGCGCGCGCCTGCCCGGCCCACCCGCCTGGAGCCGGACGCGCAGTGGCACAGACGCACAGCGGGACAGACGGACGCCGGAGAGACCCTGACAGCCGTCCGGCCCCCGCGCCCGCCCGGCGCCCCCCGGCTGCCCTCCCGGAGCGCTCACCTCCCGCGCGATCTGGTTGAGCGCGTCGTCCTCCGCCGTGAGCCGCTCCCGGTTGGGGAGCCGCTTGCGCCCCGATCCCTGGGTGCCCATGTCCATCGACCGCGTCGCCCGCAGCTGCCGCGGGGCCCGTTGCTCCAGCCGCTCGCGCCGCCCCGGCCCGGCCCCGGCCCCGGCCCCTCCCTCCGCCGCGGCGTCATGGCGTCAGCGGGCGCTGGGCCGGGGACGCGGGGACGCGGGGGGACGGGGGCCGCGGGGACCCGGGGGAAGCCAGAGCCGGAGGTCCGCAGCGCGGGCCAGGGACTGCAGGGGCCAGGGACGGCGGGGCGGGGGACGGGGGCGGGGGGCGGAGACGCCAGGTGTCAGGGACGATGGGGGTCCGATACCACGGGGACGCTGCGGATGCCCAGGGCCGGGCACGCGGGACCTGAGGGACCGGGAGCCCCGGAGGGTGGACTTTGCGGGGACTGTTTGGCGGGCCGGTAATCGCGGAGCGACGCGCGCCAGGGCGGTGGGCACCGGTTGAGTGGGGACCTGAGCGGAGAGCGGGGGGGTAGGAAGGCTTTCAGAGGCCTGAGTTGCCTTGAGGGGTTTGCACGGAGGGGTGAGCACAGGATTTGGTTCAGCCTGGCGCTCCCCATTCCGCGGTGAGTCGGGGTGGAAGTCCCTCGCCGGGGTGAGAGCTAGGCTCTGGGGTCAGGCCGAGAGGTGCTCGGATCCGCCCGCCACCGCCGCTCCTGTGACCTTGGCCAGCCTCCTGGGCGCCGGCTTCACAGCGGCATGGTGTGGATGTGTGCGTTTCTGTCTTTACACGCGTGTTCTCCGTGCTAGCATCCATCCTTCTCCCCGCTGTCTGCCCCCTGAGATCAAGGACTTGTCACTTCTCTGGTGGGTCCCCAGCCTCTAGGATCGGGGCAGGTGCGTCGCAGCTCTCTCCTAGTTGTTGAAAAAGTAATGAACTTACCTGTGCTCTCTGAAGCTCACAGTCTATGCTCCAGAGGTGGATTTAAAAGTAAAGCAAATCGGAGGATTAGGTAGGGGTTAAAAGCCCCTGCCTAGGGCACGGCAGGAGCACCGGGTGGGAAAGTTACTGGTGTGTTTGGGGTATGGGGAGAACTTCAGTGTGGCTGGACCTGGGGAAGGATGGGAGGGAGGGTAGTGATGGTAGAGGAGAGGAGGCTGTACTGAAGTCACCTGTGATTTTTTTCCCCCAGTGATAAGGACAGTTAACATTTCGGTGTATTTCCCACCAAGTGGTGTGACCAGATTGCTTTGGATTCTTAAGGAGGTGGCCTGGAAGCTGTATGAAGGTGGGAAGAGGAAGAGGGCCCTTCCACCCACAGTGGCAGGGAAAGCTGTTGGAGGTTTCATTGCAGGGAAAAGACAGCGAGTCCAGTGACATGGGAGGGAGGGCAGATCCAGGTGACATTGCTCTGGGTGCCTGAGCTGACGCAGGTGGGTTGGCAGGGCTGACTGTGGCATTGTTCATGACTGAACTCCGGGAGCAGAAACTGCACCTGCACATTGTAGGCACTAAGGAAATAGGTGTTGACTGAATCTTCCAGGCCATATTTACATTACTTCAGAGGCCATACTCCTTAAGTGACATAGTCCTCCTTGGGGGAAACCTTGAGCCGTGGCCACTTGCACTGCCTTGGTCTTGCTGGTGGCTGCTCACTGTTTCCCAGCCCCTGGGGCACTGTGGGGACTGTGCGTCTTTGCCGAGGCTGGTCCCCATGAGTTCACTCATTCCTGCACCCACACCTGCTGCCTGCCAGCTGCTGAGCTGGAGGCTGGGGCATAGCTGTCCGAGAGGCAGACACGGCTGCTGCCTCTCAGGGCTGACTTGAGATGCCTGGAGCTCCTTAACTAAAGCCATATCCAAGTTCCAACGTCTCCTTTCTAAAAGAAGTCTCCCTTTGCTCCCTGTCCTTCATTGGAACTTTGAGCCACTTTTTGCTAACACCTAAATCCTCCATCCTGATGTGTTGAGGCCAGGAGGGCAGGCGCTGACCCCATCTTCCTCATCTTTAAGCCTTCACCAGGGACTGGCTGTGCCAGTTGCTTAGTGGAGTGCAGTGGTTGAACTTGTGGAACAGAGTTCAGTTCCCAACCCTCCTCCCCACTTTCCCTGTTGGATTGTTGTCCAGAGACAGGAGATTCACTGCCGTGGGGACTGGCCAGAGGTGTGTCTGAACAGCTCCCGCTGGTAGACAGTGTTCTCGGACACTGTGGTGAATTCAGCTTCCTGCCCCTCCCCCATCATCTGTCCACTTCCAGAAAAGAGCCGCCTTTCAGAAATCATCAGAAACAACATTGCTGGGTCCTCCCATGACCCCATGACATAACAACTTCCTGGCTACAGTCCTCTTCCCCTGGCGATGTGCTCTCAGAGTGGACCGGTTCTCACTTCAGAGTCAGTTTCCGCCTCTAAATGGAAATACGGGTGCCCACTGTCTTAGTTCCTTTGTGCTGCTGTAACAGAACGCCTTAGACAGGGTCATTTATAAAACCACGGAAATGTATTGTTCACAGCTGTGGAGGCTGGGAAGTCCAGCATCAAGCCTCCAGCAGAATCAGTGTCTGGTTGAGGCCCATTCCTCACAGATGGTGCCTTCTGTGTGTCATCTCATGGTGGAAGACGGGCTCCCTCCAGGCTTTTGTGTAAGGGCACTCATCGCGTTCATGAGGTCTCTGCTTCAGGACCTGGTCACCTGCAGGCCCCACCTTGCATTGAGGGTTAGGTTTTGACATATGAATGGGGGGGCCACCGCCATCCAGACCATGGCCTCTACCTTGTCAGGGTAGGGACAGTATTCTAGGCAAGAGCCCTTCCAGGGCTTCACACACAGGCAATCGATCAATCATCCTTACAGCTCCTGTCCTCAAAGGCCCAGGTCTGGAATGAATGGTGAACAGCAGTTCCTGTCTGGGCAGAGGGGAGCTAGACAGAGGTATCAGGCAGCTTGGTGGGTCTTCTCCGTGCTTGGGGTGCCTCCTGGAGGAAGATAAAGACCTGCAAGACTCCATCATGCTGATCCATGGGTTCACCGAAAAATTGTGGCTTTTCCTCCACCCTTGACCGTCGGCCCTCCCTGCGTGGAAGTGCATGAGCCTGTTTCCACTGAGAAGACTGGCCTCTGCCACCAGCACTACTGACCCCTCCCATCTAGCCCTTTTCCTATTCCAGATGGTGACACTACCCACCAGGGCTTACTTCAGAGCAGGAAATTGAGAAACTATATCACAGATCTGATGTCCAGGGCCAGAGAATTAACATGTTCATCTCCAAGCCTGGTACCAAGTCCCTTCACAAAAATACAGATGCCACCTTCAGGAAGCCTCCACGAGAAAGTGGAGGCAGCCAGGGAAGCCTTGGCAAGGGAAACCACACAGCGGCGCCGTCCCCAGCGCAAGTTTGCCTTGGTTCAGGAGCTCAGTGGGCAAGCCCTGGGGGCTGGCTGGGAAAGGAAGTTGATGAGCAGCTACGGAGGGGCGTCCAGTCTGCATGAGGACTCAGAGCTTCTCAGGCAGAGAGCCATCTGAGCCATCATGTGGGCCATAACGTGACTCACTCTGGGTCCATTGAGAGCATCATCCGCGTGGGCCTACCTCAAACCTCTTTCACCAGCACTCCAGCCTTGCTCTTCCAGTTCCCAGAGGATGGAAAGCCCTGCTTTGGATTACAGCTGGAGCAGGGCAGGAGAACTGCAGCCCCCCCCCAGGAATGCTGAAGGACCCGTAGAGGAGAGCCATCTCTCACGCATGGAACTTGGAGCCAGCACTCTGCCCAGAAGTGGGGCTGGCTGAGGTCAGGGTCTATGTGTTGCTCAGGAGGTGAATGGTGTCTCCTTTGTCCTGCTGGACGTTTTCAGGTGCATCTTTCAGTAGCTCAATCACAGCACTTCCAAAATAAATCAGTGGATGATGCCTGCCCCAATAAATGCCTCTTCCTTCCCAGGACACCATCACTTCCAGTAACTTTTTCATGTTTTTTGGAGTAAAAACCTTGGAACCATTTTGAAATCCTTTCTCCTTTCTCTACTAAATCTGATCAAATACCCAGCTGGTCTTTTCCTTCATCTCTATCTGATCATTTTGATCCTCCTTTGGCATGTTTGCTGATACCACCAAGCTCTGCAGCTGGTCCCCCTTATCCCTCATCTGTGGATTACTAGCATAAGTCACCTTCTGGACTTGGTGTCTCCAGGGTAGGGTGTCTGAGACAATCTATGGGGTAGGGGAAGCAAATATAGAATTTCTGTTATATATATCTTCAACTAAAAATTAGAAATCCAATGTTACTAATTTTTGGTCTATAAGCTTATTTCAAGCGGTCACTCACTCAAAGCATTTCAGGGGCTGGCAGTGGCGTGCTCTCTCATTACATCATTTTCTGCATATTTTGATATATTTCGGTGGACCAGGTTAAAAGGATTTATGGATTGCCTAACCTAGTTTTAACTAAAACTCAAAGAGTAGATAAATGGCTTCAAAAGATTTAAAAGATTCCCAAAAGCCACAAATAAACAAGAAAATGAGAGACTTGTTTCTTAGTTCAGGCAGGAGGTCTTCACTGGCCTCAGTATAAGGTTATTAGACAGGATAAGAACGTTTAGTAACCATCAAAACTATTTAAACATTAATTTACATTTCCTATCATTAATGATTAACTTCATTCTAAGTGGATATTGTGCCTTTATTTATTAACTAATGATGATAAACTAGGAACATAATTTGTACATAAATATGCAAATACTTGTGGGAGTTTAAAAATACTTGCGGATCATTTCCATTATCAAAAACATCTGGGTTCTAAGGGCAGGTGCCATGGCTTATGCCTGTAATCCCAGCTACTCGGGAGGCTGAGGCAGGAAAATTGCTTGAACCCAGGAGGAAGAGCTTGCAGTGAGCTGATACTGCGCCACTGCACTCAGCCTGGGAGACAGAGCGAGACTCCCTCTCAAAAAAAAAAAAAAAAAAAAAAAGGGTTCTAGACCAGGAATTCATTTTTTTTTTTTTTTTTTTTTTTGCAGTAAAGAAAGTTTAATTGATGCAAGGATCTGATGAAAGTTGGATTCCTCTTGCAGTGGGGAAAACGGGCATCTGAACATGAAATTTGAGTCCAATTTTAGAGGGTGATATTTTGAAGTCCATCCATGGGCTATCTGAATTCCCATTCTACACTGTCCCAATTTAATCCACTATCTACAAAAGCCAGAATAATCTTCTGCAATATGCTTCCATCATGCTGTGCATCAGAACTGCAGAATGGCTCTAGGGCGGCTGCTGCAGCAGTTCTGGAGGGTAAAAGCAGGTGCGAAATGCATCAGTTCACTTGTGATGAGTGATAGTCACAGTGCTGAAGTTTGTGAGATTATTTGCTTTAAATGTTATTGTCATAAAATTTCACCTTCACTAAGTGCTACTGGGTGCCAGGAATTTCGCAGCAGGAAAGTGCCTGGTAGGAAGATGTCAGGCTTGGGATGATCACATGCCATGTGTGCCTCTGGGAAGCTCGCTGAGGGTGGTGGGTCCTTGGCACACAGTGCCAGTTCTGTAGCCAAACCCCTAGAGCACCTTCAAGTAGCTCTCTTAGGGTAGCTTCCTGAGAGCTGGGACCAAGATTGCCTTTTTGTCCCTCAGAGAGCCTTATTCTGGATGCTTAGAAAATGTGGCTTGACTGAATGAAGAGTCCTTTCTTAAGGTACTATATCAAACAGGATGTGAAAACCAATTTTCTTTTTACTTGGGGAAGAGTAATGATGCAAATGTAGGTACTTATTGACTAGCAATGTAATCAATTTTCACCTAACGTGGGATTTATTAACTATTAATTCAATTGGTTAAGAAAAAAAGTGACAGGACTTTCAGCTACAGGACTTTCAGCAATGGGGATAAACATTATAGGAAACTAACCCTCCTTCTAACAATCATGAACCTCAAACAAAGTCTGGAAAACAGCCCTCTGGAGGCCGTGGAGAGTAAACAAATGCACACTGGGACTGGAGTGGACACAACCTTTGAAGGAAGAGAAGTAAATAAGAAGACGTCTGCTTTCCCAGAGGACATACCCCAGCCTGCAAGGCACATTGGGAGGCCTTGAGAATGACTGGACCGAGGAGTTAGATGTCTGGGTCTGGGGCTATAAGTGCAGCTGGAAATTGTGGGAAGATCCCAGAGAAGAGGGACCATAGAAGGTTGGGCCTCAAGATTTGTGTACTAACTTATCCAGAATCCATGGCTAAGTCCCGAACTACGCATGTGTGCGGTGAGATGCCAGGAAATGCAGAAGGAGCCAACAGCTGGAAGCCTGAAAAAGCTGAGCAGAGATTTCAAGATTTCAGCCCAGTGCTGGGGAGATAAAGTCAGGAATTCAAGTCCCACCAAGTTAGACAATCTTTCCATTGAAATCTCAGAAGACTGTGCCTTAATAGTGAGACATAGGACTAAGGGCTATGACAGAAAAACCAAAATGGGCCTGGATGCAGTGGCTTATGCCTGTAATCCCAGCACTTTGGGAGGCCAAGGTGGGTGGATCACCTGAGGTCAGGAGTTCAAGACCAGCCTGGCCAACATGGTGAAACCCTGTCTCTGCTAAAAAATACAAAAATTAGCCAGGTGTGGTGGCAGGCGCCTGTAATTCCAGCTACTTGGGAGGCTGAAGCAGGAGAATCGCTTGAACCTGGGAGGTGGAGGTTGCAGTGAGCTGAGATCGCACCATTGCACTCCAGCCTGGGCGACAAGGGCTAGACTCCATCTCAGAAAAACAAAACAAAACAAAACAAAACAAAACAAAAGGAGCGCAAACCTAGAACCAAGTCTCAGTAAGATCAAGGCAAGATGCATGATGGAGGTATATTTATTAACTGCCTGCTTGAACCAAATTCAACACGCTTCAGAAGAAAAGAACAGAGTCCAGAGTCCAGATCCTCTGTAAAGTGTTGCCCACCATGTCCAGCACAGCAGAGACTTCCTAGACAAGAAGAATCAGGAAAATGAGACTTGGGGCAGGAGGAAAAATAGTCAACTGAGAAATACTCACAGATGACCTAGATGTTGGAATTAGCAGATAAGTCATATAAAATAACCATAGGAAAGATGGATATAATTGATGAACAGATAGGGAATGTCAGCAGAGATCTGGGAATTGCAAACGTGGAAATTGTAGAACTATAAATTACAATATTTGAAATGAAAAATTTATTGAATAATATTAACAACAGGTCAGATAAGGTAGATGAAAGGATCTGTAGACTTGAGGCCTGGTCAAAAAAATTACCCAAACTGGACAGAGAGGAAAAAACTTTTTTCTTTAAAAAATTTTTTGGGGCTGGGCATGGTGGCTCATGCCTGTAATCCCAGCACTTTGGGAGGCTGAGGCAGGTGGATCACGAGGTCAGGAGTTCAAGACCAGCCTGACCAACATGATGAAACCCTGTCTCTACTAAAAATACAAAAATTAGCCAGGCATGGTGGCGCACACCTGTAATCCCATCTACTCAGGAGGCTGAGGCAGGAGAATCACTTGAGTCCAGGAGGCGGAGGTTGCAGTGAGCTGAGATCGCGCCACTGCACTCCAGCCTGGGTGACAGAGCGAGACTCCATCTCAAAAAATAAACAAATAAATAAATAAATAAAAACTTTCACAATTCTGAATAGTTGAAATCAGGAGAAACAATATATATATATTTTTTTGAGACGAAGTTTCACTCTTGTTGCCCAGGCTGGAGTGCCATGGTGTGATCTCGGCTCACTGCAACCTCCGCCTCCTGGGTTCAAGAGATTCTCCTGCCTCCGCCTCTCGAGTAGCTGGGATTACAGGCGCCCGCCACCATGCCCAACTAATTTTTTGTATTTTTAGTAGAGACGGGGTTTCCCCATGTTGGCCAGGCTGGTCTTGAACTCCTGACCTCAGGTGATCCGCCCGCCTTGGCCTCCCAAAGTGCTGGGATTACAGGTGTGAGCCACCGCGCCCGGCCAAGAAACGATATTTTTTAAAAGAACAGGTTCCAGGGATTCAGGATCCCACAGTGGTTAACTGAATTTTGACAAGGCACCAAAATAATTCTGTGGAGAAAGAAAAGTCTTTTTTAGTAAATAAAGCCAGGACCATTATATGACAAAAATGAACTTTGATGCTTACTCCACACTGCACACAACAAGTAAATCAGGATACTTATTGTGTATAGAGTTAAGTTTAGACCTAAACTTAAAAGCAAAAATTATTAAGTTTCTGGAAGAATATGTAGGAGAATATCTTTGGAACCTTGAGGTAGGCAAAGATTTCTTGGACAATTAACAAAAAGCACAGTCATAAAATACAACTATTTATTTATTTATTTTTCTCCAAGACGGAGTCTCACTCTATTGCCCAGGCTGGAGTGCAATGGCATGGTCTAGGCTCACTGCAACCTCCACCTCCCGGGTTCAAGTGATTCTCCTGCCTCAGCCTCCCAAGTAGCTGGGATTACAGGGGGCCGCTACCACGCCCAGCTAACTTTTGTATTTTTAGAGACGGAGCTTCACCATGTTAGTCAGGCTGGTGTCAAACTCCTGACCTCAGGTGATCCGTCCGCCTCGGCCTCCCAAAGTGCTGGGATTACAGGCATGAGCCACTGTGCCCGGCCAGAAAATACAAAATTGATAACTTGAATTTCATCACAATTTTAGAATTCTGCCTTTTAAAAAACTCCATTATGAAAATGAAAACACAAGCCACAAACCAGGAGAAAATCTCCACAATATGTAGATGTGATCAAGCACTTGTCTCCAGAATATATAAAGACTTCCTGAAAGTCAACAAGAAAAAGATGAACAAGTCATTTAGACAGTGGGCAAAGGACTTGGAGACTTGAGCAGACACCGCATATAAGGAGATATACAAATGGCCAAGGAGATATAAAGAAAGGTGCTCACCATCTTTATCATCAGGGATATGCAAAATAGAACCACAGTAAGATATAACTTCACACCCACTAGAGTGTCTACAGTTAAAAAGACTGACAAGACCAAATGTTGGTGAGGATGCGGGGCAGCTGGAACACTCATGCATTGCTGGTGGGAGTGGAACATTGCACAGCCAGCCTGGAATGCTGTTTGGGAGTTTCTTGGAAACATAACCTACCATATGATCCAGTCATTCAACTCCTAAGTATTTACCCAAGAGAAGTGAAAACATGCCCATAAACAGACATGTACAAGGAAATCTGATTCACAATATCCAAAAACTGAAAACAATCCAATGTCCATTAACAGGTGAGGGGATAAGCAAATTATCCTAAATCACGGATGCCATACCATGTGGCAATAACATGAACCCCTAATGCAGGCAGCAATGTGAATGAATCTCAAAAACGTGTTGAGTGAAAGAAGCCACTCACAAAACCATATATATGGAATGATTCCATTTCTATGATATTCTAGAGCAGGAAAAACCTATGCTATGATGATAGAGTTTAGAAGAGGGGTGACCTTTGGAGGGTGGGTGGGTGGGTTGGCTACAAAGGGGCACAAGGAAATTTTGGGGGTGATGGAAATATTCTGTATCTTCATTGAGGTTGTGGTTATGTGGGGTGACCAGCCATGCAGTTTATCTGGGTGTAAGGGGCTTCCCGAAGGATGGGACTTTAGTTTTAAAACTGGACCCCTCTATGGTGTGCATGTGCACGTTTGCCAAAAGTTGCATGTGCAAATGCACACTTAACATTTATGCCTCTTATTATGTCTAAATCATACTTCAATTAAAAAAAGAGTATTTAAAAAAATCATGGTGGGAAAACAACCAAACCAGTGAAATCACAAGCAAGCAACAGAAGAGGGTGTTTGCCTTTGAGGTATCATATTGAACTCACAGTTTGATTGTAATAAATGTTGAAAGGTCCATAATGTAGGGGGCTGCCTGACTCATCACTTCCTCCAGGCTGTGGAGACCCAGACAATAGATGCTGGATAAACAGGTGCTCTGGAGGCACATTTAGTGTTTTGCACAGCTGACTCCCGTTTTCTAGAAGAGCTTGGGGGTTGGAGTAGTTCCATCTATTTGCCCCTTCTCCATTTTCACAGGGCCTCAGATACCCATGGCATTCGGTTCTCCTACAGAAGAACCACAGGTGAGTATCATCAGGACTCGACGATAAGGAGGAGACTCACCCACAGTCCCGGGCTGGCTTTACTGTCTCATTTGTGAAAAGGATAATGAAGCTCGCGTCTCCCCTGCCCCTCTGCCAGTTAATCACAGTTAATCCCATTTCCCGTGGTGGTTAGGGGCTGTTCTGCACTCCTGGTCACTGACTGAGTGTCTGTAACCCAGAAGACAGAACCAGGGTATGCCAGGCTGTGTGTGGATTTTGCTGCTGTTTTTCCATGAACTGTCACACAGCTGATTTTCGCTATAAGATGGCTCCTGCAGCCTTCGACAGTTCACACACATCCCTACATCCCGTGGGGCATGTTGAGTATGGAATCACGATGTTCCTCCACCATTCCGATGTAGCTAAGCAGCTTTTCCCCTTGAGGAATCACTGTATTTTTGAGCAAAACACCATCCTTATCAATCACTCAACCGCAGTCCTCCAGAACGGAAATGTAGCACAGATGTTTCAGATCTCTTTCAATGTTATAGGAAGACGCTTACCATATTTTTGGCAGTGGCTTTTAAAAGCACTCTATGTCCTTGACTTGCCAGTTTTAAAATAGTACAAACATTTCATCAAATTTTTTTGTTGTGCTGAATAATGCTCTGAAGACTTTTTCATGAGAAAATCACTTGAGATTTCTCTACATTGAGATAGCACCCAACAATTGAACACCTTCTGGAGAGGCCTGGGCTTTGCTTTATTTTAGTCTCAGCCATAAACGACGCTCAAGGGGACAGGCCCATCTGAAGCGTTCTGTGCCAGCTTCCAGTCTATTTTAGGAACATAATAGGAAAATAGTTTGCCACTTACTCATTTGCATCCTGTGCTCAAGTAGAATTCTTTCTATCAACATCCCCAGACAAAGAACAGTTCATAAAATTAGCTACAGTTTATAAAATCCAGGCTGGCCTCAAGCAGAACAAAGATGATGTGGGTTTTCTTCCTATGGAAGATTTTTCCTACACTGAAATGTTATCACAATGCAAGACAGGGCCATCGAAAGGATGAAATGAAATCACCCCTGTGTGGTCCATTGGCACAAAGCTCAGTGCCGCTGTAAGTGCACAATAGGGCCCCTACTGTGTGCAGTGTGTGGAAGGAGAGATACTGGGATGAGTGAGGCACAGTCCCTGCCTTCAGTGGGTCTCAAGATGTCAAAGGAGTGATGAGTGTGTAGATAACCAATCCTGTGCAATGACTGCATCTCGCTGGGAAAATCAGGAAGGAGCACTTGCTGTAAGGATGGATATTGGACGGGCTGTAGCAGAGGAGAGTCCAGGCAGAGGAAGCCGGACCCTGCAGCCTCCATTTCACCTGGTCCTCACGGGTCATGGTTTCACTATAGTAAGCGTGGAAGTTCTAAACTGTCTCTGCATCCTCTTTGGAAACTCCTGTCTGGTCACTCTAAGAAGGGGACTCAGGATCCTTGCTCAGCAAGAGACCTTAGCTGTTGACCAACACTGCTGCCTGCCCTGATGGAACAGAGATAAGATACCCCTCCCAAAAAGAAGGAGGGCCTCTGGCCTTGGACTGGAGAGGAGGTGGGATGGGTCAAGGCCTGATCCCGAGAAAGAGGACAGCCCTCCTGAGCAAGCCCAGATAACGGGACAAAGACTAAGATGTGCCAGTGTCTGGCTCAGAAAGGAGACAGATATTCATGTGTGTGTGTGTGTGTGTGTTGTGTGCGTGTCAGAGAGAGAGAGAGAGAGGAGAGAGAATGTCAGGTAGCTCATTAACTTTCTGCTTCCCAATCTCGGGTGAGAACTTGCTTTAGTCTTTTCCTGCTGGTTGATGAATGGATTTTAGGAAAAGCCATTGAAACAGTATACTCAGATTGTTTCAAATTGTTTCATTTCCTAAAGGGATGTGGCAGTTCCTGCATTCACATAGCCATTGAGTCCTGTGCTGGTCCCTGTGTGCTCCAGGTGGGAAGCCTGACCTTTTTGTTTTTGTATTTTTCATTTACCCACCCATTCACTCGCTCACTCACAAATTCAACCAATATTCACGGAGTGACCCTTGGGAATAGGAGAAGTGGTGCATTCTTCTTTGGCTGAACTCAAGGTGAAGGCAAGTCGCCTCCAGGATACTTGAAAGGCCCTCTTTTCTCTTGCCCCGTTATAGCATATCTTGTGGTTATCAGGGCTCCCACAATTGTCATCCTTGGAATAAAAAACCTTCCTCTGTGCAGTCTCACTCCAGCTTCTCCCCCAGTTCTGCCTCCTTGGAAAATGTCTTCTTCCGGACCCTGCTATGTTCTGGGAGGATAATTTCCTACTCAGGCCTCAGTATTTAGGGAGAAGAATCCTCCCCAGTGAACCTGGATAGGAAAAAAGATAAATGGAAGCAGACCAGGTTTCTGCTCCCACTTGCCTGGTTTCTAAATTGGTATTTTCTTCCAATGCATCCATAGCATTCCTGGGGGTTGGGGTTGGGGGCTGAGCGCGTCTGATGATTCTAACAGCTCCTTATGTCTTAGGGGCTTACCATATACTGTTACTACAACACGTCTAGTGCCCATGTGAATAATTTAATTTTTATATTGTTATTTAACTTGCGAAGCTCTCTTTGGGCTCCTCGATAGACAATAAGCTCTCTGAGGACAGGGATTGCTTTCTATTTCTGTGTGGCCCCACAGTTTCTGGCACAGTTCTGGGAGCTTGGGAAGGTTTCTGATAAGTACTTAATGAAGGATGAGATCTACTATGCAAGAGAAGGGGTGCGTTGACTCCATCCTGTGCTGGTCACAGTGCTCCTGGGAGTTTGGTTTAGTCCTGGGAATAAATTTAAATGGGAAATTCAGAGTGTACAGAAGAGCAACTGGGGGTTAGATGCTGTGATGAAGCTGAGCAGAGTGGACTGTCGGGATTACCAAGGGCAGAGGAGGAGGCCTGGGTGAGGTTCCCAATGCAATGGGAGGAGGGCTGCTCTCAGAACAGAGCCTGAGGGCGGAATGGGGTTTCTTGGCAGCACAGGGTCTCAGGACAGGATGTGCCGTCAGAGACAGCCCAGAGGAGGCGCTAGTGTCAGGCAGCGCTAGTTCCAGGGCGTGATAACAGGTGTTTTATGAAAAATGCATTTCAGCTCCAGTACCTTTGGGGAATGCTGCAGTTAACAAAGGTAAATAGGTCTCAGCACTGTGAGACTGCTGGAGGTCTTTGATATGCAATTGTGCATTGACTCTCTAGGAAGGAATGCCAGGAATGGTCATTCCAAACCCACTTGACCCCTTATCTTGGAAACACATCATACAGGTTGAGCATTCACAGAGGCCAGTTATGGAGATAACAGAGTACAGGGTCTGTCTGACAACACATGGGCCCAGGGCCTTTCCCGTTGTAAGCCTGCAACAGAGTGACGCAACCACTGAGCCGGGCCCCCTCTTTGGTGCTTCCTGTGGCTTTCTGAACAACCACTGGCGTCTTTCCTTCCCCCCTGGAATCAGAATGCCTATTAGGTACATTTGTTCTGATAACTTGAAACAGTATATGACCAGGTCAGTCGTCATGCTTTGGAGTTTGCAGGCAATGCATGGTTTAATGATGATTATTAAAGTGACAGCCATCCCTTTGTGGGGTCTCTGTTCTGCTGAGAACTCCCCTTTGCTCAGAGCTTCCTCCTTCCACCATGTTTGTTCATGTGCTTCCTGCTCCTCCACCCACCTCCCCAAGCTTCCCAGCCCTTGATGACCCCATGTGAATTTGGGATGGGGTGGAGTGACTGACAGCCTGGTAGGGCTGGTCCCCTCTCAACACCTGAGCTGTGGACTGCTGTGAGCACAGAGAAGCAGAGCAGCCAGACAAAAGGCACAGAGATTATCCCCATCACAGGGATGACAGCTCTCCCTTTACTGATTCCAGGCCCAGCTGTCCCCAGTTTCCATGATCAACCTCAGCAGACATCTAATAAAATCTCCTTTACTCTAGTTACCTTGAGTTGGTTTGATAAATTGCAACCAAAGAACTTTTTAAAATACACTGTTGAGACTGGGCACAATGGCTCACACCTATAACCCCAGCACTTTGGGAGGCCGAGGCAGGAGGATTGCTTGACTCCAGGAGTTCAAGACTAGCCTGGGCAACAAAGTGAGACCCCGTCTTAAAAAAATAAAAGTACACCGTTGAGTTACTAGTGCCAAGCTCTGTGCATACCTGATCTCAGGAGGTTCATTTTCATACCCTCCCATAGGTTAGGCCCAGATTTATCTGACTTTTACAGATAGATGAACTGAGCCCCTGAGAGGTTGAGTAAACTGCACCCAGCAGCTTATTCCAGCAAGGAGGGCAGTGAGCTCCAAACCCAAGACCATCAGGACAAGTCTGGTGCCTCTCTCTGTGCTTGCCAAACTTACCTCGCTATCTGCAGGGTGGAATGCCAGGTCAGGCCCAGACTGGCCTCTACTAGGAGCAGATGCCGGGGGTTCCATCTGCAGAGGGGAGAGGAGAGGGCTCTGTTGTTCTGAGAGCTACCCTGGAGCCCATTCTGCCCGCAGGGCTGGGAGACCAGGTGGTGGTTGGGGAGTGATCCCCAGGCAAAGGCCCCTGCTTGGAGCCCAAAGCCCACCCATGCAGGTTTGCAGTGTCAGCTCAGCCCCCTTCTGCCCAGCTGCAGCTTCAGCTGCAAGGAGTGATGGGGACTTTCCTGTTGGGGAATTCTAGCCATAGCCTAGGTCTCATGGGAGCCAGCGTGAAGCAATTCAGTTCTAGGTACCAAATTATAATCCACCTCCTCTCTAGAGTGTCACCGCTGTCACAACCCCACTCCTGTTCCTTTTCTCTGTCTGTCTTATTGATTTCTGCCATCATGGCCAAATGCTTAGCCAGAAAATATGGTGGTCCAGTTGGTCACTTGGAGCACAACACCCAACACACGGTGAACGTGCATTTGTGTTGTGATCATTATCGATGTTGGTTACACTTGGTGCCAGGTACTCTTCAGCTGTGGCTGGTTTCATGAGCGTCCATGTGAAGAGACCACCAAACAGGCTTTGTGTGAGCAATAAAGCTGTTTATTTCACATGGGTGCAGGTGGGCTGAGTCTGAAAAGAGAGTCAGCAAAGGGAGATAGGGGTGGGGCCGTTTTATAGGATTTGGGTAGGTAAAGGAAAATTACAGTCAAAGGGGGGTTGTTCTCTGGCGGGCAGAGTGGGGGATCACAAGGTGCTCAGTAGGGGAGCTTTTGAGCCAGGATGAGCCAGGAGAAGGAATTTCACAAGACAATGTCATCAGTTAAGGCAGGAACAGGCCATTTTCACTTCTTTTGTGGTGGAATGTCATCAGTTAAGGCAGGAACTGGCCATCTGGATGTGTATGTGCAGGTCACAGGGGATATGATGGCTTAGCTTGGGCTCAGAGGCCTGACATTCCTGTCTTCTTATATTAATAAGAAAAATAAAACGAAATAGTGGTAAAGTGTTGGGACGGTGAAAATTTTGGGGGCTGGTATGGAGAGATAATGGGCGATGTTTCTCAGGGCTGCTTCGAGCGGGATTAGGGGCGGCGTGGGAACCTAGAGTGGGAGAGATTAAGCTGAAGGGAGGTCTTGTGGTAAGGGGTGAGATTGTGGGGATGTTAGAAGAAACATTTGTCGTGTAGAATTATTGGTGATGGCCTGGATACGGTTTTGTATGAATTGAAAAACTAAATGGAATAACGGAGAAAAACAGGTATAAAAGGTCTAAGAATTGGGAGGACCCAGGACATCTAATTAGAGAGTGCCTAAGGAGATTCAGCATAGTCCTGCCAGCAAAGACTATTTATTTACTTCAAGAGTTAAGAGTGGCAGTTTGAGGATAGCACCAGGAGATATCAGCTGTGATGGCTTGGAGAAACAGTGTAAACCGGCAGTGTAAACAAGAGCAGGGCATGTATGAGTAGTCGAGAACGGTAAATAGGAGTATGACTAGACAGAAGATAGTAGGGATGACAAGTTTTTTTGGGGCACAGTCTAAGTTGGTCTGGTGTCTGGAATGAGACTGGGTCCTAATAAAAAGAGCGTCTATACAGGAGCTCAAATGGGCTGTACCTTGCAGCATTCTGAGGACAGGTCTGACTTCTGAGAAGGGAAAGTGGTAAAAGTATTGTCCAGTCCTTTTTAAGTTGGTGGCTGAGCTTGGTGAGGTGTGTTTTTAAAAGACCTTTAGTCCGTTCTACTTTTCCTGAAGACGGAGGACCGTAAGGGATATAAAGGTTTCACTGAATACTAAGAGCCTGAAAAACTGCTTGGCTGATTTGACTAATAAAGGCTGGTCTGTTATCAGACTGTATAGAGGTGGGAAGGCTAAACTGAGGAATTATGTCTGACAGAAAGGAAGAAATGACTGCGGTGGCCTTCTCAGACCCTGTAGGAAAGGCCTGTACCTATCCAGTGAAAGTGTCTACCTAGACTAAGAGGTATTTTAGTTATCTGACTCGGGGCACGTTGAGTAAAGCTAATTTGCCAGTCCTGGGTGGGGCAAATCCTCGAGCTTGATGTGTAGGGAAGGGAGGGGGCCTGAATAATCCCTGAGGAGTAGTAGAATAGCAGATGGAACACTGAGAAGTTATTTCCTTGAGGATAGATTTCCATGATGGAAAGGAAATGAGAGGTTCTAAGAGGCGGGCTAGTGGCTTGTACTATAGCATAGCCTGCCTTTGCTGGTGTGTGGCGATTAGGCCTGGTGGAACTGCCATCAATAAATCAAGCGTGATCAGGGTGAGGAACAGGAAAGAAGGAAATATGGGGAAATGGGGTGAATGTCAGTTGGATCAGAGAGATACAGTCATGGGGGTCAGGTGTGGTATCAGGAATAATGTGGGAGGCTGGATTGAAGTCCGGGCCAGGAACAATGGTAATTGTGGGACTTAACAAAGAGTGAGTACAGCTGAAGGAGCCAGGGAGCAGAAAGTATATGCGTCAGGTATGAGGAAGAAAATAGATTTTGGAAGTTATGAGGAATGTAGAGAGTAAATTGAGCATAGTTTGTGATTTTGAGGGCCTCTAAAACTATTAGGGCGGCAACAGCCGCTGCACGGAGACATGATGGCTAGGCTAAAACAGTAAGGTCGAGTTGTTTGGACAGAAAGGCTACAGGGTGCTGTCCTGGCTCTTGTGTAAGAATTCTGACTGCACTAACCATGCCTAGGAAGGAAAGGAGTTGTTGTTCTGTAGAAGGGATTGAGGTTTGGGAGATTAATCAGACATGATCAGCAGGGAGAGCACGTGTGTTTTTATGAAATTATGCTGAGATAGGTAACAGGTAAGGAAGAAATTAGGCTTGACTGAAGTAATGGGGGCTGTCTGTGAAGCTTTGTGGCAGTACAGCCCAGGTAATTTGCTGAGTCTGATGGGTGTCAGGGTCAGTCCAAGTGAAAGCAAAGAGAGGCTGGGATGATGGGTGCAAAGGAATAGTAAAGAAAGCATGTTTGAGATCCAGAACAGAATAATGGACTGTGGAGGGAGGTATTGAGGATAGGAGAGTATATGGGTTTGGCACCATGGGGGGGATAGTCAAAACAATTTTGTTGATAAGGCATAGATCCTGAACTAACTTGTAAGGCTTGTCTGGTTTTAGGACAGGTAAAATGGGGGAATTGTAAGGAGAGTTTATAGGCTTTAAAAGGCCATGCTGTAGCAGGCAAGTGATAACGGGCTTTAATCCTTTCAAAGCATGCTGTGGGATGGGATATTGGCACTGAGTGGGGTAAGGATGATTAGGTTTTAATGAGATGGTAAGGGGTGCATGATCGGTCGCCAAGGAGGGAGTAGAGGTATCTTATACTTGAGGGTTAAGGTGGGGAAATACAAGAGGAGGACGCAAAGGAGGCTTTGGATTGGGAAGAAGGGCAGCAATGAGATGCAGCTGTAATCCAGGAATAGTCAGGGAAGCAGATAATTTAAAGTGTCTCGGCCAATAAGGGAACTGGGCAGGTGGGGATAACTAAAAAGGAGTGCTTAAAAGAGTATTGTCTAATTGGCACCAGAGTTGGGGAGTTTTAAGAGGTTTAGAAGCCTGGCCGTCAATACCCACAACAGTTATGGAGGCAAGGGAAACAGGCCCTTGAAAAGAAGGTAATGTGGAGTGGGTAGCCTCGGTATTGATTAAGAAGGGGACAGACTTACCCTCCACTGTGAGAGTTACCCGAAGCTCGGCGTCCGTGATGGTCTAGGGGGCTTCCGAGGCGATCGGGCAGCGTCAGTCTTCAGCCGCTAAGCCAAGAAGATCTGGGAGGGAGTCAGAGAGCCTTGGGCCAGAGTTCCAGGGGCTCTGGGAGTGGCTGCCAGGTGAGTTGGACAGTCCAATTTCCACTGGGGTCCCGCAAAGATGGGACGCGGCTTAGGAGGAATCCTGGGCTGCAGGCATTCCTTGGCCTGGTGGCCAGATTTCTGGCACTTGTAGCAAGTTCCTGGGGGAGGAGGTTCTGGAGGAACGCCTGGCCGCTGCGGTTCAGGCGTTTGGAAGTTCTTGTGCGCTGGAGATGTGGCTGGGGTTTGTCTCACAGTGGAGGCAAGGAATTGCAACTTTTTTCTATTATTGTATACCTTGAAGGTGAGGTTAATTAAATCCTGTTGTGGGGTTTGAGGGACGGAATTTAATTTTTGGAGTTTTATTTAATGTTGGGAGCAGATTGGGTAATAAAATGTATTTTGAGAATAAGATGGCCTTTTGACCTTTTAGGGTCTAGGGCTGTAAAGTGTCTCAGGGTTGCTGCGAAACGAGTCATGAACTGGGCTGGGTTTTTATATTTGATGAAAAAGAGCCTAAACGCTTCTGATTTGGGATAAAGAAAAAGGAGCATTAACCTTGACTATGGCTTTAGCTCCAGCCACCCTTTTAAGAGTAAATTGCTGGGCAGGTGGGGGAGGGCTAGTCACGGAATGAAACTGTAAGCCAGACCGGGTGTGAGCAGGTGAGGTGATAAAAGGATTATAGGGTGGAGGAGCAGAGGCTGAGGAAGAATTGGGACCTAGCTCGGCCTGGCGAGGAGCAGCCTGGGGAGGAGGGAGAGGTCAGATGGGTCTGTAGAAAAGGAAGATTAGAAAGACTCAGTGACGCTTGGGGTTGGGACTGAGGGGGACAGGTGGGAGGGAAAGAAGGAAGATTTGGGATGAGTTGCACTGGGTACAGAGACTAGGAAGGGACTGATGTGTAAAAGAATGCCTGGACGTCAGGCACCTCAGATCATTTGCCCATTTTATGACAAGAATTATTTAGATCTTGTAGGATGGAAAAATTGAAAGTGCCATTTTCCGGCTATTTGGAACTGCTGTTGAGTTTGTATTGAGGTCAGGTGGCATTGTAGAAGAAAATAAGATGCTTAGATTTTAGGTCAGGTGAGAGTTGAAGAGGTTTTAAGTTCTTAAGAACACAGGCTAAGGGAGAAGAAGGAGGAATGGAGGGTGGAAGCTTGCCCATAGTGAAGGAGGCAAGTCCAGAGAAAAGAGTAGAGACACGGAGAAGGGGTGGGGGGTTCTTGCCCTCCAGAAAAGCAGAGAAGGGGTCGGGGTGCAGAGATACAAGGTTGGGGCATGGAAACAAGGGATCGGGGTACAGAGATATAAGAGGTTGGGGCACGGAAATAAGGAATCGGGGTGCAGAGATATAAGAGGTTGGGGCATGGAAATAAGGGATCGGGGCACAGAGATATAAGAGGTTGGGGCACAGAAATAAGGGATTGGGGCGCAGAGATATAAGAGGTTGGGGCACGGAAATAAGGGATTGGGGCGCAGAGATATAAGAGGTTGGGGCATGGAAAAGGGGATCGGGGCACAGAGATATAAGAGGTCAGGGTGCAGAAATAAGGGATCGGAACGCAGAGATATGAGGTTGGGGTACTTGCCCTTCCCCCAGAAAAGCGGGACTTGCCACTAAGGGGGAAGGAGAAGGGGTTGGGTGTTTCTTGCCCCCCAGAAAGGCGGAGAAGGGGTAGAGACCCAGAGAGAAGGGGTTGGGGTACTTGCCCCTCCCCCAGAAAAGCGGGACTTGCCACTAAGGGTGAAGGACCAAGGCAGGCATCCCTGTGTGGTCTGACACCTCTGAAACCTGGGTGAATAATCAGAGAGGCATCCCTGCAATGATTAAACACCAAGGGAAGTCTGCCTTCCCTAGTCCGTGACTGGCGCCAGAGTTTTGGGTCCACAGATAAAACACATCTCCTTTGTCTCTACCAGAAAATGAAAGGAATTGAAATTAAGAGAAGGGAGAGATTGAAGAGCGGAAAGGAGAAAGTAGTTGAGGGATAGTGAGAGAGGTTGGAGAAGAGAGTAAGAAGAGGCCGCTTACCCGATTTAAAATTGGTGAGATGTTCCTTGGGCTGGTGGGTCTGAGGACCTGAGGTCGTAGGTGGATATTTTTCATGGAGCAAAGAACAGGAGGACAGGGGATTGATCTCCCAAGGGAGGTCCCCCGATCCGAGTCACGGCACCAAATTTCATGAGCGTCCATGTGAAGAGACCACCAAACAGGCTTTGTGTGAGCAATAAAGCTGTTTATTTCACATGGGTGCAGGTGGGCTGAGTCTGAAAAGAGAGTCAGCAAAGGGAGATAGGGGTGGGGCCATTTTATAGGATTTGGGTAGGTAAAGGAAAATTACAGTCAAAGGGGGGTTGTTCTCTGGTGGGCAGAGGAGGGGGTCACAAGGTGCTCAGTAGGGGAGCTTTTGAGCCAGGATGAGCCAGGAGAAAGAATTTCACAAGGCAATGTCATCAGTTAAGGCAGGAACAGGCCATTTTCACTTCTTTTGTGGTGGAATGTCATCAGTTAAGGCAGGAACTGGCCATCTGGATGTGTATGTGCAGGTCACAGGGGATATGATGGCTTAGCTTGGGCTCAGAGGCCTGACAGCTGGGGTGGGGGAGCCTAATGCAGGGCCGGCGGCACAGGCATGTCACCCCTGCATTCCCTCGGGGCCTGTGCTCAGAAGGACCCAGGCTGGGTCAGATGCTCTGTGTTAGGCTAATAACCTCCCAAAGGGAGTTAGTTATGTTACGTTCTGTGTTAGTTTCCTGGGCTGCCATAAGACCTTACCACAAGCTGTGTGGCTTATAACAGAAATGTATTGGCTCAAGTCTTGCAGGCCAGAAGACTGAATCAAGGTGTCAGCAGACGTGGCTCCTTCTGGAGGCTCCGAGGGTGAATTCATTCCTGGCCTCTCTCTGGCCTCTGGTGCTCCTGGTGGTCCTGGGCGCTGCTTGGCCTGTGGACCATCACCCAATTTCTGCCTTTGCCTTCCCATGGCCTCTTCCCTCTGTGTGCGTTTCTGTGTCCAAATCTCTCTTTTCTCATGAGGAAGCCAGTCATTGGATTTAGGGCTCACCTGAATCCAGGATGACCTCATGTTAAGACACATTCTAAGGTGCCAGGTGGACATTAATTTTGCGGGGACACTCTTCAACCCAGCACAAGCTCCTAGAGTATAAAAGCTTCCTATATGGCTTGGGAACTCCCAAAGGACAGGGCCTGGCATAAATGCCCAATTTGCTTCTTTTTTTTTGAGACAGAGTCTTGCCCTGTCACCCAGGCTGGAGTACAATGGTGTGATCTCGGCTCACTGCAACCTCCAATTCCTGGGTTTAGGTGATTCTCCTGCCTCTGCCTCCCGAGTAGCTGGGATTACAGGCATGTGCCACCACGCCCGGCTAGTTTTTGTATTTTTAGTAGAGACACGGTTTCACCATGTTGGGCAGGCTGGTCTCAAACCCCTGACCTCGTGATCCACTTGCCTCAGACTCCCAAAATGCTGGGATTACAGGCCTGAGCCACCGCGCCTGGCCCATTTGCTTTTCTTTTAAGAGACAGGGTCTCGCACTAGCACCCAGGCTGGAGTGCGGTGGCATGATCTCGGTTCACTGCAGCCGCGACCTCCCAGGCACAAGCAATCTTCCCACCTCTGCCTCCCAAGTAGCTGGGACTATAGGCACACGCTACTAATCCCAGCTAATTTTTGTATTTTTTTTTTTTTGTAGAGACAAGATCTGTCTATGTTGCCCAGGCTGGTTTCAAACTCCTAGGCTCAAGTGATCTTTCCCCCTTGGCCTCCCAAAGTCCTGTGATTACAGACCTGAGCTACTGTGCCTGGCCAACCAATTTGCTTTTCACAGAGACAAATCTCCACAAAAGGCTGACCTTGTCATGAATATTTATGACATCTAAGGCATTATGGGTTGAACTGTCTCTCTCTAGAATTCATATGTCCAAGTCCTAACCTCCATACCTCAGAATGTAATCTTACCTGGGGAGAAGGTCTCTATGGTGAGGTCACCAGGATAGGCCCTAAACCAATATGACCATGTCCTTATGAAAAGGGTAAATTTAGACACGCAGACACACACATGCCATGTGACATGAAGGCGGCGATAGTGATGCTTCCACAAGCCAAGGAACACCAAGAATTCCCAGCGAAGCACCGGGAGTATGGAACAGATTCTCTGCAGAGCTTCCAGGAGGAGCTGCCCTGCCACCTTCTGGCCTCTTCTCGGGCTTCTGGCCTCCAGGACTGCGAGACAATCAGTTCCTATTGTTTAGGCCACTCAGGTTGTGATAGGTGGTTACAGTAGCCCTGGCAAAGTCACACACAGGGCTGGGGGCAGCATTGTTTCTCCGCTTTCTTTCTTTTTTTTCTTTTGAGACGGAGTCTAACTCTGTCACACAGGCTGGAGTGCAGTGGCATGATCTCGGCTCACCGCAACCTTGGCCTCCTGGGTTCAAGCGATTCTCCTGCCTCAGCCTCCTGAGTAGGTGGGATTACAGGCACGTGCCACCACACCTGGCTAATTTTTGTATTTTTAGTAGATACGGGGTTTCGCCATATTGGCCAGGCTGGTCTTGAACTCCTGACCTCAGGTGATCCACCCGCCTCGGCCTCCCAAAGCTGGGATTACAGTCGTGAGCCACCACACCCGGCCGTTTCTCCATTTTCTACGGGAGACATGTTTTCCACATGTTTGGACCGTCCTTTGGGGATAACTGTGAGTGAGCATCTCACTTGAGAACCTCCCTCACATCCTCCACGTACTTCGCCCACGGTGGGGAGGTGGGGAGGTGGGCCCAGCAGCCTGTGGCCTCGGTGTGCTTGCTGCACATGGAGTGGACCCCATGTGGCCTCCTCCAGTGAGCCTCCAGGCTTGGGATGGGCCAGGTGCTGGAGCAAGTCCATTCCAGAGCTTGGTTCTTTTAAAAATTTCTATAATATATATACATATATTTTATAGACAGAGTCTTGCTCTGTTGCCCAGGCTGGAGTGCAGTGGCACGATCATAGCTCACTGCAACTTTGAACTCCTGGGCTTAAAGGATCCTCCTCCCTTAGCCTGCCAAGTAGCTGGCAGCTAATTAAAAAAAAAAAAGGGTGTTTTTAAAAAAAAAAAAAAATTGATTGGGGGGATCTCACTATGTTGCCCAGGCTGGTCTCGAGCCCCTGGCCTCAAGCCATCCTCTCGCCTCAGGCTCCCAAAGTGCTGGGCTTACAGAGTGAGCCACCGTGCTGGCCAGAGCCTGGTTCTTAGTGGGCCAGTCAGGGAATTTCAATGAAAAGTAAGGAGCCAAAGAAAGAAGACAAGGAAGTTGAAATAGGTCGGGGCTGAGATAATCCTTAGAGATCAACATCTCGGGTCTCAGTTGTTTATCTAAACCGAGCTGAATTCCAACCCCCACCCACACCTCCTGCATCTTCCCGGGGCTCTCAGCTTTGCTTTTTCAGAACGGTTTTCATTGTGTGTGTTGCCGCTGGCTGGATGTGAGGGTGAGTGATTTTACCGTAGCATCAAGTGTAGCCCAGAGCAACAGATGAACTCCGGAACAGAGTCATTTCCTGGATTCTGCCCTCTGGGTTCTAGATGCTTCCTGACAGTTCCGTTTCTTGACGTGCAGTTGCCGAGTCAAAGGCTGTGTTGTTGAATTCATTGCTACGCATCCCAGGTTTGCCCTCTCAGAAAACTGCACTGCCAGACAGTCTCAGCAACGGTTGGTGGACAGTCTCTACTGTTTTGCCAAAGCTTGGATGTGATGAGGCTTTGCCAATCTGACCTCCATGCTGACCGGCTCCTGCACGTGCTGGTGAGGCCGAACGCTCCTGCTAGCGCTGCCTGCACACCTGGGACTCACTTTCAGCGAATTGTCTGGCTGTGCCTTTGTCCATTTTTTGCTGATTTATAAATCAAGGATTTTAAAGCCACATGTTTGTGGCAGTTATTGTCCCAGCATTTTGTTTTATCCATATGCTTTTCTTGATATACAGGTGGCTTTCATTTGCAGAGGTCATTATTTCCTCCCTCTTATGGTTTGGTTTTTGCATTTGCCTCTGTGGGGTAGGTTAAGAAAGTTGTGGATTTGAATCCTTGTTCGATAGCTACGTAACTCTGGGGAATGTACTTAATCTCTCTGAGCCTCAATTTTCTCATCCGTAAAATGGGGATAACAATATCCACCTCCCTGGTTTGTTGGTGTGTATGGAAAAACTCTCTCAAACTGCGTTTTTCCTCTTTCACTCCACCACCACCTCCACAATCATCAACACAGAAGACGTCTGCAATAAAAGGCGTGGGGGTTTCCCCACACATTAAGCAGTGGGCCCCAGCTGGGTGTTCAATTCTAACACTGTCCACCTGGAGATAGCACCAGATCCCACTGGGTGGGGGGCTCAGTCCCCACGACTGCCACCCACCCCAGACACCAGTCATAAGCCTGGGCCTCTCGAACTTCTGACGGATGGGCTTCAAGTTGGGGTTCCCATGACCTCCTCTCTGTGTTGATCAATTTGCTGGAGCAGCTCACTGAACTCAGGGAAATAACTATGTTTGCTGGCTTATTGTAAAGGATGTTACAAAGGACACAGATGAAGAGATGCGTAGTGCGAAGTATGGGGGAAGGGGCAGGGAGCTTCCAAGCCCTCCCTGGACACATCATCCTCTGGGAACCTCCACAAAGTCAGCTCTCCACGGCTCCCTGAACCCAGTCCTCTTGGGTTTTTATGGAAGCTTCATGTTGACAGAATTCCTTCCCGCATGGTATGAGGCGGGACCCTCCCAGGGGAGGCTGTTAAGACCTACAGTCAGAAAAGTGAGGGAAGGTTAGAGTCCTGCCTTGTGGCAGGAAAAAGGAAGGCGAGAGGGTCAGAGAGGTTCTGTTACCTGAGGGTGGCGCCCAGGATTAGCACATCCAACATTATAACAGAAAACTGTAACAAGGGCTAAGTGGAGCTATGAGCCAGAAACTGTGGATGAAAAAATATATACATATATATATATATGAACATCAGAGTTGGTCATTTTATAATTTACATAAACACTGGGCAGGGAGTGTAATAAGCACTTAATAAATGATACCTTTCCATATTCCTTGATTTTAAGTCAACAAATGTGATGTGGTTCATCAGCTACTATTTAGATATCTTGAGAAAGACAGAAGACCTCAAGACGCAGGTCCTGTTCTTGAAGGAAAGGAGAAGAGAACCCTTGTCTGGGGAGCATGCTCTGCACTTAGGCGACCAGCAGGATTGGAAGGGACCATCAGTGTGGTCCTGGAGGAATCCATCAATGGAGGCCCCGAGGGGCCGTGAAGGACTTGCCCATGTAAACTGCAGGGCCTGGTCTGCGGCTCCCACCCCCGTGCACCTCACCTCCAGTTAAGTCCTGCAGCTTATCACCTCAGTGGAGAGACAAAGCAGTGCTTTGGAATGTGACCCCTTTGATAGCTTGAATGTTGCAGGTTCCGCAGTGGCTTTCATGCTAGTCAGGGGGCAGTGGAGAGTGGCAGCACGTCAGCTGAGTGTAGGGCTACCAAGTCTTGGGCCAGGCAGGACTTGAGCAGCTTGGGGAGTCGCCCAGAGGAGGGATCCTGGGGGTAGCTGGCCAAAGCCAAGCTGGTTAAGATAGGTGGCCAGTGATAGCTGCCAAGGCTAGGAGGAACAGGACTGCTCTATGTATTAGGCAAAGGAAGTTATGTCCAGAGTCCAGAAGGGCAGGAAATAGCAACCCAGATTAGAGGACGGTAGTCGGGCCTCAGTCAGTCGGGGAAGGTGAGCCCCAGGTCCAGGGCTCCAGCAACCACAGAGTCCCGTGCAGACTGAAGGGCCTCTGAAATGCTCACTCATTAAACGATGACGATTGACAGTGACTGCAAAGGTAAGGAACACAGTTTATCACACACTCACCTGTCACGTGCCAGGCTCTAGCCTCCACGATAACCTTAAAAACCAAGGAATATTATTTCCTCTCTGAAAGGGGGAGACTGAGGTTTAGAGATGAGCTTACATGACCACACTCACTGCCAGTCAGCACTGGACCTTGGGTTTGAACCCAGGACTGCCCGACCTCTTTCCTGGCTCTTTACCATAGACCTGGTGACCTCTGTGCAGGGTGAGAGGATGGCTGGGGGATAGTCTTCAAGGGATAAAAGACAAGCACAAAGCTTGGCTGGATTGGGGGAGGAAGAGGCAGAGCAAAGAACAATTCCTGCAAAACATGTTTTTACCTTCTTTTATTTCCAAACTCTTTCCTGGGGCCGGAACCGGTCGTGAACTGAAGCCAGCGGGAGGCCATTGGCAATGTGACTCCCTTCTAAATGCTGGTGGTAGAGGAGATGGAGAGAAAAAGACGGTTTCGAGAAATCTTTCAGAGGTACAATTGGGAGGACTGGATAATGGGTTGGATGCAAGGATTGTAGACTAAGATGACTCCAGGTTTTCTGGCCTAACTCACTGGACAGTTCTCTTTCCTGGAAGGAGGGAGCTTAGGGGATAAACACATTTGGCCGGGAAGAACCAGGGTGTTGTTTGGAGCACACTGAATTTGGGGCATCTGTGAGATGACCTAGTGGAGATGCTGTGCCCTGGCCAATCTTGGCAAGTTCATGTTATTGTTCCACCTGCTTGGAGTCCCCAGGCCTGCCCGTGGGCCATAGATTTTCCCACCTCTGCTCATGCTGGGGTTAAACGGAGCCACCAGCACCGCCATCTCTGCCACCTTTTGTAGGATGAGCTCCAGCCGGCCGACACCACACGGGACTGTGTTTACTGTCTGCCCAAGGTGGTGAGGCTGAGCTCAGAGCAGAAGGGGACCTACCCCACAGTCAGCAATCTGTTCTGTTCGCCCGGAGGGCTCCAGAGCTCCGGCTGCCTGCCTTTCAGAGAAGAGGGATCATTCACAGAACTGCAGCTCCTGCTAGAGGCACAGACCGGCCTGCAGCTCAGAGGGCAGAGTCACTGATTTCCAAAACGGAAGTGAACATAAGCCCAGTACTTATTTTAGGAGATTTACTAATCAGAGCGGCTGAGTGCATGTGTAAAACGTGCTGTGAAGGAGTCTGTGTATGGAGGCAATCTCCCAACTTCTAAGTCGGCATTTAACCTGGATAAATCCCAGGGCCCCACATGGCCCAGTGGCAGCGTGGTTTCGCTTTTAAAGAAGCACAAGCCAACCACTAAAGGTAATGTTAAAAAAAACGGGAGAGTTCCAGTTCTAGTAGGAACTGCAGGAGCATGGATTGAACTAATCTCCCGCAAAGAAAAATGATCAACTCTGGATAAGATGTAAAGCACCGTTGAAGGACACTGGACAGTGGCCAAAGAAGCAAACTGACCAAAGAAGCAAAGAATGGAGAGGACTCGACCCTTGAAAGAAAGGAACTGCTCTGGATGAAATTCACGCTAAGATGACCTTCCTCCGAGGCCCCTCTCCAGGCTGCTCGGGGCAGGGAGGCTGGAATGTAAGGCCCAGGAACTCAGGGAATGGTGTTCAGGCTGCTGGAGTGGCTGGAAACTGAGGGTGAAGTCTTAGAAAGAAGGGAGCTTGAAGGAGACAGGCCCAAAATATTACACATTAATTCTATTTTATTATTTTTGTAGAAACAAGGGCTTGCTGTGTTGCCCAGGCTGGTCTTGAACTCCTGGACTCCAGTGATCCTCCCGCCTTGTCCTCCCAAAGTGCTGGGATTACAGGAGTGAGCTACTGTGCCCGGCCCACATTAATTCTCAAATCTTTAGCCTACCCTGCAAAACCCAAGTGAGACTCCAAGCAGCTCAGTGGGAAGCAATGCCTGTAAGGCTGAAGGCTGAGCAGAGATTTCAGCTGCTGCCCACTGCAGGGAAACAATTTGGAGTCTAACTCCTGCCAAGTAGGCGCCTCAGGTTTTCCATTAAAACCCCAGAAAGGCCTCCGCTTAGGCTCAAAGACCATGTACCAGGACTAAGATTCATCCTAGGACTTGGGGTTATAACAGTAAACAGAACACCCTGGCATTACAACAGTAAACAAACAGTTAAAGGTGTAGTTGGGAAATTTATATTCTAGTTGGGAAAACTGCAATAAACCAATAAGTGTTATGCAGAAAAATCAAGCCAGGCTGTGGTTGGGTAGGTTAGTCAGAGAAGAACTTACTGGGTGTGGAGGAGGGGGTCACATTTTCAGCATGGACTTTGTAGGGGGATTGAATGGCGACCCTCAAATGGTGGTTCTCAAAAAGATGCGTCTAAGCTCTAACCTCTGGTACCTGGGAATGTGACCTTATTTGAATAAAGAGTCTTTGCAGATGTAATTGATTTAAAGATCTCAAGAGGAGATTATCCTGGATGAACCAGGTGGGTCCTAAATCCTATGGCAAGTGTTCCTATAAGTAGCAGAGACTCAAGGAAGAAGCCATGTGAAGACGGAGGCAGGGACTGGAGGGTGCATCTGTAAGCCCAGGCATCAGAAGCTCACAGGGAGGCAGGGGTGGCTCCTCCCTCAGGGCGCCCAGAAGAACCAGCCCTCCCAAGGCCTTGATTTTGGATTTGTGCTCTCCAAAACTGTTAGAAGGTAAGCACGCTTTCTTTTAAGCCACTAACTTGGTGGTTATATGTTCTGGCAGCCACAGGACACAGTGACAGACCTGCAGTGGGAGACAGGGAAAGTACTTCCCAGGGACCTTCGCAGGGAGAAGCGACAGCAGGTGCAAAGGCCCAGAGTCAGGCCCAAGCATGACCTGCGCGTCGCCAGGGATGCTGGAGGGGACGGAGCAGGGAGAGAGGAGAAGAATGAGGTCAGAAGTCAGAGGTGATGAGGGTAGGGAAGGGGGCGGGTTACAGGGATTTCCAGGCTACGCTAAAAACCGAACTGCTGCTCTGAGTGAAATGGGAAATGCTAGGTGCCATTGCCCATGGACTCTGCTTGTAAACAAACTCACACAGCTGCTGTGTTGAGAAGAACAAGGCAGGCACGGGGAGGCTGATCAGAAGGCTCTGCATCACCCAGGGGAGAGAGAGCAGGGGAGTGGGCTAAGACGGAGGCAATGAAGGAGAGGAGAGGGAACCAGGATGGGGAAAATGGAGAAGGGGAGAGGGAACCAGGATAGAGGAGAGGGGACCAAGGGGGGGACAATGGGGGAGGGAGAGGGGACTGAGGTGGGGACAGTGGAGGAAGGAGAGGGGACCGAGGTGGGGAGGTGGGGACGGTGGGGGAGGGGAGAGGGGACCGAGGTGGGGAGGTGGGGACGGTGGGGGAGGGGAGAGGGGACCGAGGTGGGGACAGTGGAGGACGGAGAGGGGACCGAGGTGGGAACAGTGGAGGTGGGGCATGGGGGACTAACATGGCAGCAGTGAGAAGCGGCTGGTGATGTGTGACGTGTGAATGTGGAGCTGAAAGAACTTCCTGTGGGTTAGACGTGAGACATGTGAGGAGGAGAGGACACAGGTGACTCTGGGATTTTGGCCTGAGCGCCTGGAAGGATCAAGTTGCCGTGAAGTGAGGCAGGGCTGCAGGTGGGGCAGGTTTTGGGCATCAGGAGCGCCAGTGTGGACCTGTGCATCTGAGATGCCTCTCGTGGGAGGGAGGCGGATTTGGGCCTCTGGAGCCGGAGGGTGGCCTGGATGGAGGCCTGTGTCCAAGCATCGTCTGTCGGTCCGTGTTTTTCATCTGTGGATCTCCAAGGGGGGCAGGGAGCAAGAGGAGGGAAGAGGCACAGGCCTGAGAATTTTTGCCCCAGTGTTGAGAAGTTTTGGGAGGAGGAGGAGGGGAGCCAGTGGTACTGGGCCATCAGGACAGGCTGTCAGAAGCCTCTCGGGGTCCTGCTCAAGAGGGTGGCCAGCCAGGCCGCGTGGTGCTCACGGCTATGCCAGCGGGGACTGAGGGTTTGGTAACACAGAGGCCCTGGGTGACTGTCCAGGAGCCTTCTGGGTGAAGTGAAGGAGGCCACAGCCCCGGTGGAGTAGATTCAAGAGAGACCCAGGAGAGAGGAAGTGTAGACCGAGGGCGGAGGCCACTCTAAAGGGCGAAATGGTGCTGGGGGTGTGGGGCCGGGAGCCGTGCTTTTAAATTTAATTACAAGAGAAGCTAGAGTGCAGGTGCGTGCCCATGGGAACCCCCTAATAGAAAGGACAGCTTTGGCTGGGAGAATGTTAGAGCAGCATCCGTCCTAGGGGGCGAGTGGCCAGGGGCTGTGCAGCCCAGGGCAAGAATGGCCGAGCTTATCTGCCCCCTTTCTGGGAGAAGCGCCGAGGCCTCTGCAGGAAGAGCTAAGGTTCCTCCCCGAGGGACAGCAGTAGCGTGAAGCTGTGCACCTCCTCAGAGGCTGATCCAGGTCTGATCAGTTCCTCCTGTTCACTCCTACGGACCACAGGGTTCCTACCCTTGTCCTCCTCTCTGTGGCCTGGAGTGGGTCTGGGCTTCAGACTCTTCACTCATAAAATAGGATAAAAATAAGGGATCCCCCCTCTCACATTTGCAGGGCTTGGGACAGGAGTACAAATGGTACTCCGTGCACCATGTGAATAAATAAATTCATGAAAAAAGCCAAGCAAATGCCTTGTTGAACACAATGCCCCACGCGCTACTTTGCTAGAAACATGTTCCTGACAGCCTGGAAGCCTAGGGTTGCACTTAGAACCCTGGGGCTCCTTGGCCAGAATGGGGTGTCCCAGCCCCAGCCAGCCTCCTTCCCTGGGCCTGTCTCACACTGGGAGGAGCTCAGGATAAGCACGTGGGTGCCTGGCCCACACATCCAGCCTCCAGCCATGCTTCCTATTGACAGCTGTGCCTTTGCCGTGGGGCCTGCTGTGGTTTGCTCTTGGGGAGTGGACCCGGAACAGAGGCCCCTGCAGGCCTCAGAAGTGGGCTTGGGTGGGCAATTCTGCGCTTCCCGAATCTGGCAGTGTGATCTAGAAGTGTTGTCCCTTGGCCTGGAGGACTGCTCACCTAGAAGCCAGAGCATGGCCAGAGGAAGGCCAGTGTGGGGCCCTCTAGGGTGTGGTCACAGGGTGGGGCTCCTCTGAAGGGTTGCTGTGAGGACTGAATCAGATATTTTAAGCCAAGGACTTAGCACAGTGCCTGGCACATAGTAGGTGCTCAATAAAAGCAGTGTATTTTTTTTTTTTTTTTTTTTTTTGGTGAGACAAGATCTCGCTCTGTTGCCCAGGCTGGAGTGCAGTGGTATGATCATGGCCTACTGCAGTCTCAACCTCCCAGGCTCAAGCAATCCTCCCGCCTCAGCCTCCCTAGTAGCTGGGACCACAGGCATGCACCACCATGCCCAGCTAATTTTTTAACTTTTTTTTAGAGATGAGGGTCTCACTATGTTGCCCTGGCTGGTCTCAAACTCCTGAGTGTAAGTGATCCTCCCACCTCGGCCTCCCAAAGTGCTGAGATTACAGGTGTGAGCCACTGCACCCGGCCCTTCATTTTTGTTATTTTATTTTATTTTTCAGACAGAGACTTGTTCTGTTGCCCAGGCTGGAGTGCAGTGGCATGGTCTGGGCTCACTGCAACCTCTGCCTCCTGGGTTGAAGCAATTCTCCTGCCTCAACCTCCTTAGTACCTGGGATTAATAGGTGTGCGCCACCACGCCCGGCTAATTTTTGTATTTTTAGTAGAGACGGGGTTTCACCATGTTGGCCAGGTTGGTCTTGAACTCCCAGCCTCAGATGATCCACCAGCCTCAGCCTCCCAAAGTGGATAACAGGTGTGAGCCACCGTGCCTAACCCATTTTTGTCATGTTTCTAATCCTAGTCTTTACAGAATTAGGCAGGGCCTCCCACAACCCGGCTTGGCTGCCTCTCCGCCCTCACCCCTCCCGAAGCCTACCCAGACCCTGTGCTCACTGAAGGTGTCCCTGGCCCCGTGCCTCCCAGTGCATGTCTGCCCCTGGCATTGTGCTTCCGGGGCCCAGGATGCTCTCCCTCTTCTTGGCTGCCACGTGGGCTTCTCGTGCCTCCTCCGGGAGAGGTCCTCTGGATTCTTCCCCTGCCTCTGGGCAGGTAGGTCAGCCTCTCTGGCCTGTGTGAAACTGGGTGGCAGCCTCTTGCTCTGCAGGCAACTGTCCCATCCCCGCCAGGCTCTGGGCACCTGGGGGCAGGACTTGGGTTTATTCCCTTGGCTCCCCTCTGTTCTGCCCAGACTGGCGGGCAGCCACGTGCCAAACTGATTGTTGAGTGGAGGAATTTAACTTGGTGTTCAGAAATCCCTGCTGGAATTTTCCACTGAGATAAGCAAGGATAAAGGTTTGGAGGCAAGGCAGACACCACAATTCCTGCTTATCTCAAAGGCCTTAGGAGATAAGGGCATTCTGGAGAAGCTGACCTCAGGTAATTATCACAGCTGAGCTGAGTCTTCACAGCAGCTCCGCAAGAAAACCCCAAGGAGGAGGGGGCGCGCTTCCCCACAAATCCCCTGAGGACTTCGGCCCATTGTTCCCTGGCCAGAGGGGGGTCACCTGGTCACATCTGCAAGAAAGAAGATACGGAGAGGCACTAACAACCTGAACCACAGTGGGGAATCTCCTCATAAGGAACAAGGGGGGCACGGATCTGGGGCAGGCCGTTAGCAATGCCTGTTGCAAGCCTTGAGAGCTGCTTCAACATCTCTGAAATGTTTATGCAGCAGTAGGCCTGGCTCTCCACGCAACCCCAGGGCAGTAAAGAGTGGAAAGTTACAAAGGACTGACTTGGCTAGAAAGGAACCCACATGGGATAAACTCTCAGAGGAAATCCCATCACTGTCAATATTTGAGCAGAACCCGAGACATCAGGTGGCAGGAGAGTTGCAGAGATTCTTCAGCCCCTGGGCGGGCACTCAGGCCACATCCTCCCCAGGGGGCCCTTCCTGCTCCACAATGATATAATTTTACATGTTTTGGAAGGAGAATGTGTGCATGCCTGCCTACGTGGCCTGTGTAAGTGGCATTGCGAATATTCTCCCTGTCAATGGTAACACAGAAAAGTTGATAAAATGGCCAGAGACAAACTTAAAAATTGGTATGTGTTAAAATAATATTAATTCTGGTCCTGTAAGTAAATTGCTTATGTTCCGTTTTGCCTCATTTCCACTACAAGCAATGATGATTGTGCACGATACCACATCTATGTGGCATTATGGATACTGTCTGGGCGGTGAGTCCTGACCCGCCTTCCACGAGAGGTTTGTGTCTGAGCTTGCCATCCCATGTCCCCATGGGAATGCACCTTCTGATTTACACGAGCGCACCACAGGCTTCCTGCTCACGCTGGATGGCCCTTAGTGCATAGAGTGATCCGTCACAGAGGCTGGAAGCGGAGGGAGGTTTAGAACCATCTGGCTCAGCCCCCTTACTTTGGAGGCGAGTAAATTGGTGTTGGGAGGAGCTGACTGGTTCCCGAGGGAGGATCTGGCAGGTTGCTCCCAGATGACCTCTGTGCAGGAGGGGAAGCTGTGAGCCCCCAGACCCTCTTAAGTATCTGAGTTCTGGCCTTTCACTGTACCCTTGGGCCTTCATGAGGAGGGTGTCAGGTTGCTTGAGATCAGCATGAGCACCAGGCCTTGCCACACTGGCCAAGCAGGAGGCGGGCTTCGGCACTGGCTCCCCTGCCACCCGCCCGCGTGTGCCAGTGGGCTGTGAAGTCACCTGGGCTGGGGGGGCCTCCCTTGTGTGAGCTTTGGTTCAGGCACTGTGGACAACGGACTCTAGGATGGGCCCCAAGATTCCAAGCCCCTGGTGGACATGTCTGTCCCCTTGAGTGTGTGCAGGGCTGGGACTGTGATGGTGTCACTCCTGAGATCAGGTTATATTACATGGTAAAGGTGAAGGGATTTTGCAGATGTAATTAGGGTCCCTTGTCCATTGACTGTGAGTTGAGCAAAAGGGAGATTGTGCTGGGGGTGTCTGCCCCAATCAGGTGGGCCCTTTAAAAGAGGATCTAGAAGTCAGAGAGCATCTCTCGCTGGCCTTGAGAAAGCAAGCTGCCCTGTGTGAAGGGGCCTTGAAGAGCTGACAGCAGCTGCCCACTGACGCCAGCAGGAATGGGGACCTCAGCCTACTGAGGGAACTGAATTCTGCCAACAAACATGTGGGCTCAGAAGAGGACCCTGAACTCAGAAGGAGACCCCAGCCTGGCCAGTGTCTTGACTGCAGCCTGTGGGACCCTGAGCAGCGAGGCTGAGCCCCGACTCCGGGCCGCAGGAGCTGTGAGGCCATAACTGCGTGTTACTGTAAGCCGCCGAGTCAGTGGGTATGTGTTACACATCCAGAGATAACTACACAGGCATCGACCCTGTCCACCCGGGGATGCTAGAGGGGCTGTGCTGGTTTTACTCCAGGCCATGGTGAGAGCCACTGTGAACACAGGGCTCTCTCCTCTGAGCTGCAGAAGCTCTGTGCCCTGTCCCCTGCCACAAGTCACAGACTTTCTTCATGTGTTTTACCTCATGTTAATGAAGGAGATCTTCTCCAGGGGCTTGATCTAGTGGGAAACAGAGGAGGGGGGGATTTTAAATTTCAGTCCGTCCAACCCTGTAGATCTGCTGTCCTACAGTAACGTAAAGGATCACCAGGTAAAACGCTGCTTCTCCCGGACGCCGCCACCTTGCCCCTCTCTCTCACATGGACACTGGTGCCTGGGTTGGGAGTATGGCCGGTGACTTCGTGGCAGTGTGGGGAGGGGATGTGTGTCCTTACATCTGTGAGAGGTCCTCGCTTCCCCGTGGTCTCTGCTGAAAATGTCTGCCTGGACCGCCAGCCTCTGAGGCACCTTGGCCCTGCCTGCACCAGCTCCTGAGCCTGCCTGTCTTGGTGTCTCCTTCTGCTGTCCCGTGCCTGGCCCTCAGGGCCTCTCTGCACCGTCACCGGTCACTTCTGAGATCTTACGCATGTGCATTGCTCAAAGGGTGGCTGGGGTGCCACGTGGCACAGCTCTGTGCTGTTTGGGGACTGGCTTGGGGTCTTTGAGGGGTTTTCGCCTTCTAGGGAGTCGGGACCCTCTCTAACATGAGCGATGGGCTGTGACATAATCACAGTTGAGCTTAGCTGATTCCAAAACTCCCTTCTCCACACAAGGCCTGGCTTTCAAACCTGTTGTCTGACTGTAGGTACAAACCTCCCATTTTGGGTGTAAAAAGCTGGTTCTTAACCATTTTGTCTTTTTAATTTTTTTTTTTTTTTTTTTTTACTTTTTGAGATAGTTTCACTCTGTTGCCCAGGCTGGCATGCAGTGGCATGATCTCAGCTCACTGCAACCTCTGCCTCCCAGGTTCAAGCAATTCTCCTGCCTCAGCTAGGATTATAGGTGCATGCCACCACACCTGGCTAATTTTTTTTTTTGTATTTTTCATAGAGATGAGGTTTCTCCATGTTGGTCAGGCTGGTCTCGAACTCCTGACCTCAAGTGATCCGCCCAGCTCGCCTTCCAAAGTGCTGGGATTCCAGGCTCGAGCCACCGCGCTGGCCTCTTTTTGCATTCTTGCTATAAAATTGGTATTTGTATCTTCCTCCCATTCTGCGCTCCCCCAACCCTGCAGGAAGGTGGATTCTTCAAGGGAACTGGAGAGAAGAGAAGCACATTCATGTATTTCCACATTCAGCCTCCATCTCACGAGTTACACCATTCCCAGCACGTCACCACCCCCAGACCTTTGGTTACCAGCCTGGGGGCAGAGGATAAGGACGTCATTCAAAAATAGAGAGATTCTCAAGCCTCCAGAGTGCGGGGGCCCAGCCGAGCATGCTGGCGGCTTCCAGGGAGGTGGCCACGCCCCAGGGGAAGTGGTTGCATGGAGGAAGAATCTCAGAGGAGGCTTGGACGTGGTAGAGCAACGCTAGTCCTGTGTTAGGACTGGCTAGTCCGTCCTGCAGGGATGAGGGGCAGAGCCTCAGCAGAAGTCCAGGCCAGTGTCCCCCCTCCAGCATAAGAGCCCCCCACTCCCACAGGGCGGAGGAACCACTGTGGTGGCGGAGCTTATTTCCCAGCAGCCCCGCGGGATGAGACCCAAACGAGAAGTTAGGGTGAGTTTGGAGGACATAAAGTGAGCTGGCTTCCCGTATACTGGCTGTGTGGAGTAATGTTCACGGCAACAGATTTCCATCTCCTCAGCCTCAGGCCCAACCCTGCTACCCCAGCCATACTCAGAGGCTCTGGAAATCTTACCTGGAGGAGACTCTTCTGTTACCACCAAGCCAGGAAGTTTCATGGCTTGGGAAGACCAAGAGGAAGTCCACCTCCCCCTCTCCTGCACCTGGAGTCTCCCATGTGCACGGAGGCCACGCCCCCACCCCGCCCTCAGGTGGCATCAGCCCAGGATCTGACCCTGGACTGGCTCACACTCAGTTGCCTCTGGCCAGTGCAGGGCTCAGCCAGGGATGGCTTCTAGCTGACAGTGGGAGGAATTAATTCATCTGACCGGAATATTCTTTTCTCTTCTGGGCTGTTGGTTTTTCAAGTGCAACAAAGATTCCATACAGCTCCAAGGAAGGAGCCAAGAAAAACATTCTGTGCCAAAGTGAGATCCTGGAAGTGAAACCCCGGAATAAAGCTGAAAAACGGGCTCCAGTTGGGTGCCAGGAAATGCAGGACTGGAATGTGACTTGACTTCCGGCAGCGCGCAGGTGCTCCCGGGTCACCTGCTTTGAGGTCCAGCCTCCTGCCCTGCCTCAGGTGACCACATGACCACTGTGGACTTTGCCCTGAAACCTTCTGGGAGGAGAAGAGGCCTGACCTTGGCGCTGGGGTCCAGTGGGCATTGCTCTGGTCCGAGGCTGCTGCTCTTGACCTCTGCTCTGCGGCTGTTTTCCATTGGAGTAGAGGCTCCTCCTGTCCTGTCCTGCCTGTGGAGGGAAGCAAACCTTCCCCTGGACCAGAGAGAGGAGAAAGCGGAGACAGGTAGCAACGCTGTGGACTGGTGATGACAGGCTCTTCAGCTCCCTGCAAGTGACCGGGCCTGGGGAACAGGTGAGTCATTGTTTAAACCTCTGTGCCCTTTGTGGAGTGTCTGCCTGTGTGTGTGTGTGTCTCTGCTTCTCTGTGTGTGAGTCTCTGTGTGTCTGTGTGTGTGCTCACGTGTTTGTACCCATGTCTGTATTTGTTTGTGTCTGTGCATGTGCCCATGTGTGTATAATCAAAGGACAAAGCTGGGGCGGAGACTTCCTAGTTCAGATTTCTGATGGCTCACTAAGTCGGATTCCCAGAAGGAGATTCTTATTTGCATTTTTCTTCGGGAAAGTTCCGGTTTTAAGGTCTTGAAAAAAAAAAACACAAAAAACTTCTGGTAATGAGAAGAACTCTTAAAGAAATCCATTTCAAATGACATCAACATTCCCAATTTAATACCCAGTGATATCTAGGAAGCTTGTCAGGTTTTCTTGTAAACTCCTTTTTACAATCTACATTGTGTTTTCTGTATCAGATGGCTGTATTCTGAATGCAATGTACAGGTGTACCTCTCGTAATCTCAATATTCTTCACAGGCCCCAGGCAAGGGTGACACAGGATCACAGTTGCCGATAGACTCATCAATCAGACCCTTCCCTGGAATGGCCCCTTCCCCGCAAAAAAGACTAATGTGGGATTTGCTCTCCGTTTTTTTTCCCTTTAGTGGAAGGGAGGTGCAAGAGATTAAAAAGCCCCAAGTTAAGATTACTAGAGAAGCGCCAGTCTTGAATATGGTGTTCCTGAAAACATCTTTGTCTTCAACAACCTAATAACATCTTTCACTACTAATAACCCCATCTTGATTAAATTCTGGAGGTGGGGGTCAGGTGCCACACTTTTAATTTTCTCTTTGGACAGAAGGCTCCAACCTCTCATTATTGAAAGCTTACAACACTCAATCACACAAAAAGTTATATAAGAAAATGTTTACTGCAGTCTTATTACAGAGAAAAAATTAAAACTAAGTAAAAATCCAGTATTAGGAAAATGGTTCAGCAAGTTGAGATAGTTGTAGAAATGTTATATGTCCATTAAACATGATTTTGAAGCAATGTGTGAGACTGCCTTTGGTATTAAGTATTTCTTACCCATCGGATAATAATTTTATGTTAAAACTATGGGTTTTGGTTTGTTTTTAGGAGTCATAGAAAAAAACTAGAAGTAGGCAAAAATACCATTTGTGGTTGTATTACGGGGGTGGAGTTATGGGTAGCTGCTTCTTTTATATTGACACTTGTATGTTTATAGTAAAATAACCTTTTTTTTTGGAGACAGATTCTCGCTCTGTCACCCAGGCTGGAGTGCAATGGTGGGATTTTGGCTCGCTGAAACCTCTGCCTCCTGGGTTCAAGCGATTTTCCTGCCTCAGCCTCCCGAGTAGCTGGGATTACAAGCGTGTGCCACCACACCCAGCTAATTTTTGTATTTTTAGTAGAGATGGGGTTTCACCGTGTTGGACAGGCTGGTCTCCAACTCCTGACCTCAAGTGATCCACCTGCCTCGTCTTCTCAAAGTGCCTTTACAGGCATGAGCCACTGCGCCCAGCCCAAAAATAAAATAACTTCATTAAACAAAGAGACATATCATTGTCAAAGGAATGAGACGCCGGCATCCCAGTGGTCATGGTGCATTCCTTCAGAGTCCACCTGTTTCAGTTAATTCAGACATGTTTCGGGCTACAGATTTTTTGACTTAGGAAAGGTTTTATTAACCTATGCAAATAAATAGCAAAGAGAACTTGAAGGGGTATCTCTGTTTATTTTAAATTATTTTTTATTTCAATAGATTTTAGGGGAACAGGTGGTATTTGGTTACAGGGATATGTTCTTTAGTGATTTCTGAGATTTTGTTGCACCCCATACCAGAGCGGTGTACACTGTAGCCATTGAGTAGTCTTTTTTCCCTCACCCCGCCCCCGCTACCCTTTCCCCTTCCACCAAAGGGTGGAAAGTCTGGGCCGTGCCTTGACCTCTGAGAGCCTGTCCCCAGCTGACTTGAGCGGATCATCTGCTGGACTAAGTTCCCACCCCAGGCACTCTCACTGTGCCTCAGATGCTGTCTTAGTCTGTTTGTGCTGCTTTAACAGAATTCCTGGGACAGAAATGTATAAAGAACAAAGATTTGTTTCTTATGGTTCTGGAGGCTGGGAAGTCCAAGGCCAAGGGGTCTACATCTGTTGAGGGCCTTCTTGCTGTGTCATCCCACAGTGGAAGGTGAAAGGGCAAGAGAACACGCAGGCTTGTGGATGTGCAAGACGCAGCAGTGTTAATCTGTGCTGGGCGTGGATTAACGAGGGCAGAGTCCTCATGACCCAACCCCCTTCCATTAGGCCCCACCTCCTAGCATGGTTGCACTGGGGACTAAGTTTCCAAATCTGCTTTTTGGAAGATCCATGCAAACCATAGCTGGCCCCAAGAAATCATCCTCAATCCAGGTGGATATTTCAAAGCACAGGTGCTGTGTTATGTGCTCTTCATGCTTGGCCTCATTCATTCATTTCTTAGGAATTAGTACTTACTATGTGCTAGACACTGTTCCCAGCTCCAAGGAAAACAGAATTCTAGCAGTGATTCCTAGTCTTGGCTGCATACTGAGATCACCTGGAGAGCTTTTCTTTTTCTTTTTCTTTCTTTTTCTTTTCTTTTTTTTTTTTTTAAGAAACACAGATGGAAAACTTAATGTTATGTTTTTTATCCGTCTCTGAAGCCAGCATCATACTTGATGGTGAAACTTGAGTATTTCCAGCTAAGATGGGGTTCCAGGCATGTTTGGGATAACCACCCGAGTCTACTATGTGGAACCCTTCTTCTCTGATGGGTAGAGAGCCCTAAACCCTCCTGTTCTGGACTCCATGACTCTCAGTCACTTTCTCTCTAGAACGATCTTCTTGGTATCTAGGACTCAGTCCTATTTGTTTTGAGATTGATTCCAAACTTGATTCCCTCCCCTCTTATCCCTGCAGGGCAGACCAGACCAGTCTGTGGCCATGGCTCCTTACTGGCGGCAGTGAGGGCATGTGGGCTGCTTCCAACCACTCCTGCTTTTCTTCTTTCCTTTTCAAAATTCCTCCCCTTCCCCCTTTAGGGAGCCTCCCTCTTGCCCACTGTGGTGAGGAAGGGAGAAGAGACTCTGTTCCCAGGACCAGCTGCCCCTGATGGGTTTCATATTTTTTGTGGGGAGCTTCTCTTCCTAGATAATAAACACAAAGTGATAACATTAGAACATTATTAGAATGTCACCATTTTGCAACCCCTTAGTAAAATAGTGGGTCGAAGTAATAGTCTTCAGTGACTGCCAACATCACAGAAAGACAACTGGACATTATTTGCCTTCTGTGGGAAGTGCACGCACACTCTCATGGCAATCTTGCCAAAAAATAGCCTGTATCTAATCAGGTTTATGTCCTGAACCACCGCGGTATCAAAAATACAGAGTTCATAGGACTCTATTCAATAACACAGGGGTGTAATCAGCAACATCCGTACTGGAAATCTACAGGACAACCTGATTTCTTCAACACATGAACTGCAAAGAAAAAAAAATACCTGTATCTCTACTGAGATTTGCAGATGATAGAATGCCTGGGATCTGCTTTACACAGTACCCTGCAGGGGGAGGTTTGGGAGTGTGAGTGATACAAATGGCTGAGCTGATTACTGGGGAAGCGGGAGGTGGGTCTATGGGCCCATCGGACCGTTCTCTCTATTGTGGTGTGTACATGAAAGTTTCTATGATGAAAAATACGCAGGGGTCGCCCACGTTTATTTTGATCACGAAGTTGGTTTTCTCTGGGGCATATTACTGTGGGTTCTGAGGCTTTAGACACAATGGGAATGTGTCTACGATGTTTTGAGATCATTGAGACACCAACCTTTTTTTAGGTAGATTTTTTCTGAAACACCAACTTTAATCCATGAACAACCACCCAAGAAATGCTCAGATGCTTTTTACCTCTCCTTGCATTAGATACTTTGGGGACAAGTAATAGATTTGTAAAAACTGAAAGTAATGGAAGGAGGACAACAAGCCCTGAGACCGTCACATGTAATCATTGCTTTTCAGGGTCTGCAATGACCCGTGCCCGGAGCTTTCCAAGCAAAGCTCCTTTTGTTCCTTACCACAGACCTAAAAATGGACCTAAAAATTGCAGATGGGGAGATGGGGCATGGGGTGCAGAGGGAAGCAGGAGTGTGGACCTAGGTGGCCTCTGAGTTGGGAGCTCTGTATTGGGCCATCTGCTCCTGACCGAGAAGCAGCCCCGGGGTTGAGCTTGCTGAGATGATGTGGCTCCGATGTTCCACTTGCTTCAGACGGTTGTGATTCTTTGCAGGGCATGGCACAGGCACACAGGACCCCCCAGCCCAGGGCTGCCCCCAGCCAGCCCCGTGTGTTCAAGCTGGTTCTCCTGGGAAGTGGCTCCGTGGGTAAGTCCAGCTTGGCTCTTCGGTACGTGAAGAACGACTTCAAGAGTATCCTGCCTACGGTGGGCTGTAAGTGAGGGCAGAGCACCCCTTTGTTGGTCTTCAGTGCAGAAGTCTGGGCTGCTGACCCACACCTGGGGCAGATGGGGACGAGGCCCACCTAGGAATCCCCATGCTGGGACCTTGAGCTGCCTGTGTCCAGTGCGTGAGGGGAGGGGGTGAGGTCCAAGAGGGCAGCCACAGAATCTACAAAGACAGGAAATGCCCTTGGCTCTGGGTCAGGTTTCAGCTCAGCTGGAGTCTGCAGGGGGTGGAGATTCTGGGGTAGGACCTCTGGCCCCAAAGGGTCGGGCTGGGTGCGAGGGATTATGCTGGTGGAAGGGACAGCCCGGAAGAAGCCTCCTGGGCCCTGGCCACTCAGCGGCCTAAACCAGCTGTCCTCTCCCACCACCCAGGCCGCCCTCCTGCTAACACTGCTCCCTTGCTTTATTTACCCCAACAGCATCTTCCTTCCTGCCTGGACTTGGTTTACCAGCTTGGCCTGGATTGGGGGTGGGAAGATCATTTTGGGGGTGGGCGGGGAGGGAGACCTTCTCTCTGTGTTTCTTAAAAAGGCTAACCTGTCATGAAGCTCAGGAGTAACTGTATGGGGCATCTGCAGGCTGCTGGCCTCCTTCCCATCCTGCTGTGGGCACAGTCTGCCTAGGCAGTGAAACCCAGTTTTCACCTGAAATGGGGAAAGCCAGCGTGTTCTTTATGCCCATTCCCCCTGGGGGAACACATGCAGAATCAGAGCCTCGGTTTCAAATTCGGACTCTGACATGGATAAGCTGCACATCTCCAAATTCACTCATTCATTTACTCATCTAACAGGCATCTGTTGAGCATGAACCCTTTTGCAGGCCTGCGTTAGGTGGGATGGATTCTATAACCAGCTAAACAGATGCACCAAACACAGAAACACAATTGCAAGATGTGGCACATGACGTTAGCTATTTAGGGAGCCCTTCCATTTTCTCAGGGGGGTGGTTCCTGAAGGATCCCCAGGGGATACAGGGGAATTGGCAGGGGTCTGCCTGGCCCGACTCCCAGAGCTAGTGGTGAGAAGGGCCAGGGTGATGGTGAGAGGCTGTCTGCAGAGGGGGACCCTGGGGAGAGAGTCAAGGTTACCCTGTGGTGTGCAGTACAATCCTCTTCTCCATTAGCAAGGAGATCTGTACCCCTCACCCCCCAAGTCCTGATATTGGACTTGGCTTCCTTTAAAAATACATCAAAATGCCAAGGCTGGCCTGAGGGTGGCCTCAGTTGAGAATAGAGCACACAGATGGGGGCCTCACCAGGCCTGGATGTTGAGAGCTTTGTACCTGGGTGGCTGGTATTCAAGATGCAGAGAGAGGCAGCAGGTGTCAGGCCAGGTGAGCTGGACTGGGGATGGATCTCACTCTGACACGGAGGTCTGCACACTGTGGCTCTCTGGCTGTTCTTGTTGTTTTGTGAGTAAGGTTCTGTGGAGACACAACTCTACCTCTTCAGGTACTTACCCTCTGTAAATGATATTCTTGCTGTTCCTCCTCCTCTATTCACTCTAAAATGGCAGCAGGGTTGAGTGGTTGCAGCAGTGACCCCATGGCCAGTAAAACCTAAAGTATCTGCTACAGGGCCTTTTACAGAAGGACTCCATGACGCCACCCTAGCAGAGCCTGCAGGAGCCAGCGCCCAAAGGCACTCACTAGGTGAGCGCAAGCAGGGCTGAGAGATTCCGAGATGCCCGGTTGGAGCGTAGGAGGGTGCTTTGGATTCATTGAGACGTGCTTGGACGTGCTCAGCCCACAGAGAGCTGTACCCACAGAGCACCCACCTTTCTTGGGTGGGGGTGGGGGGGTGATGTGTGGGGTCTGTGAAGCTTCAGGGTGGTGCCGGGCATTCTGTATTTTACAGGTGAGGGGGATGGAGGCCCCGACAATGAGGCGCGAGGCCCTAGTTCCTTTCATTCCAGCAAGCCAGGGTCCGAGCATCCCCCTCACACCTGCCCTGCCTGTACCAATTGCCTGCCCTCTCTTCAGGGGGCCTACCAGGGTCGGGGGGTGAACAAAGCTGGGCTTGCTGGGGAGTCCTAGGCCAGGTTGGGGGTCTTTGCTTGGGGGGCAGGCCTGTATGTCTCACTCTACTCCTGGTCCTCTGTCTGGCCCCGCAGGGGCCATCCCCCTGCCGGCAGCTTTCAGATGAAAGCCAGGGCCTCCCTTCCTCCAAGCCCCTCTCTTCCAGGCCTGGGTTTATCTCCTCTCTCTGAGGGGAAGGACCGTTCTACAGGCTGGGCTCTGCCTTTCACCCAGAACTGGTGGGTGGAGTCTTTGTTCCCACTCTGGGTCTCTGTGATGGGGCCGGGGTGGGAGGCTGTGGGCTGTGGCCCGTGGCACAACGGGGAGAGGAGAACAGCCAGATTAGGTTAGCCTGTGGCTCATGAGCTGCCTTCATCCCATCAGCCTCCAACCCTGGGGTCCGCACTTTTGTATTGAGCACCTCTGTGTGTGGGCAGCTGTGCCGGGTTGCGGGGTTAGAAATGTGGAAGCTCCTTCCTTTGCTGTTGGCTGAGTCCCCTGTGGGAACCATGGTCTCCTCTGCTTCCATCCAAGTGTCTGCGTCACACCTTGGGATAATATTACAGCTTTTAGAGGTAGATATTACTGTAACTATGGATAGATGTCATGCAATTTATTATTATCATTATGTTAATTTTTTTGAGACAGAGTCTTGCTCTGTCACCCAGGCTGGAGTGCAGTGTCTCACTGGAACCTCTGCCTCCTGGGCTCAAGCCATCCTCCCACCTTAGCCTCCAGAGTAGCTGCTATCACAGGTGCGCACCACCATAGCCAGCTAATTTTTATATTTTTTGTAGAGATAGGGTTTTGCCATGGTGTGCACCACTGCACCCGGCCTATGTTAATTATTTTATTATTATTTTTTTTGAGACGGAGTCTCGCTCTGTTGCCCAGGCGGAGTGCAGTGGTGCAACCTTGGCTCATTGCATCCTCTGCCTCCTGGGTTCAAGTGATTCTCCTGCCTCAGCCTCCCGAGTGGCTGGGATTACAGGTGCATACCACCATGCTGATTTTTGTATTTTTAGTAGAGACGGAGTTTCACCATGTTGGCCAGGCTGGTTTTGAACTCCTGACCTCAAGGAATCCACCACCCTTGGCCTCCCAAAGTGTATGTTAATTATTAATCCTCATTATAATAATTACATGATCACATATTATAAATGTGGATATTGCCACTTTTAGGATGAGGAGATGGGATGTGCTCACTCCTTTAACTTACGTGCTTTGGGGGAAGAGTGATCTGTGTTGCACAAAAACCCTTTGAGAGCAGACACTCCTGCTTCTTTTGTCACGTGTGGCTTCAGCTTTTATCAAGAACACTGGGCTCCTGTCCAGGGGAGAGGGTAGGCCAGGAGCAGAGCCTCAGAGGAGAATGGGAGTGCTGTCCTCACAGGCGGCCTGGAAATGCAGGAGGCAGCACGCCCAGTGCTTGGCTGCAGGATCCCCGAGGGAGGGACAGGATGGATGGCCACAGGCATGCCACTCCTTCCCTCCGTCTGGATTTTTTCCCTGTGAAACGGGAGTGTAAACACCTTCCTGGAGTGGCCTCTCCATGAAAGGTTGCTGTCACCCTGGGTGGCTTAAGGTCACCAAGGCCGGCCCTGTCCGAGGGGTCAGCCTTCAGGAGGATTGACTCAGGTCCCTGGGGCCCTCCCGAGGGTCTGGTTCAGTCGACAGGTGTGTGGGGTGGGGCCCACAGCAGGACATGACACAGGTGGTGGGCTCAGCTCCTGGCAAGACACCGTCCATCCAGAGGAAGCAGGAAGCAGAGCCAGAAAGGGACATGGACTCGAGCCCTGAAGCTGGAAAGCCAACGTGCTGGCTGGAGCCAGAAGAGCAGGCAGGAGCAGAGGCAGAACGGACGGGAGTCCGAGGGACGGGAGTCCAAGTGAGCGCAGCCTCCCGCCCACCCCCGCCAGGGCCTGCTGCGGAGGTGGCAGCTTTAGGAGCCCCTGCTGTGTCAGGGACGGGGGCTGGACCTCCCCATGGACTGCCCCCACTGTCCTAACAGGCCACAGCAGGGGAGATTCTGTGCGCTGCTGACTTTCTGCATGACATCTTTTGGAAGGATGGTGACATCTAGTGCTTGTGTGCACATTTGCCAGCTGAAGCCACAACTAACCCCAGACTTGTTGGGCTTTTTCCAGGAAGGGGACGGTGACAAACAGGTACTGAGCACATTCAACTTGGCACCAGCTGACTTCCCTTCTAAATCGAGAACGTGGCTGACGTCCTAGAGCCCCCAGAAAATAAGTTTCCATTTCATGTTCCTTTCAATTTGTCATCAGCTCACTATTTTTACAAAACAGCCAAGTGCTACAGAGAGGGCTTCAATGAGCAGAATTGGCTGTTTATTTAAATTAAAAGGTAAAAAAAGCAAAACCACTTAAATGATATTAACATTTAGTAGAGAGGCTGGGCGCAGTGGCTCATGCCTATAATCTCAGCAATTTGGGAGGCCGAGGCGGGCAGATTGCCCGAGCTCAGGAGTTGGATACCAGCCTGGGCAACATGGTGAAACCGTGTCTCTACTAAAAAAATAAAATTAAATTAAAAAAATAAAATTTAGTAGAGGAACTTTTTTTTTTTTTTTTAAGATGGCGTCTCATTCTGTTGCCCAGGCTGGAGTGTGGTGGTATGATCACAGCTCACTGTAGCCTCAACCTCCTGGGCTCAAGCAAGCCTCCACCTCCACCTCTTCAGTAGCTGGGACCACAGGTGTGCGCCACCACACCCAGCTAATTTTTGTGTTTTTTGTAGAGACAAGGTTTCACTGATCTTAAGCTCCTGAGCTAGATTGATCTTCCCTCCTTGGCCTCCCAAAATGCTGGGGTTACAGGCATGAGCCACTGTACCCAGCCAAAACTTTATTTTTTAATTACATTTTGGCCTTAGCCATGGAGATATAGAAATGTGGTTAGTGGGTTTCTGAAAAAGGTTATGATAATAAATGCATGCTGTCTTCCGGGTCAGAGCCACGGAGTGCACGAGACTAGGTTGCCTCAAATACCTGTCCAGGGGCCCACCTGAGGGCCTTACATCTCTGCAGGGAAGGGAAGGGTCTATGTTCTGTAAATAGCCAAACATTGACTATTATTATGCATTATCATTGCTTGGACTAAAACCCATGCCCTCCTTGGAAATTTGCTGGAATTTTACATTAGTGTAAATTCAACCACCAGCCATCATTTTCCCTCCCCTCCTCCCCCCCCTTCTTTTTTTGAGGCAGAGTCTCACTCTGTCTCCTGCTGCCCAGGCTGGAGTGCAGTGGCACAATCTTGGCTCGCTGCAACCTCCACCTCCTGGGTTCAAGCGATTCTCCTGCTTCGGCCTCCCGAGTAGCTGGGACTACAGGGGCATGCCAGCACACCTGGCTAATTTTTGTATTTTTAGTAGAAACAGGGTTTCACCATGTTGGTCAGGCTGGTCTTGAACTCGACCTCAAGTGATCTACCCACCTCGGCCTCCCAAAGTGCTGGGATTACAGGCATGAGCCACTGTGCCCAGCCTCCAGCCATCATTTTCAACATGGAAAAGGAAAATATGAGAGGCTAAGATTGGTAAATGGAGGAAGAAAACCTGAATTTTATGCTCACGTTTCACCCTGCGCCAGCTTTTAAGATAAAACCAAATTCAAACTGAGAAATGTGATTTGAAGTGATGGGAAACAGAAAGATGTGGATAAAAGGCCCACGTTTTAAGACAACAAGTCCACAAAGAGCAAAGAGGACAGAAAGAAGAAGCAAAATTCATATGCCCTTTCTCTCCTTGCTCAGGCGATTTAACAGCCACCCTGGGTGAAGGGCACCATTAGCTCCTGCTATGGATGAGGAAGCTGAGACTTAGAAAGTTTAAGCAAGCTGCCATCAGATCAGCTGATGGGTGTACATTTATATTCTGGGCACGGTCTTCATTCTGGCACCATTGTCAATCCAGTGGAGCATCTGGTGTGTTCAGAGGTTTATAGCCGGTTCAGTCCCGACAGTTGCCCCATCTAAGCTGGAAATCACTGGTCCTACTGTCTGGATGGAGACTGCAGCTTTGTTTGACCTGGGGAGTTGGTCTGACTTCAAGTTCCTGGACCTGCAGGGAACTGCAGGACATGCGGGCAGAAGAGCCCAGGCAGTGGTTTCCGTTTAGGAAGAGGTTGTCTCATGATAGAGAAGCACGGTCTTGCTGCACCATGCTGGAAAGCTCTGTCCAGCCTCCTGTTCTCTGTCCAGCCTCCTGTTCTCTGTCTAGTGGGTGCAATTGAGTTTCTCCCACCCGTAAAGAGGCGATTAAGTCCTAACCCCCGGAACCTGTGAGTGCGACCTTATTTGGAGAGAGGGTCTTTGCAGATGTAATTAATTAAGGCCAACAAGATGGAACTTAGGATAGCCCTTAAGTCCAGTGACTGACATCCTTATAAGAAGGGGAGAGGACACAGCCACAGAGGGGCAGCCACGTGAAGACAGAGCCAGAGATGGGGGTGATGCAGCCACCAGGAACACCAGGGTTGCCGGCAGCCCCTGAAGCTGGAGGAGGCCTGGAATGGATTCTCCTTCAGTCTCCGGAAGGAACCAACCCAGCCAACGCATCAGTTTTGGACCTCTGGCCTCCAGAACTGCAGGAAGAAATTTGCTAATTTGAGCCACTCGGCTCATGGGACTTTGTTTTGGCAGCCGCAGGACACTCATGCACTGTCCTTGGAGTGTAAGTTTTTATTTTAAACATGTGGCTCCATTTGCCAGAATCTCCCCAACAGACCCCAAACCCAATCCAGGGTCTAGGCAGGGTAGCAGCTTTGACAGGAGCCTGTCGGTGCTGGTGGCTCCTCCATGCCCCAGACACCTTGCCTTCCCCCGCCCCGTCCTCTCCAGTTCTGTGTATAACACATTCCTGACAAGCCACACACAATGGGGCAAAACATTTTGGAGATCTATAAAATAACCATTTTAAAATCATATAACTTTGGAAAGCAAAGGGTAGAAAATCTTTAAATGAACAGTGCATTGCCCAATATGTTAAAGTGCTTGGGAGTAGTTGTGTGTGTGTGTGTGTGTGTGTGTGTGTGTGTGTGTGTGTTAAGCAGGTACATGGCTGAGTAAGACAAAGCCCCTGCCTTCCTGGGGGAGACAGGTGGAGAACGCAGGAGGCCTTGCCTCTGGGTGTGTATGGGGTGCAGGGAGGCTTCCGTGGAGGCAGGGGGCCCAGCAGCCCTTCCGGGGTTGCCGCTGGAAGATCTCAGAGGATGCCTAAGAGTTTTCTAGGTGAACAAGAGGAAGGATACCATGCAGAGGGGACAGTAGAGAAGGGTGTTGGTGGGGAGCAGCATTGGGAAAGTGGGGAGGTTAGCAGGAGGCGAGGAAGGCCTTGGAGGAGCCTATGCAATCGTGACTGCCTCTGTGCAAGATGGGTCTGGCAGGCGAGGGGCCGGTAGGCCGGGGGTGCCCAGGGCTCTAGGGGTTCCCAGAGCCCAGCTGCATCGCTGGAAGCTGGCAGGGATGCATCGGACTCCCAGTAAGTGGAGATCCCTTTCACGGCATATGTAGCCCAGAGCTTTTGTATTAGGTCCTGGAGAGATTTATCTTCCCATCCAAAGCCTCTCCAAAGGCCCCATAGCAATCACTCCCAACACTTTGCTCGATGTGGAAGGCTCCATCTCCCAGAAGAACTGTTTGCTCAACCTCCTGGCCATGCGGGCGTGGGAGATGCATGGCCAGCTGTCCCTCTGAGCCCATTGCTGTGCCTGCGGCTTGCCGTGGTCCCACCTGAGCCGCATGTGGCAACCTCGTCCTCTGAGTAAGCCCTCTGGGCCTCCCTGTTTCAGGTGCGTTCTTCACAAAGGTGGTGGATGTGGGTGCCACCTCTCTGAAGCTTGAGATCTGGGACACAGCTGGCCAGGAGAAGTACCACAGCGTCTGCCACCTCTACTTCAGGGGTGCCAACGCTGCGCTTCTGGTGTACGACATCACCAGGAAGGTAGGGCCCGCCTTGAGGCACGTCCCACCCTCCTTCCCAAGCACCTGCCTTCTGGTTTCTCCAGTGCAATGATGCCATGGCGTAATCACAAGGAACAGAGACTCCATTAGTGAGCAACAGTCACCTCCTCCAGGATGGCCTCCTGACAACCCCCCATCCTCCTCCACAGTGGGGTTCTGCTCCTCCGTGGTCCACAAAGAACATGCCGTTGCCATCTGCCACTCAGTAGTTCCTGGTGCTGCATTAGGGTCAGGGTTTGGGGTGGTGGCCAGTCCCCCAGACTCTCTTGCACAAAGTGGTCCTTTGAGGACAGCTAGGCGTGGGAGATTCAGGAGCTCGAGGCCTGACCTGAAATACCCCGTGGCTGGCAGTCTCCTGGGCCTGGTCAGGGTGAAGGATCTGATGTGTGTCCTAGCAGTTTTCTGCCTGGCCGCACAGGTCACCCAGGACAGGAACGTGCCCTCCTCAGAGGAACGGAGCAGCCCTGCAGGTGCGCCCATGGCCAGTTGGATTCTGTGACATTTTACACAACGTGATCAGCAACACTGGCTTCCCCCTCCCGGAATAGCTAATGACCACCTATAAGTTTTGTTTGATGTTACTTTTTTTCTTCTTTTCTAGGATTCCTTCCTCAAGGCTCAGCAGTGGCTGAAGGACCTGGAGGAGGAGCTGCACCCAGGAGAAGTCCTGGTGATGCTGGTGGGCAACAAGACGGACCTCAGCCAGGAGCGGGAGGTGACCTTCCAGGTACCGCCCAGGAGACCCTGCTCTGCTCTTCCACAGCAGGAGAGAGCCCTGCCCGCCTGTGTCAAGACCTTGGCACTCACACTTTCATACACGCACACCCACACACGCACACACTTACACATGTGCACACACACCTCTACACGCCCACATGCATTTACACACATGCACACCCCCCACATTCACTCTCACTTGCACCCACACACATTTACAAGTGAACACACACACACGCACACACACACAGCTTTCCACCTGAGTTTCTCTTTTAGTCAAAGATTTCCGGTCTTTCCTGAAAAACTCAGGCCCAGTGCAATGGCAGTTCAAGCCCAGTGGCCGGCAGAGGGAAGGGCAGGGCGGCAGCTGCAGGGTGGGCTCGGCTTGAACGAGAAAAGTGATCTAGTTCCTCAGCAGGGCTCCCTTCCCTACTCTGTTCCCAGAAGGGGCTTCTGTGCAAATGTAGCCTCCTTCACTCGAGTTTTGTCAGTCCTCCTTACAGGCAGAGGCAGCGGTCACCCAGGTGTCGCTGTTGTTTCTCTTCCACGGCATCCCACCTCCCCCACCACATTTAGGACGAAGACCGTGTAAACAGCTGCAGACAAGTGGCTGATGGGGAGACCCCACACACACTAGAGGCTGGCGCAGGGGAAGACCCAACTCAGGGCTTAGACCGACGGGCGCGCCTCCCAAAGAGAAAAGGCCCCAGCTTCAATGGAGGCTGTGGAGAGATGGAGAAGTGGGGTGAAGATTTTGGAGAATCTCGGGGGAGAGCAAGGGGAGCAAAGGGAGACAGCGTCAGTCTGAGCCCTCGTTGCAAGTTGGGGTGGGGGAGAGAGGATCCTGGCAGCAGAGCTGTGCCCTCTGAGAGTGACTACATGGGCTGTGTGCTTGGGCAGGCACAAAAACATGGGCACGAGGTTACTCAAGGCTTGGAGGGGCAGTGGGCGGCCAGGGTGGGTTTGGAGCGTCTGTCTGGGGAGCTGGCTGGGGAGCTCAGTGGGGACAAATGCAGGGCCGGCCGAGGGATCTCCGGGCCAGGACAGGAGGAGTGCACTCACGATGGTGGATGGTGCGAGAGCTGGGGGCATGGCCGGCCACACCTGCTGCCAGCTCCATGTCTGGCTGGACAGTCAGGAGCCTGAGCTGTGCCCTCTGGGATCCACCACAGGCTCCTCTTCCTGGGAGAGTCCCGGAGGCCAGGGGAGGGGCCTGCACAGGAAGGCCCCCATTCCTCGGCCACCCTCGACTCCTGGGCAAGGCTGTGGCCTTCCCATGAATGCTTTCTCCTGGTCACCCGTTGCAAGCCTGCTGTTTTCTGGTTTGCCTTTGCTCTGGGACATCCATTTCTCCCCAGAGGAGAGCTGTGTTGGAAAATGAGGGTTCCCCAGAAGAAGGGCCCAGGTGGGTGCCGTCCAGGGGCCTCCCTCTGCCTCATGTTTCCTGGGTTCTCAGTTGGTTCTTTGCCCAGCATCAAAGCCCACAGGTGCCAACAGGCATGATGGGAGGGGAACCTGGGGGTGGGGACTTGGCTTTCCAGGCCCTGCAGGAGGAGGAAGGCCGCACCCCGCCAGCTAGAGGAAGAGCCTCTTCCAGGGAGCACACCCCGCCCCTCCCTGGTCCTGGCTGCTCAGGAGTGCCAAGAAACACAACTTGGACACGAAACGTGGAGGAGTGCGGGCTCCACGGCTGCAGCTTTCTCGGATCTTACTGTTGGAAGTGAACCAGGTGTCCTTAGGAAACTCTCTTATAAACAGCGCTGGATTTTGTGGCTGTTTCCTTCAGGAAGGGAAGGAGTTTGCCGACAGCCAGAAGTTGCTGTTCATGGAAACTTCGGCCAAACTGAACCACCAGGTGTCGGAGGTGTTCAATACAGTGGGTGAGTCACGTCCCCGTGGGCCAGACAAGGGGGAGGTGCTTGTCCCTGACCAACTTCCCTGGGTCCCTGTTGCTGGTGACGTGGTATCCCATAGAATGTCTTTAGGGACTGGATGGTGACCAGGAGGGGCAGGAGGCCCTTGTTCTATGGTTCAGGGTAAACACAGGAGGGGCGGGTCCTGGGGTGGCTGGTCTGCAGGGCTGTGCTGGGCTGGGCGACTTCCCTCCCTAGCCAGCCCCCTCCTCTTGCTGTTCACAGCCCAAGAGCTACTGCAGAGAAGCGACGAGGAGGGCCAGGCTCTACGGGGGGATGCAGCTGTGGCTCTGAACAAGGGGCCCGCGAGGCAGGCCAAATGCTGCGCCCACTAGGTGCAGCCACTCCTGGGGGCTGTGGGGAAGACACCCCCTGCCTGGGCCATGGCCAGCTCTAGGTGGATTCTGATTCACTGTCAATGCTGGGTTGCTCCCGAGCCCTAGATGTTCCTGGAAGTTGGCCCCCTTTATGAAAACCACTTCCCACAGCCAGTGGGAACTGCCAGAGGAAGATCTGGCGTCACATGGCTCCCAGGAAAGTGCTGTGCCCTATCCCCACTGATACCATCTGATTCCCCGATGCCTGTGCCTGTTCCACCTGGACGGTGGCCCCCTCAGCCTGGCAGCCTCTGGACAGAGAGGAAGGAAGGATTGGAAAAGTCCCCGCAGCACAGCGACGGTGGGAAGATGCCTTACGTCTGATCTTGATGGGGGCACTGGCCTGGAGCCTGGGCCCACCTGCTTCTGGGGGGTTGGGGAGCAGGCCAGATGGAGGTGGTGGTGCCAGGAAGAAATGGAGCGATGACTGACTGTGGGGTGGGCCCAGGATTTCCACATCTTGGTGAAGTTGCCCCTGGGAAGGGCAGCTGGGGGCAGTGGCGCCAGTTCCCTTCCATGGTCTCCCGGCTGGCAATGTGGTGAAGCTGAGTTTCTGTCCAATGAGCAGGAAGATTCTGAGACATTTCGCCTGAGATATAAGTTGTACTGCGTATGCAGTTTTTCCTCCAAAAATTAAATTGCTTTTGACAATCTGGCTTTTAGAAGTTTTTGAGGACAAGGCAGGGCACTGCGCCTGGTGGATGGTTGTAGGTATTTCTGTATAGATTCTGGGAGGGCTCCTGTTAAGTAAATAAGGAAGCAGGCCCATGCGGCAGGCTGTGACTATCGTGGGCCTGGCCCAGCTCTCTGGATGGGATGCATTCCCAGATGGCCACACTTCTTCATCCTGCCTGCCTCCCTTTACAGAGAAACCCATGTCTGAGTCTGTTTTTGTGTTGCTATAAAGGGATACCTGAGGCTGGGTGATTTATGAAGAAAGAGGTTTATTGGGCTCATGGTTCTGCAGGCTGCACAGGATGCACAGGGCCGGTATCTGTTTCTGGTGAGGCCCCAGGCTGCTTCCACTCATGGCAGAAGGCAGTGAGAGCTGGCGTGCAGAGGTCACACGGGGAGAGGAAGTAGGAGAGGGTAGCAGGGAGGTCCCACTCTTTTTAACAACCAGCTCTGGGGGAACTCTTACAGGAGCTTTGGAGTAAGAGCTCCATCATTACTGCTAGGATGGCACCAAGCCATTTATGAGGGACCCACCCCCATGACCCAACACCTTCCATTAGGCCCCACCTCTCACACTGGGGGTCAGAGTTCTTCTTCTTTTTTTTTTTTTTTTTTGGAGATGGAGTGTCGCTCTGTCATCCAGGCTGGAGTGCACTGGCACGATCCCAGCTCACTGCAATTTCTGCCTCCCAGGTTCGAGCGATTCTCTTGCCTCAGCCTCCTGAGTAGCTGGGACTACAGGCACGTGCCACCACACCCATCTAATTTTTGTATTTTTTAGTAGAGACGGGGTTTCATCATGTTGGCCAGGCTGGTCTCCAACTCCTGGCCTCGGGTGATCCACCCGCCTCCACCTCCCAAAGTGCAGGGATGACGGGCATGAGCCACTGCGTCTGGCCCTGGGGGTCAGATTTCAACATGAGGTTTGGAAGGGACAAATATCCAAACTGCAGCAACCCAGACCCTGTTTTGGGAGGTAAACCCCACATGATGTTTTCCTGTTGGGTCTCTATCTGGACACCTGATGTGGCAAGGTTATTTCAAAGGTGGCCACTTTTTGGAAGGTGATATTGGTTTTCATCCTTGTCCCTATGATAAGCAGGTGTAAGTTTTAAACAATAAGACATTGTTATCCACCTGGAAAAAGTGGCATCACTGTATTGGCTGCTGTAAGGATCAAGGAAGGAGAAAGCAAAATACCTCCCGTTTGACGCTGAGCTTCTCATCACACAGAAGGGGAAAGAGCTCTGTGCCTGAGGCTTCCCCGGCTCCTCCGGGCTTCCTTCTGCTCTCACTCACTTTGTGTAGAGATGCCAGGCCTTGACCTTCAGTGGGGCCCAGACCATGGGGAGCCCTGGCAGGGGATGGGGGAGGGGACACAGAGGCCAGCCATTGCCTAGGGCCTGTCTGGTGAGGCTGGCTGTGTCCTGGCCAGAAGCCACTGCCCCTGTCCAAGAGGCCTCTTCCTCCTGCAGGTTCTGGTGGCTGCTCCCTCTGCTCATCCATTGGGCCTAGGGTGGGCACAGCCCCTCCTTGCCAGCCTGGGTTTCTCAGTGTTCCAACCACAGCTTCATAATAGCTCCTCCCTCATGATCCCTGGCTTCGTTTTCCTAACTGGAGGAGCCACCTGGGTCCACTGGGCCCCTGGCAGATCCAGCTTTCAATCTTGGGGACAAGGAAACATCTTGGATCTTCCTTGGAGTCTGGCTTTCCTGGTGCTAGTGTGACCTGAAATGAACTCCTCACGTGATCTTTACTAGACAAATGCAGAGCAGATTTCACACACCTCTGTCATGATCTCCAAGAAAAGCTAAAGGATAAATAAAGAAAACAATAGCTTCCTAGAGGGCCTGTTCCCTTGATTTTCGCGAGGACTGTCCTCGTTTCTTAGACAATTTCACAGGTGAAATCTGACACTGTATTATTGCTATCCACACTGCAGTTTCCGGCTGCGAGTAAAGTTGGACCATTTTTCACGCGATGATTCCCTTGCCGATGAAGAACATGAAGTGTGAGTCCCTAGTGTGCTAGGCTGTGTCCTCGCGCCCTGTGCCCCCGCAGCGGGCCCTCAGCCGGGGTGGGGACCCAGCTTGCGGGCGGCAGGAGGCTGAGGTTGCCCGTGGCCACCAGATGGCGCTCCAGCATTGTGGAAGGCAAGCCCCACGGTCCTGGCGTCCGGAGTGCTTGCTCTGCTGAAGGGCGAACCAGGAGGCTCTCAGAGGAGCTGCAGAGGAGCGGCTTGATGACATAGAAGGGGAAGAATACAAGGGAAGTTTGTAGGATGCCTGTAGGTCTGACTGCCTGCTTCCCCCTCTGTTTTGACGACCTCCTGTGACTATGCCAGCATTTATTATTAAAATGTGTCCTTTGACTCCTTCAGGAATCATTTCATGGCCTCCCCAAGAGTGGACAGATCTGTGGTGGTCCTGGAACCCTGGGTCTCCCAGGACTGTGACTGCCCCTTTCCCCTCCTCCCTCACCACTAGGCAGGTGGGGCTCAACCCTGTGCTGGAGTCACCTGCGGAGCTTCGGAAAGCCCCACACCGGGGCAGGGTGCGGTGGCTCATGCCTGTAATCCTGGCACTTCGGGAGGCCGAAGCGGGAGGACCACTTGAGGCCAGGAGTTTGTGACCAGCCTGGGCAACAAAGGGAGACCCTGTTTCTACAAAAAGCAAAACAAAAAATTAGCTGGGTATGATGGTGCACACTTGTAGTCCTGGCTACCCTGGAGGCTGAGGTGGGAGGATTGCTTAGGCCTCGGGGGTCGAGGCTGCAGTGAGCCATGATCAAGCCACTGCATTCCAGCCTGGGCACCAGAATGAGACCCCATCTCAAAAAAAAAAAAAAAAAAAATGGAGCGCCTCAGCTGCATATCACCCAGAGGTTCTGATTCCATCAGACTGCCCAGGGATTTCTAAATCCTTCCAGGTGAGCATAGGTGAGGCTGAGAACCTCAGTGAGGGCAGGGCCTCTGTCTGTCCTGATTTCTGTGGGATTCCCAGGGTCCTCTACACTGTCTGGCACACACCAGGCACTCAACACATGTGTATCCAACAAAGGGAGGAAAGCATGTTTTTTTTCCCCAGAGACCTAAAGAACAGGCAGGCTTTCCTGAAAACAGCCCCCGCCGCCCCTGACACCTGCGTGTGGAAGACTCACCTGTGTCAGTGCTCCACCACCTTATCTTCCTGTCCCGAAACGGGGCTGGGGTGGGGCAGCAGGCAGGAAGGCCCTATTTCTGCAAGCACACAGGGAGAGGCCCCAGCAGGGCTGCAGACATTTGTGTCGCAGATGATTCAGGATAAATGGGTCCAGGACCCCACTGGCCCCAGATCCTGGGAGAAGCTGGTCCATGTACCCACTGTCCAGGCTGCTGCTGGGGAAGCAGCTCCAGCCCTGCTTAGCCTGAGTTCGGACCTGGGTCTTCTCGTGAGCTGTTGTTTGCCTGTGGGGGGTGGTGGTGGATGCCGGAGGCATGGCAATGTTGATGAGTGGCCCTGGGAGCCCCTGCCATCCCAGCCTGTGATGCTAACCTTTTCTTCTCTCTCTCTTTCTCTTTTTTTTTTTTTTTGTTTTGAGACAGAGTTTTGCTCTTGTCACCCAGGCTGTAGTGCAGTGATGGGATCTCAGCTCACTGCAGACTCTGCCTCCTAAGTTCAAGTGATTCTCTTGCTTCAGTCCCAAGTAGCTGGCACTACAGGCGCCCGCCACCACACCTGGCTAATTTTTGCATTTTTAGTAGAGATGGGGCTTCACCAGGCTGGTCTCGAACTCCTGACCTCAAGTGATCCGCCCATCTCGGCATCCCAAAGTACTGGGATTACAGGTGTGAGCCACCGTGCCCGCCCTGTCTTGTTTCCTCTTGAGTATGTTCCCATCCCATTCTTCTGATGGGTCTGCGTTTCCCAGAGTGGCTGACTCACAGAACTATTCTTTTTAATTTTTTTAAAATTTATTCCCTGTTTAGGACTCCCACTGGCCAAATTTAGGCCAATTCGAGTGTCAAAAATTATAAAGTTCTGAAAAAAAAGAAAAAAAGAAATATCTTCTCTGGAAGAATCCAACTAATGACTGTGGAAGGAATTAGAGAATCACCATGGTGTGGGGGTGACTGGTGGTGCAGCAGCTGAGCCTGGCATGGGTAGTCAGGGGACACTGACATCTCAGGCCGCAAGCTGGCTGGGAAACAGGATTTGGCCATGGGGCCCTGGCCCCAGCACAGATTTCACATTGATCACACAGGGAAAAAACCTCTTACAATGAAGAGATCTGTCTCTACCACAGGGTCAAATAGCACTGTCAGAGAGGGAGCCCAGGATCCCATGGTCAGATATGATGCAGTGGGAAGGACACAGTTTTTGGGTCCACAGTGCGCGACCTGAATCCAGGCAAGATCCTGGATGCCCCTCTCTGATGACAGGAAGTACAGGGAACGGAAGAACAGGGACATCACCTTGGGGGAACAACTTACAAATCACACAGGTGGAGCATTTTCCAAGACGACTCATCTGGGTGCTTGAAAAATTCAACACCAGGACAACATAAAAAATTAACTGGTCGGAAATCAAAGAGAAACAACGGACTGTGAATGCAGATTGGAGCCCGGTGGGGGAAAAAGGAGACTGTCTTGCTGCATGTGGGGATTTCTGAGTACAGACTAAAAACTAGATGATATTGTGAAATTACTACAACGGTTTGTTCAGGTATGATGATTTTATGGCTATGTAGGAGACTGGCCTTATTCGTGGGAGAAGGATGCTGAAAATATGCTTCTAGTACATTCACTCTGTTCTTCAGCCACTGCCGTGGTCCAGTTCTAAGACGTTTCACCACCTCCAAAAGGGAACCCCCATATCCATTAAGCAGTCATCCCCCCACCCCTCTTCCCTATCCCCTGACAGCCATGAATCTGCTTCCATAGAATATGCAATGTCATACAACGTTTTTATATAAACAGAATCATACAACATTTGAATTCTTGTGCCTGGCTTCTTTCACTTAGCATGATGCTTCCAAGGTTCATCCGTGTTGTGGCATGTATCAGTGGTCCATTCCTTTTCCTGGCTGAGTAATATTCCATTGCATGGATAGACCACGCTGTGTTTTTCTATTCTTCTGTTGATGGGTGTTATGAAATGTTTGTGTCCCCGCCACTGCAAATTTATATGTTGAAATCCTCCCCCCATTATGGTGGTATTAGGAGATCGGGTCTTTGGGAGGAGATTAGGTCATGAAGGTGGAACCCTCATGGATGAAATTAGTGCCCTCATAAGAAGAGGCTAGAGAGCTTGCTTCCTGTTTCTGCTCTCTGCCATGTGAGGATACAACGAGAAGACGGTGTCTGTCAACCAGGAAGATGGTGTCGGATCAAGGTGTCGGATCAGCCAGCACCTTGATCTTGGACTTCCTGCCCCCAGAACTGTGAGGAGTGAGTGTTTACTGGCTGAGCCTCTGTGCCTATGCTATCTTATTAGAGCAGCCCGAACTGACTAAGGCAATGGGCATTCAGGTCATGTCCACCCTTTGGCTACTTGGAAGGGTGCTGCTGTAAACGCTGCTGTGATGTGCTGAGCACCTGCCCTCAGTTCTCCAGGGTCTACACCTGGGGCGAATTGTTGGGTCGTTTGATAACTCCGTGTTTAACTTTTTGAGGGCTGTGGCCTCTTTAAGGCCTGACCCAGCCCCTGCTGCCTTCGGAACAGACCTTGCCCCCCTTCCTGTTCCTGCAGGCTCACTCTACCCTGGCGAGGTGGCTCAGGGCTGGAGGGGCTCCCCTGTAGCTGGGGAGGTGCAGTCACCCCAACTCAGCCCCGTGTAGGTGGTCTGGGCCTTGCCACTGGCCCCTCTGAGCATGGATGGCCAAGAGGGCTGTGGTCAGGATGGGCTCCTGAGATCAGCATCTGCAGGCAGGGTCCAGCAAGAGTCCAGGCCAAGCTTTGGGTTGGAGGGAGCTGGTGAAGCCTGTTACATGGCTGGGTGGAGGATGGGCCTTGGGGAAGGGGCTTGCACTCACAGAGCACCCACCCTGTGCCGGCAGGCGTGCAGGTGCCACGCCCACGGAGCTGAGGAATGAGGTAAGCGTTGCTGTTCTGTGGCATGCAGTTGTGGAAACTGAGGCTCAGTGATTCACGGGATGAACTCAGTCTCCCAGGTGGTGCAAGTGTGCCCCCAATGCCAACCTAAGCTACACCTGAGGCAGGATGTGGAGACATCCCCGTGTGATTTGAAAGGGACGCACGTGGCGTGGGAGCAATCTAGGTTCAAGTCTCCCTGCCATGGGTCAGAAACAATCCATGATGCATCTTCCCTGAGTAAGAGGGAGGCAAGACAGACTGCAATGAGAGGACTAGCAGTTGTAGGGGTTGCGGGGTGCAGGGATGAGTAGGGGGAGCCCAGAGGACTTCTAGGACAGTTAAACGACTCTGCGTGATGCCACATCGTGTTGTTGTACATTTGTGCAAACCCACAGGACGCACAGCGTGGAGAGTGGGCTCTGACATACGCTGGTTGGGGATGGGGATGTGTCAGTGTGGGTTCCTCGACTGGGACAAAAGCACCCTCGGTGGGGGTGTTGATCATGGGGGAGGCTGTGCGGATGTGGGGGAAGGGGGTGGATGGGAACTTTCTGTACCTTCTACTCAATTTTGCTGTGAACCTAAAGCTGCTCTGAAAAATAGTCTAAATAAAAAGGACTGAAGTTGAGGGGCTGCCCAGGGCTCAGGCTGGGGGCTGTGCTACCGTCCTATGGGGACAGTGTCCTGCAGAGTATGACGCGTGGCACCTCCTGGCCTTCTGCAGTGGACAGCCTGGGCAGCCACTCAGGGCAGCTTGGGTGTGGGGGTGGCTGTGGGCTGCCGGTGACCAAGGGTAGACCCAGCGCCCCAACTCAGTGCCAAGTGCCCTCTGCCAAGTCACAAAGCCTTTTCTTCCAAAGAAGTTGCTGGGCTCTGAGGTTCTTTCTAGTCTAATGTCCCAGGAGGGAACAACTTCAGAGTCACCACCACACAGTCGTGAATGTGTAACTGAAGACCAGAGCTTTTATTAGGATTGAAGGGAAAGGAGCCCGAAGGAGAGGAGAGGGTGGGGTGGGGGAGGCTCCAGAGTGAGTTTCTTGACAAGCTGGCTGTCAGCCATCCTGGGACGACATAGCACCGCCTTCCAGGGGGAAGCAGGTCAGCCGGGGTCGCAGGCCAGGCTTGGGGACGTCCCCCAGGGTTGCCCTCCTCCGACCGAAGCGGCCCACAGGCCTGATCCCGCGACTGGCGTACCAGGCAGGATTGATGTCAGGGGCTGGAAAGGAAAGAGCTGGAGCAGACCATGGGCACGTGTCCCCAGGGTGTGCTGTGCTCCCAGAGGCAGCGGGGCAGAGTGCACAGGCAGGGCCTCTCAGCCCAGTCGCCAGGCCATGCTGGGAGCCACCCGAGGAACAGGCACCCAGAGGTTCTGGCGAGGCCATTTCTGGGCGTGGGCTGGCTTTGGGAAGCAGGAGTTCAAAAAAGCACCAAGACTGACTTCCCTTTCCTCCCGCGCACCCCGTTCCTGCCAGGTTCTCGAGCGACCAGGCTGCACTAGGTTCTGGGGTGAGGCAGGGTGGGGTAAGGGAGGCTGACAGGGGTCCAGGCACTCACTGCGGATCTCCATGGAGTGCCGATGGGTACGACTTGCAGCTCCCCGCAGGGCCAGGCCCAGCATCAGCAGGCACAGGAGCCAGGCCCTCAGCACCTTCATCCCTTGGCTCCTCCGAGGAGGCCCCGCTGGAGGGGAGATCCAAATGAGGAGGACACGGCCTGGGGGAGAAGGGGCAGGAGCAGCGTCACACAGGCATCAGGGTGCGTGTGCACGGAGCTGGGACCTTGGGTAGAGTGAGCACTGTGTGTGAGAGAGAAGTATGTGCATGAGCCTGTGTGCATGTGAGTGCACAGCTGTGTATGTATATGTGTACAAGAGGGTGTGGTGTGTGCACATGGGTGCCTGTGTGTGTGTATGTGTGCAGATATGTGTGTGTATGTGTGTAGATGTGTGTATGTGTGCAGGTGTGTGTGTATGTGTGTAGATGTGTGTGTATGTGTGCAGATGTGTGTGAGTGTATGTGTGTAGATGTGTGTATGTGTGCAGATGTGTGTATGTGTGTAGATGTGTGTGTATGTGTGTAGATGTGTCTGTGTGTATTGTGTAGATGCGTGTGTATGTGTGCAGATGTGTCTGTGTGTAGATGTGTGTATGTGTGTAGGTTTGTGTGTATGTGTGTAGATGTGTGTGTATGTGTGCAGATGTGTGTGAGTGTGTGATGTGTGTATGTGTGCAGATGTGTGTGTGTGTAGATGTGTGTGTATGTGTGTAGTGTGTCTGTGTGTATTGGGTAGATGCGTGTGTATGTGTGCAGATGTGTCTGTGTGTAGATGTGTGTATGTGTGTAGGTTTGTGTGTATGTGTGTAGATGTGTGTGTGTAGATGTGTGTATGTGTAGGTGTGTGTAGTTGTGTGTGAGTGTATGTATGTGTGTGGATGTGTGTGTAGTTGTGTGAGTATGTGTGTAGATGTGTGTGTATGTGTAGATGTGTGTGTAGCTGTGTGTGTGTGTATGTGTGTAGATGTGTGTATGTGTGTAGATATGTGTGTAGATGTGTGTGTGTCGATGTGTGTGTGAGTGTGTGTAGATGTGTATGTGTGTAGGTGTGTGAGTGTACATGTGTAGATGTGTGTGTGAGTGTATGTGTGTATGAGTGTAGGTGTGTGAGTGTATGTGTGTAGATGTGTGTATGTATGTGTGTAGATGTGTATGTGTGTAGATGTGTGTGTAGATGTGTGTGTGTACGTGTGTAGATGTGTGTGAGTGTGTGTAGATGTGTATGAGTGTAGATGTGTGTGTATGTGTGTAGATGTGTGTGTAGTTGTGTGTGAGTGTATGTATGTGTGTAGATGTGTGTGAGTGTGTAGATGTGTATGTATGTGTGTAGATGTGCGCGTGCACATAGCCACATAGATCTCCACGTGTTCCTCTGATCTGTGCTGAGGTGGGAATAAGCACAGAAACAGCAGTTAAACCTGGCTCTCTGCATGGTCCCCCACCCGCCTGTGACCCCATTCTCTCCTCTGCGCAATGAGGTGTTAAGTGAGATGCTTCTGTGCGCGTCAGCCTCTAACGGGATCGGTCACATGTACATTGATGCTCATGATCAGAAAGCCCTCAGGAGGTGTGAGCTACGCGTTATAAAGGGGGGCTGTCATGGAACAGCCTTGGGTCCGTCTGTCCGCCTGTGTTAAGGGATCAGAAGGTGCAGCAGGCCTCTGCACGGCTGTGCATGTTGCACACCCAGGACAGCAGGTTTGTGGGGAGGTGCCCAGGGAGCTGCACAGGTGGAGGCAGCCCCTTGCTCAACCTCAGACATGGTTGGGGAGCTGGGGAGTGCCAAGCCTGGACCAGGCTCAGGGGCTGGAATCCGGTGCACGGCCCCTTCCCACATTCATCTCAGCGCCTCCTAATGCCTGGTTCCAGCCTGCCAGCCCAGCCCTGCTGGGGAATGTCAGCCGACAGCTGCGTGTCGTAGAATGAGTCTGCATCCTCTGCCCTAAGTAAGCCCACTCACCCTTGCCATGACGCTAGATCCAGTCTTCTGAGGCTCCAAGGTAAGCCTGTAGCATCTGGGACCTCTTCTCACAAGGCAGGGCCACTTCCTATCGGTGATGGGAGGAGGGGGCTGCCGTGGATGACACCAGGTGCATGGAAAGCCCCTTCCACCCCACTGGAGTGGAGGTGCTGAAATGCCTAAACAGCATCCATCATGGGAGACCTGGAAACACCTGCTGCAGGCACCCCTCCTCCTTCCTCCACCTGTGGCACTTTGGGTGCCATGGGAAGATGCCCGACAGCTCCATCTTGCTCTGGGAAGGATCCCCCTGCCGACCTTGACTTTCCAGCCCCTCCCTGAGCCCCACAGAAAGTGCTCTCCATCAGAACAATTTAAAATGCCTACACCTTTCCTTTTTAGAGACCTGGAGGGGCGTCCCATGCTAGGTGGGGTGGGGGGTTCCCCAGTCTAGAGGAAATGGAGGTGCCACCTTGAAGAGTGATAAAGAGATTCATCCCAGCAGGCTGGCCGTTTGCATTTCCTCTGGCACGGGACCCACGCCACCTGAGGGGTGTCCGAGAATGCTAACGATGCTCACTTGGCTCCTGATCCCCAAAGACCTGCCTCCCTGAGAGGTGGAGACTTTGGCCGGCTGCCCCGTGGGATTTCCTGGTCAGCGGAGTTGAATGGGACGTCTTTGTCTGGAGTCTCCACCATGGACAGCGCCGGAGCCTTGGTGCCCTGGGAGGGCAGGGTGGCTTTGGATGCAAGAACCCAGGGGCCAGCCGTCTCTGCCTCTCCTGCTTAGGCCTAGCCTCAGCTGCCAGGAGAGCAGGCAGGGTCTCAACCCGACCCACACTCAGACAGCAAGGGAAGATTTTACAAAGTAGCAAAGCAGAGGGCCCAAGCTCCAGCGCCTGGATGTGCAACTCACCGTTCTCGAGTGTGGTAGAGGAGCTGTCCTGGCTACGGGTGCAGTGGAGCCGAGGAGGCGGGAGCCTCTGTTCCCCTTTTATAGCCCCCGAGAGGACGAAGCCGGCACCCCCAGGTGCCCTCCCCCAAGCCAGCCTGTCTCCCTCACAGGGCGGCATCAGGAGCGAGCCTGTGTCTCTTCTCGTTCCTTTATTGAAAAAAAAAAACACAAAACAAAACTCATCAGCGATGCGATTTGTTCCTTCCTGGGTTATATAATTTCATTTGGACCAAGTGGTTTTAAAACACATTAGCTTCTCTTCTTCGTGCTCGCCTTCGGGCAGACTGCAGTGTCAAGTGTCCGCTGGGCCTCACAGATGGGGCTCCCGGACTCCTTCCAGTCCTCTCTCCCTGCCTTTAAATCACCGCATTCACATTCAAGGGAAAGGTGAGCAGGGACAGTCACCAAAGCCCAGCACTGCGGCTTTGTATCTTTGCGATCTTCTCGGTCCTCGTTCATTCACCTGCCTGACTGTCCTACCTGCATTTGTCGTGTGCACACCATGTCTTCCTCATTCTGTAACTTCCGCGCAGGGGCCATGCTAATCTTCTCTGTATCGGTCCAATTTTAGTATATGTGCTGCAGAAGCAAGCACTCTATAACTTACAACAGGTGGTTTCTAGACTTTTACAGTCTTTATAATTAATGTTTAACATAAACAAGTTTATTATTCTCATAAGACAAGCTTATTTTTTATTATAAAAGAAACAAATACATTTTTATTATTAAAGCAGTTCATATACATTTGGAAAAATATTAGTGCATACAACAAAATAGAAAAAATAGCACTGATCATGTTAAAGAAGCTGCTCGTGGCCAGGTGTGGTGGCTCATGCCTGTAATCCCAGCACATTGGAAGGCCGAGGCGGGTGGATCATGAGGTCAGGACTTCGAGAGCAGCCTAACCAACATGGTGAAACCCTGTCTCTACTAAAAATACAAAAATTAGCTGGGCATGGTGGCGCACGCCTGTAATCCCAGCTACTCAGGAGGCTGAGGCAGCAGAATCACTTGAACCCCCTGGAGGTGGAAGTTGCAGTGAGCTGGGATCCTGCCACTGAACTCCAGCCTGGGCGACAGAGCGATACTCTGTCTCAAAGAAAAAAAAAAAAAAAAAAGAAAGCCTCTCGCGTCTACATTTGATGCATTTTCTTCTAGTGAGCTTCCGACATATTTTCTGGGTAGATTGATCACATTTATACATGTTGAATTTCATTCTTTTCACTTAACACTGTAACAATCACATCCTCAAGTTGCTAAAAAATCTGCAAGTTTGTGCCATTTTAAGTAACTGTGCAATGTTCTACCATTTAAGGTGGATCTAAATCATTCATGTTCTGAATAATTATAGGTTATACTCATGACCACTTATATGCAGTTGAGTACAATCTTTTTAAGGAAAATTTCTGGAGGGGAAACTTGGCACGTGCTTCCCATGGATTGGCGCAGATGGTCAATGTGCCACTTCCATCCTTTAGGAAAAGCTTCTGGGCAATACTTTCCCCTTCAGGGAACAGGACACAGTGGCTTCTTCCTTGCTGCGTAGTTGTTTTTCCCAGTGACACAGGTTTGTGGCTGGTGGGCTCCCTGGGAGCTCTGGAGCCCAGGGGTAGCTGGAGGCGGGAAGTAGGGTAAGCAGCACGGGAAGGGTGATGGGGTGGGGTTCGCAGCTCCCAGCTTGGGCTGCTGATTAGAGTCACTTGGGAGCCTTAAAAACCTCCTAATGCCTGGGCTGTACCTGGAATGAATTCCATCAGAATTTGTGGGGGTAGCTCAGGCATCAGTGATGGCGAAAAGCTCCCCATCCATAGTTTTTACCCATAGTTTTTACAAATGTAGGTTGAGTATCCCAAATCCAAAAACCCCAAATCGGAAACTTTTTGAGTGCTGAGTTGATTCTCAAAGGAAATGTTCATTGAAGCATTTTGGATTTTAAATTTGGGATGTTCTACTCATGAGTATAGTGCAAATATTTCAAAATCCTCCCCCCAAAAACCCTTAAAATCCAAAACAGTTCTGGTCCCAAGTACTTTGGATAAGGGAACTTGACCTGTAGTGGTGATAGTGGTGGTTAAGTATCACCATCTTGGAGGTGTGTTTTCTGTCCAGTGCTAGGCCTGCCTGTAGCAGCAGAAACTGAGACCCCAGGACCTGGGGGCAGCTTTCTGGGCATCCACCACTGGAGTGTGTGTGTGTGTGTGTGTAAAGCAGCGCTGTCACAGTGTGGCACTGGCATCTTGCCACTTTGGGAGTCCACCAGTGGGAGGCAGCAGGCGGGCTGGGCAGTAGCACAGGCATCAATCCTGCTTACCCCACCCCCACGAAGAAGGCGATGGTGTCCATCAGAGACCTCAGAACCGCTGAGAGGCACTGTGGCTGGCCGGAGATGCTGTGATGGCGAGTGAGGTGTGGGCTGTTCTTGCAAGAATGTCACAGAACTGCAGGCCTGGCCTGGGGCTTTCAGGATGCACATGGCTTCAGTGTTTTTAGAGAAATGAATCCCACAGATGGGTTTTGACCACAGGCAGTCAGGGAGCTTCTCCCCATCCCCTATTTAACTGCGTCATGGGCCTCAGGAAAGGCAGAGCCAAGCACTCTTGGTCCAGCTTCTGTTGGTCAGTATTTCATCCAGAATGTGATGTGGCCACTTGAGTTGTGGCACATACAAACTAGAACCTGTGCAGGAAAGTCCCCTCCCTGGGGAAAGTATGACTGCCTGCCATGCTACCCTCCTGGAGGCCACGGGTATAATGACAGCAAAGATGCTGACTGCCACGCCTTCCAGTCCTAATTTTCTAAGATACTTATTTATTTATTATTTTATTTTATTTTTTTGAGACAGAGTCTCGCTCTGTCACCCAGGCTGGAGTGCAGTGGCGCGATCTCGGCTCACTGCAACCTCCACTTCCCAGGTTCAAGCGATTCTCCTGTCTCAGCCTCCCGAGTAGCTGGGACTACAGGCATCCACCACCACGCCTGGCTAATTTTTGTATTTTTAGTAGAGACGGGGTTTCATCATGTTGGCCAGGCTGGTCTCCAACTCCTGACCTCAAATGGTCCACCCACCTTGGCCTCCCAAGGTGCTGGGATAACAGGCGTGAGCCATCGTGCCCGGCCAGCTACTGATTTATTCTTCTGTGCCTTTCTTCATTGAATGAAGTGATCACAGTGGTTTTCTCATTCACTCTGTTAACACAGTGGACCGCAAGAATATATATTTTTTTCTAACATTAAAGAATTCCTGGCTTTCTTGGGATGAACCTTACCTTGGTAAGATACAATAGGTTTTCTAATAGATTCTGGGATTTGTTTCATGAATACTTTATTTAGAATAGATCTTTTAGGCTGTGCTTAGTGGTTCACATCTGTAGTACAAGCACACTTTTGGGAGGCTGAGGTGGGAAAATTGCTTGAAGCCAGGAGATTGAGACCAGCGTGAGCAACATAGCAACGCCCTATCTCTACAAAAAAGAAAATTTAATTTATAGAATAAATATGTTAACATATGTTGCCTTTACTTCTCCTTCCTCACATTGCATTCAGTAGGAAGGTCTTACCAGCCTTATGAAAGAGGAGCCACGCTTCCCCTTTTTCCTGTCCTCTGGAAAGGATCTGGTAAAGATAGGAATTCCAGAGCTGTCTAGGAGACATATGGGGTAGGACTTGGGCTGAGGTGAGGGGCAGAAAAGGAGTGAGCTCGGAGGTCATGGGTCGGGGGTTTCCAGACTGAGAGCTGGGGGGCTAAGATGGGAGCCTTGGGGATGGGGAAATGCTGAGGTCAGTCGTGGGCAGGTGTTTGAGGAGCCCTAGAGGGTGGCCAGGTGGCTGCTCGCTGGGCCTGGAACCCTTTATTTCTTTGCTTACGTTTGAGACCTCAAAGAAGCCCAGAGCTCTTTAACGAGGCCTCAGCCGTAAACCTGAACATGGGTGTGGACAGAGGACAGGTGGCTGTGAACAGCCAGGGAAAGGTGGGCACACCTGAGAGAAGACAAGAAGAGGACAGGTGGCGGAGGGTGGACAGAGAAAAACGACTCAGTGAAGGACCCGGAGAAAGTACCAGGGAGGAGGGTCTTGCGGGTAGAAGCGGGGAGGAGTGAAGAAGGCAGAGTTGCCCCGCAACAAAGAAGGGATCATCCGAGTCAGGGACTGTATCACGGCGCCCACCTGCCGGCTCGTTTGCTTGTGGTCTGTAGGGGACACTCCAAATCCAATCTTGAACACGGAGCTGGCAAACTTCTTCTGCCATGAGCCAGATAGTAAACGTGTCCAGCTTTGTGGGTCATAGGATCTTGGTGGCAGCTGGCCAAATCTGCTGTTGCAGCAGAAAAGCAGCCATGGGGAAAAGGCAGATGAATGGGTGTGGCTGGGCTCCCATGAAACCTCACTTAGGAAGATGGGCCGCAGCTGGCTTTGGCCCAGCCTGCCGTTTGCTGCCCTGGGTCTAGGTCTCCAGCTGGCAAACTGTTGCAACAGGTGTGCAGTCGACACTGTGACAGCCTCGTGCTGTTTCTGAAAACCATTGTGTAAAGTGGGAGAACAAGAGAACGCACTGTGTGGGAGTGTTGTGCTGTGTGAACGGGTTGAAGTGACCTGCTACCCTGCTTGTCCGGGCAAGACGACCTCTTCTCTGGCACAGGCTGTCTCTAGGTTGGCTAGCAACTCGCATGTACACGGCCCCGCCCATCTATCTCTCGGGCATCTGGAAAAATAAGTTGTGGCCGCTGGAGGGAACAGTCCTAGAGTTGGGGGTTGGAGAGGCCATTGAGAGAGGCCACCTGCTGAACCGGCCGAGGAGCAGTTCACAGTCAAGAGGGAAGAGAAGGGCACAAGGGGGGCTGAGAAGCCTCGAGGCCGTGGCCATTGCAGAGCCACCCCAGCCCCCGTGGCTGCTGCACTGGATCGCTGGGTTTTCCTGGGTCCCCAAGAGAAGGCTCTGTGTTCTTCTCTCACGCTCGCTGTTTCACTTGGGCTGGTTTCAGTGGATTTCTGCTCTTTGCAATTATAGGCACTCCAAGGCCAGGTGCAGTGGTTTATGCCTATAATCCCAGCACTTTGGGAGACCGAGGCAGGCAGACCACAAGAGGCCAGGAGTTCGAGACCAGCCTGGCCAACATGCCAAAACGCTGTCTGTACTAAAAATACAAAAATTAGCTGGGTCTGGTGGTGGGCACCTGTAATCCCAGCTACTTGGGAGGCTGAGACAGGAGAATCACTTAAGCCAGGGAAGCAAAGGTTGTAGTGAGCTGAGATCGTGCCACTGCACTCCAGCCTGGAAGACAGAGGAGGACTCTGTCTCTAAATAAATAAATAAATATATAAAAAAAGAGCCCCAAGTTGAGAGCCTCCCTCCCTCCTAGTCTTTCTTCCTGTACTCAACATGGGGAGAGGACCCTACTCTGGGGTGCATTTCAGTTTTGAGATCTTTGAGCTTTCACCCTCAACATGGTAAATGTGCAGCCTGTAGCAGGCACTTGGTAAGTAGCAACAGCACCATGATGGACAGTTGATTTCATGGATAGCTGGTTTTGGTTTTAGTTCTTGGACCATAATGGTGCTCTGTAGTGGGTTGGAGTCTCCCATCTGGAATCTCAAATATGACCTTATTTGGAAACTAGGATCTTTGCAGATGTAATTAGTTAAGATGAGGTCATCCTGGATTAAGGTGAACCCCAAATCCAACAACTGGTGTCCTGATAAGAAGAGGACAGACGCGCAGAAATGCACAGGGAGAAAGGCGATGTGAAGATGGAAGCAGAGACTGGAGGGAGGCAGCTACAAGCCAAGAAGCACCAAGGATGCCAGCAACCTCACAGCTGGAAGGGGCCAGGAACTGCCTGCCCTCAGGCCCTGCAGATGGAAACGACTCTGCTGATGCTGTGATTTTGGACTCTGGCCTCCTGAACTGTGAGGGAGTAACTTTCTGTTGTAATCTACCAGTTTGTGGGGCTTTGTTATGGCACCCACAGGAAACTAATGCAGGGCTTCAAACGTGTGTCTGAGTGGACTGATGAAATGTCTGTCCCTTGTGCTTGTTCCCAGAAGAAAGCGGACCGTGGCTGTGGCCTGTGTGTTTCTTCTGGCCTCCTAGGAAGACACTACACAGCCTGATGGGAGAGGTAACCTTGGGAATTGGAAGCCATCGAGTTGCAGCTGTGGAACAGCCACGGCAAGAGCAATATTCAGTCACCAGAAAAGCTGTTTCTGCTGTAGATGGCTTCTGAAAATCCAGACTCTTACGAGATTTTAAAACACTCCTCTTTGTAAATTAGAAAGGTGCTTTTGAAGTGTGAGTCATCCAGAAAGTGGCATCTCTGAGAACTGAGAGAGAAAGTGCTAGTGAGATTTGAGCACCGGAGGAAGGCTTCCCCTACCCCACGTGGCCACGGCTCTGGGACCTTGGCATTGCATTTGTGATAAAATAAACGGTGCTCCCCGTCCCTCACACATAGCTCCCATCTAACCAGTTTACAAGTTTCAAACACAGACACACTGAACATCAGACAAGGCTCTTATATAGGGACTGTGCATTGGTCAAGGCTCTTCAGAGAAGCAGAGCCAATAGCGTGTGTGTGTGTGGAGAAGAGAGAGAGAGGGGAGAGAGAGGAGAGAGAGAACGGAGAGAGCGGGAGGGAGAGAGAGAGAACAGAGAGAGAGGGAGGGAGGGAGAGAGAGAGAGAGGGGAGAGAGAACAGAGAGGGAGGGAGGGAGAGAGAGAGGGAGGGAGGGAGAGAGAGGAGAGAGAACAGAGAGAGAGGGAGGGAGGGAGAGAGAGAGGGAGGGAGGGAGAGAGAGGAGAGAGAACAGAGAGAGAGGGAGGGAGGGAGGGAGAGAGGGAGGGAGGGAGAGAGAGGAGAGAGAACAGAGAGAGAGGGAGGGAGGGAGAGAGAGAGAGGGGGAGGAGAGATTTAGTCTAAGGAATAGGCTCATAAGATTGCAGGGCCTGGGAGGTCTGAATCCTGCAGGACTAGCCATCAGGCTGGAGACCCAGCGAAGGAGGAAAGTTGTCCCTGGAGTCTGGAGGCAGAACTCCTTCCTGCTCAGGGCACATCTGTCTTTTCTCCTAAGGCCTGCAACTGGCTGGGGAAGGCCCACCCACTTTATGGCAGGTTATCTGCTTTAAAGTCTACTGATTTAAACCTTAATCACAGCTACAGAATACCTGCATAGATACATCTTGGCTGGTGTTTGATCAGACATCTGGGCACCACAGCTGAGCCAATTTGATCCATAAAATTAACAATCATAGACTGTTACAAGTGTCTGTGGTGATGTAGCAAAATACTCCTTTCCCCAGCATGGCCATGTCCTTGGAACTCTGAGCCCAGATGCCATTGAGCTGCAGGTGTGTTCATTGGAAATAACTGAGCAGTTTGTTCATTTAGACAGCAAGGCTGTCTCTGGGAAGACTTTGCTGTAGATATTTTCAGGGGAATATGGGTAGCATACATGGGTAAAATACTTATTTCTGGGGCTGGCTCTTTCCTGGGAAGATATAGGTGTGCGGTCATGTTTGGAATGGGCTTTACTCACCTACTAGTATATTAACTTGTGGGAGTTTTATTAAAAGCTAATACGTGAACCAATGTCTGCAAGGACTTAGCAGTGGTTGCTAGTGGGTAGATGATTCTTTTTTTATGTATTTTTTTTCTTTTGCATATCTATCTTTTCTGTTTTATCCCAATAAAATAAAAAAAATTCATATGTAATAAATATTCTCTATAAGAATAACTTTGAAGTTATGAGCATTGTGAATATGTGAGGATTACTTGGCTGTCACCAGCATGCTAAAGTGGAGCTTTAGCTGGGCTCTCAGAAGCCCAGCAAGTGACAATACCATTACTATTACTCTTTTGGGGATGGGTTTTTGGCCCCCAGTAAAGTGGGTTCTTTTGGATAGAGCTGTTGGAAAGTGAAAATCCTTGGAACTTACAGAAACAATGGCTTGACATAAAATCAGTGAAACTGCAACACTGTAATGCATGGTTGGTTTGATCCCTGAGAGCTGGGAGCTACACCTGTCAAATTGTGTTTCACCCCAATAATCTGCAGTGAGGCAAGGTATCCCTTGGTGATCTGGGTGCTATATTGCAATATGTTGGATACTGGATTATCTGGGGAGTGCAATTTTGCTGCACACTCATAGCTCATTTGTAAGAAGCATCTTTGGGAGATCTGTGCATTCAACGCTTCCTAAAATTTTTTCTTTTTCCCCTTATAAATAAGACTGTTGGAGGATAAAACTTTGGAGAAATATTTTAAATGCTTGTCTCTAATCTCCCTCTGGAGTCATAGAGAAACCACTGACTTCTGTCAATCTTTAGCTGGAAACAAAGAGCCAGCAGCTGTACTGGTTGGGGTACACTAGCCTCAGGGATCCCTGACCTGCCTGTATGCAGCTTCCACTACACATCTCCAGAATAGCCATCTGCTAGGAAAGGAACTCTGAAGAATTATTTTCATTTATTTATTATTAATTTTTTTAAGAGACAAGGTCTCACTCTGTTGCCCAGGCTCGAGTATAGTGATGCGATCATGGCTCACTGCAGCCCCAACCTCCAGGGCTCAAGTGATCCTCCTGCCTCAGCCTCCTAAGTAAGTAGGTACGACTACAGGCATATACCATCATGCTTGGGTAATTTTTTTGTTTTGTTTTTTGTAGAGATGGGATCTCACTATGTTGCCCAGGAGGTCTCAAACTCCTGGCCTCAAGCAATTCTCCCACCTTGGCCTCTCAAAGGGCTGGGATTATAGGTATGAGCCACCTTACCTAGCCTGAATAATTTTTTCAAAGAATAGAATTTATAAGTAAGGCTGGGAATTATATGGAAAAACTCCCACGTTTTTATCTGATGCCACAAGGAGTCAGAGAAACAGCTGCTAATGTGTGCTCACAGGTCTCCTGAAGTTGCAGGAGTATCAGCCTCCCAGCAACACTTTGAGATTCAAACCTTAGTTTTAAGTGAGAGATTGGAAAGCTCCTGGAAGTGTCTTATTGAGAGAGGGAAGGAAACACTTAACTTGGTCAATGCTTGAAGACACAAGGCTTGACTCTTGTCTCTACTGTTTGATTCTAAAAGAAGCCACTCCTCTCAGCACCCCCTCTGACAAAGGCAGTGCAGCCATTGGGTCCTGTCTAAAGTGAACCTCAGGGAGGGTGAGATGTGATTACTGTTAGGATGTTCAAAGGCAGCTCTGGAGAGTCTTGGAGGGCTCCACTTAAAACTGGATGGGGCACACCGATACTAGGAAATAACTCTGAGTCCCAGCCTGTCTGAGAGATCATCTATGTAACCAATGGGCGAGTGGCAAGCTGACTCCTGTGGCCTCTGCACCCCCATCCTTGGCAGACATCCCTCATTGGTTGTGACCCTCTGTCCTCTGCCCCACTGGATCCACTGCAGTGAGGGGCAGAGCCAGGCTAGAACCAAGCCTCTTCCTTGCCCATCTGGAGCTCTGCCTGCTGTCTCTTCGTCTCCCAGCAGGCTCTCTGCACTAGCATCTGAGCATCTATCAAATGCTCACTTGCTGTCATGTGCAGGCTCTGCCCTTGACCGCAGTGTAATTTCCCCTGGTCTACAGATCACATGGGAACTTGCAGAGCGGGTGCACGTAGGGTGGGGACTGGGGTGTCTATTCCTCCTTCATTATTCAGCAGATCATTAGTTCAGTCACTTGTCCGGATGTCTAATATCCAGTCACACCCACAAGAAATACGCAAACATCTGCTCACACCCCGATATAGACCATCAAGAATACACATATGGCTGGTGCCTTAACTGAGTCATCTTTTTTCCATTCCATTCATGAAAGCAACATAAGAAAGCCAAGAGTGAAAGGGGTAAAAGATCACAGTATAAAGGTCTTCGGTGTGTCCTTCAAAGATTTACACAACATTGTCCTAAAGGGAAGTCACAGCAGCTTAGCTGTTTCTCACAGATCAGAGAGGATGGTGGGGCAGCCAGGAGTCATCAGTAAACCCAGGTGAGCAGTGCAGGACTGAATGTCGCTGTCCACTTGCAGGTGGGAGTCCATGTGGAGGGTGCTCCTTCTTGTTTCTCATTGGGACGGTGACTGTGTATAGTGGAAAGCACAGAGCCAATGAGGGACAGGATGGCTGTGGTGGAGGGAAAACAGTGCAGGGCTGCTCTGTCTCTCTGTCCTGTCCCGTTAGGACTGGTGGGCCACCACAGGTTTCTGTAAAGTACAAACACACATGCACATATAAGCACACACATACACAGGCATGTAACACAGACACACATGGGCATGCACATACAAATACACAGGTGTGTACATGGATGTGCACATCTGTAGACACAAATTTAGATTACACGTTTGTGCACACATGCATGTGAGGCAAGAGAATAGGGTCTGGAGGCAGGGAACCTAAGGCCAATTCGTGCTGACTTCCTAGAACTGAATCAAAATGAAAACCCCACCTCTCCATGCCTGAGGAACAAAAGGTTCAGCAGCTACTCCCTTTGCTATACCCCCTTTCCACTGCATCTCAGATGAAAATGGAAAGTACCTCGGATTGGTCCCCTCCCGCAACCAACCAGACTGGTCATCGGCCAAGTCTTCATGTGTAACTTTGTAACTTCCCTTCAGCCTCTGATTGGTTGCCTCCTGCGACTGATCACATTGGTTGGGGCCACTCCTTCATCTGCATAGAGTATAACCAAGTAACCAATGGGAAAACTCTGGAGGGCACTTAAACTCCAGAAAATGCTGTAACCAGGCTCCTGAGCCACTGGCTCTAGCCTGCTCCCACTCTGTGGAGTGCACTTTCTTTTCAATAAATCTGCGCTTTCGTTGTGGTAACACACACACTTGGGTGTGTATGCAGGTACATACACATGGGTGTGCACAAACACACAGGCATGCACACAGTACACACACACACAGGGGTGAACGCAGCCACACACATACACACATGGACAAGTTAGTGAAACCCTGGGTTTGCTTTCTTCACAATATTAGGTGAACTCTCTTGGGGTTTTTTACTTAACCTCTCTCTGCCTCTGTTTTCTCAGCTACAAATTTGGGTTAGTGACACAGGTCCTCCTCCAATGGGGTGTGTGGACAGCAGATATTTGAAAATTTAAAGCTCTAAAACACAAGATATTATTCTAATTTCAAAGTATTTAGATTTTCAAGCCCTCGTTGGCAAAGATTTTACTTTACTTTTTGCTTTGATTCTCAGGTCTGAATCTTTGTTTTGTTTATCTCCATTTTCTTTGCTCTGAAGACTTAATTTTAATACATAAATCTGACGGGTCACTGAACTTTAAAAACTCCTCAGAGAATGAGAGAAAACTTTACCGCGAAGGTGTGGCTGGCCATTCCTTTCCTCGCGTTGGGGTTTCTCTGTGTCAGCGAGCCTCGGTACACTGATTTCCGATCAAAAGAATCATCATCTTTACCTTTGGGGAAAACAGGAAGAGGGATGGTGCTTTATCAATCACATACTTAGCCCAAACAAGTGCCTTGGCCTCCTCAGAAATTTAAAAGGTAGAAAAAAATGGACATATCCCCTTTTAAGAAGCTTCCACATCACATATTTTTTAAAAAGTATTTACATTTCAGCTGTCATGCAAATCAACAGTTTTGCCAACTTCTTTCTCCTTTGCTCTGGCACTGGCATTAACATTCTTCCTCACTGTGGCCCTGGAAATCCTCACACTAATGAAGCAGCAGAAAGGCCCATCACACTGCACTGGTGTGTGGTCTTCGCATTTCCTTGACTTTCTTTTCTTTTTTGTTCTTTCTTTTTTTTTTTTTTGAGACAAAGTCTTGCTCTGTCACCCAGGCTGGAGTGCTGTGGCGCAATCTTGGCTTAACTGCAACCTCTGCCTCGGGTTCAAGTGATTCTTCTGCCTCAGCCTCCCAAGTAGCTGGGACTACAGGTTCACACCACCATGCCTGGCTAATTTTTGTATTTTTTAGTAGAGATGGGGTTTCACCATGTTGGCCAGGCTGGTCTCGAACTCCTGACTTCAAGTGATCCGCCCGCCTTGGCCTCCTGAAATGCTGGAATTATAGGTGTGAGCCACCATGCCTGGCTTCCTTGCCTTTCCTTTGTGAGACACGGCAACAGCCCAAGGGGTCTCAGATGCTGACCCTCAGCAGAGGGCACCTCCTGGGGCCATGGCTGTGTAGCTGGGGGCATCTGGCCTCACATCCTAGTTGAGTGTTGGTGTCCAGGTGGCTGGTGCAGGCACCCGCCCTTCTTCACTTTTGCATGTCTTCTGTGGCCTGCCTGACTGGAGCCAGTTGTCAGGGCTCCTGAGAGCTGACTGTGGGCACCTCTTCCTGACCCCACGCTCGGTGACATCAGCTGGGAGCTTGCGATCAGCCAGGGTGGGAGCATTTACGCCACAGAACCTGGCACATGCTACAGGCCAGGACTTTGTCCTTTTCCTTTTCTGGGAGTTGGCTCAGCAGCGTGCTCCTGTTGTGCTGTTCCCCTCTCTGCAGGGTCATGTGGCCTGGCCTGCCGGCCCTCCGTCCCCGCTCCAGGACTAACCTCTGTGGAGGGAATCACCTAACTCGAGGGATCACGACTCCTGAGCAGTGAAGTCGCATGAGGCCCCACAGACCCCGGGATTGGAGGCCCAAGGACCTGCCAGTGTGCGGGGCTGGCCTCTGCAGACAGTGAAAAGCTCCCGTGGCCACGCTTGGCAGATGCTGGTGAGGATGGCGGGGAGAAATGTGAAGGGTCAGGCCTCAGCTTTGCCTTTCAGACCCCAAAATTCCTGTGAGCTTCAGGGGGCCGGGGGTGAGCTATTCTGGCTTTGGACTGGAGGTGAGTGAGGTCTCTGGATAGGACAGAGTCTACCCTTCACAAAACCAGTCATACAGAGGACACAAGGAATCGCCCCTTGTCCTCCTGCTACAAACATGAATCTCTTGGCCGGGCACGGTGGCTCACGCCTGTAATCCCAGCACTTTGGGAGGCCGAGGTGGATGGATCATCTGACGTCAGGAGTTCGAGACCAGCCTGGCCAACGTGGTGAAAACCCGTCTCTACTAAAGATACAAAATTAGCCTAGCATGGTGGCAGGCACCTGTAATCCCAGCTACTCAGGAGGCAGAGGCAGGAGAATCACTTGAACCCAGGAAGCGGGGGGTGCAGTGAGCTGAGATCACGCCATTGCACTCCAGCCTGGGCGACAGAGTGAGACCCTGTCTCAACAAAATAAAACAAAACAAGAATCTCCACCTGGATTTCAGCCCACGAGATGTGCAGGAAACTCCCCGCAGAGCCAGCACATGGCTCTCCAGGAGCCCCTGCTGGCAGCTCCTTAGTGGGTCATCTCTGGCAAAGTTGCCCTCCTGGCTGGTGACCCTGAATCTGGGATTAGCCCCAAAGGGCCCTGGGCACCAGCTGTATCCCAGGATTGACCAGAATGTGTGCTGGGAGCTCAGGGCATGCAAAGAGCGAGCTGGCATGGAGGTGGGGTGGCTGACTGATCAAGGAGTGAGCTGGCTGGAAAGAGGGATTGATGTGCCAGGTGTTGCAGGGAGGCGGTGGAGAGCCCCGGGGGAGAGGCTTCATACTTGGCCCTGGAGGACTTCACAGGACAGAGATGGGCAGGGAGGGGGCACACCCAGGCGTGGAGGCAAGTGCCTGCTTGGTGCGCTCTGAAACCAGCGTCCGCTGTGCGTTGTCCTACGCACGGGAAGGAAGTGCATCCTTGGGCGGGTGTAGTAGGGGGCAGGCTGGCTCCAGTGTGTGACAAATGGCCAAAGTCTGCAGGGCTATGCTAAGAAATCCCACTTCATTCTGCAGGCAGTTGGGAGCCAAGGATTGCTTGTGAGCAGAGGAGGGACACACACTGTCTGCAAGGACTGCAGCTGTGGCAGAGTTTGAACAATGGTGTGTGTGAGGGCAAAGCTCAGAAGACAGGGACAACAGGAGATCAGTCCAACAATGTCTGGGGGCCTGAAACAGCTCGACAGCAGAGGGACGGGACTCTGAATGGGGGGAGGAGCTACCAGCCTCTGGTGAGCAGTGGTTGGGTCACAAGGTGAGTGAATGAGATGAGCACACAGATACCCCAAGAGCCCGGCCACGTGCTGGGGAGGCCTCACATCCCGTTCGTCCAGGACAAAGCTAATGTCCTTGTCACCACCAAGCCTTCAAGGAAGGCTAAATGATGAGCCGTACTTTCTAGAAGGCCAGGAACTGTGTACCACGTTAGGACAATTTATGTAGAAAACCATGGAAACCACTACCACCACCACCGCTGCCACCAGGGCCCCCTTTGCACGCTTAAAGCAGCAAGTTCCAGCTGTCCAGAACACCAACTTGCTGGGTCCTGAGGGTGGCCCGAGCGGCACTGGGAATGTTTTTTGGGAGTCAGGACATGAGATATGTCCCACAGATAATGAAGAAACACACAGAGCTGCGACTGGTCATTTTCCTCCCCGAAGCTCATTTCCCAGGCCCATGGGGGTGGGGGAGCAGAGGGCTCTTACCTTGACTTTTCAGGGAATTACTGAACTTTCTTCTCAGAAGATAGGGCACAGCCATTGCCTAGAAGAAACAGAGTGTCTCCAGGCTTCATCAAGTTGTGACGTTTAGGAATTGTCAACTAATTTTGGATTTCTTATTGTTCTTCCAGCTTCTAATTAACCATGGCCACTATTTTCTGCTCTCTAGCAATATTTGAACTTTTAGCAATATGAGAATGGACATTTTCAATAAATTAAGCATGAAATGCCTGAAATAAGAGATGCTCAGCTTTGGGGAAGCTGCCACATTTGGGTGGTATGGCAGAAAGAGTACAAGTTTCTGCCCTGCAGGTCTGGTTTAAATCCCAGCACTCCCCCTTACCACTGTGTGACATGGACAATTAATTCACTTCTTTTTTTGTTTGAGATGGAGTCTCGCTCTGTCACCCAGGCTGGAGTGCAGTGGTGCGATCGCGGCTCACTGCAAGCTCCGCCTCCCGGGTTTATGCCATTCTCTCGCCTCAGTCTCCTGAGTAGCTGGGCCTACAGGCGCCCGCCACCACGCCCGGCTAATTTAATTTTGTTTTTCTGTATTTTTAGTAGAGACAGGGTTTCACCGTGTTAGCCAGAATGGTCTCGATCTCCTGATCTTGTGATCCGCCCACCTCGGCCTCCCAAAGTGCTGGGATTACAGGTGTGAGCCACTGCGCCCGGCTAATTCACTTCTTACCCTCTCTGAACCTCGGTCTCCTCCTCTGTAAAATGGGCCTGTAGCTCTCTTTACAGGGATACTGGAAGATCACTTGTGGCTAACACGATTCCTGGGTCCCTGTGACTGTTGGTCCTCACACTTCTCCTCCTGTCTCTTTTCCAGTTGATTGCCTTGCTACAGTGTGATAAGAAATCCATTCTCTGTTTGGCTTTTCAGGGAAGTGAAGAGACAGCCAAATGGCCAAATTCCCCTGGAAATTTCTCCTGGTGTCTGGCACCCTGGGATTTTGCCTGGCTGGGTTTGTGGGCGGCTGCCAGAGGCACTGCAGAAGCTGTCAGGCTGGGCTTCCAGGGACAAAGGTGGAAGCGCCCCCACCAGAGAAGAGTGTGGGTGTCAGGCATGGCCTGGGCTGAGACCCCGCTGTCACTTCCTGTCTGTGATCTTGATCAAGCTCACCCCCTGCCCTGAGCCGGCTGGTTTGTTCATCAGTACAACAGGGTTAATAAATAGCACTGCCTACCCGCTGGGTGCTGTAAACATCCTGTGGAAAGATGGACTTTTGAAAACATCGCGTGTCACTGTGAGGAGCTGCCGGGGTTGGAAGAGGAGTGGCTAGATGTTCCTTGAGGCTCCCTGCTGCGCTGGGCTGCAGGTAAGGCCTGAAGCTAAAGCCCATTCCTCCTGGGGCGCTGGCCATGGTACCTCTCATCCTACCCCTAACCACTCCACCTGAACACGGGGAGCAACTCCCTCCCAGGCTGGCTCTGCCCTCTGTGCACTGCTCCTACCCCTAACCACTCCACCTGAACACGGGGAGCAACTCCCTCCCAGGCTGGCTCTGCCCTCTGTGCACTGCTCCTACTCCTAACCACTCCACCTAAACACGGGGAGCTCCTCCCTCCCAGGCTGGCTCTGCCCTCTGTGCACTGCTCCTACTCCTAACCACTCCACCTGAACACGGGGAGCAACTCCCTCCCAGGCTGGCTCTGCCCTCTGTGCACTGCTCCTACTCCTAACCACTCCACCTGAACACGGGGAGCTCCTCCCTCCCAGGCTGGCTCTGCCCTCTGTGCACTGCTCCTACTCCTAACCACTCCACCTGAACACGGGGAGCTCCTCCCTCCCAGGCTGGCTCTGCCCTCTGTGCACTGCTCCTACTCCTAACCACTCCACCTGAACACGGGGAGCTCCTCCCTCCCAGGCTGGCTCTGCCCTCTGTGCACTGCTCCTACTCCTAACCACTCCACCTAAACACGGGGAGCTCCTCCCTCCCAGGCTGGCTCTGCCCTCTGTGCACTGCATCTGTGGGTCCCGCTCACACCCCCCGAGTCCCTGTGCCATTTTCGAGCACACTGGCTCCTGAGTGTTTTCACCTCTGGCAGCCAGCGCCTATGTCTCCCAGATGGAAGAAGTCCCCAGGCCACGGGCCCGCTGTGCCTGTTCAGGGAAGGGCAGAAGTGCCTGGGAATGTGTGTGGCCCAGGGCCTGGCCCTTACTCAGGACTGACGGGTGTGGGTGGCCTTGCTCCTACGCGGAATTAACTGTGGGGTGTGATCTGCGTGGTCTCCAGAGCCCCCAGGAGGACTGAGCCACAGTCAGCCTGTGTGGGTTTGCTTCATGTCAGATGCTTGCCTCCTTCCTTTCCCGTCTCACTTTCCCGCTCCCCTACTGGGCTTTCTTGGATTTTCAACAAATGCATCTACACAAATCCAGCTCAGGTGTGTGCCACGGAGGAAGCCAACTCACAAGAGTTGCCACGGTGTTGTGGCAGCTGTGTGGGCATTGCTGTGTGGGTAGCTGTGAGGACATTGCATCTCTGCCACCCCGTGGACTTGCCACACTGCTGGAAAGGGGTGCAGTCTTCCACCTTTGTCGGGTGTCTGGGGCTTGAATGGAGTAACACATACCTTGGCCTCACTTGAAGGGTCTGCATTTGGGTCCTCTGGTCTCTTGCCAAGTTTCCCAGCCACTCGAGGGAGAAATATCTGGAGGGCAAAGAAGAGACTTATGTTATTGTTGAACCTCCAGCCACAGGGAGGAGCATGGGCATGGGTCAGCTGGATGTAAGGATGGATGCTCTCTATACATGCTGGGTTGGGGATGCTGGGACTGCACAGCCACCCCCAGTATGCCGCTCCAGGACTCTGGGACTAGGGCGCCAAAGTGTGCAAATGAAAATACAGGATACCCAGGGAACTTTGAATTTCAGATTGTGAAAAGAAAACAAATCTTGAGACTCCACAATCACCAAGCTAAAGGAAAAAGTCAAGCTGGGAACTGCTTAGGGCAAAGCTGCCTCCCATTCTATTCACAGTCATCCCCCTGAGGCTCACCTGCATAGCTGATTGCTTCCTTTCCCCTATCGCTTCTGTAAAAATGCAGACTCACTGAGCCAGACTAAATTGTGTGTTCAGTGGAAGGCTGATCAAGAACTCAAAAGAATGCAACCTTTTGTCTCTTATCTACTACAACCAGGAAGCCCCCACTTAAGGGTTGTCCCACCTTACTGGACTGAACCAAGGTACATCTTACACCTACTGATTGATGTCTCATGTCCCCCTAAGATGTATAAAAGCAAATTGTACCCCTAACCACCTCGGGCACAAGTTTTAGGACTTTCTGAGGCTGTGTCATGGGTGTGTCCTTAACTTTGGCAAAATAAACTTTCCAAATTGACTGAGACCTGTCTCAGATATTTTGTGTTCACAAGATCGACAGCTAATTTTTTTAGTGTAAGTCCTAAATGTTGCATGGGGTATACTTATACTAGATTATTAGTTGTTGATCTGAAATTTAGAGCTAACTGGGCATCCTGTATTTTCCGTCATGACCCTATCTGGGACTCTCCTAAGGTCATCTTTCATTCTTTTGCCAAATGTCCTAATCAGGATGGTTTTGTCTGAAGATTCCTGAATGGGATCAGGAGAGGAGGATGTTGGCCTGACGTGAGCAGCTCCTCTGATGTGAGCCTCCCGCGCCCTCCGTTCTAGTCACATCCATCTTCACGTGGCGGCGGACTAAGGATTTCCACATGAGGCAACATGATTCAGGCGGCTCCTTTTGGATTTTACACTGTCAGGGTGTGTGTGTTTCAGATCCTCAGAGCAGAGGCTCAGAGTCCCCTCATAAAGAGCCTTTTTAGGGTAGAAACAACAAATAATAAACAAAAATGAACCCCAACAAAGGCACAGCTGGCTAACTGGCTATGAGGAAACTCAGGCCGGATGTTCACGGGAAGGGAGGTGGGGGGCCCAGGATCCTGCTGTCAGGCCCACGGTGGCGTGTGTGCTGTGGGGAGGCCTCAGGGGGCACCAACTCAACTGGGTTGCTGTGTTCCCCTCACTCACCACTGTGCCCCACTCACCACTGTCCCCACTCACCACTGTCCCCACTCACCACTGTGCCCTCCACTCACCACTGTCCCCCCACTCACCACTGTCCCCACTCATAACTATTCCCCCACTCAACACTGGTCCCCCCTCACAATTAGTGCCCCCCCCCAATAATTGTCCCCCCTACCAATAGTGCCCCCTCCACCCACTGTCCCCACTCACCACTGTGCCCCCACTCACCACGGTCCCCCACTCACTACTGTCCCCATTCACCACTGTCCCCCCACTCACCACTGTCCCCACTCACCACTGTCCCCCCACTCACTACTGTGCCCACTCACCACTGTCCCCCGACTCATTACTGTCCCCACTCACCACTGTCCCCACTCACCACTGTCCCCCCAACTCACCACTGTCCCCCCACACACTGTCCCCCCACTCACCACTGTCCCCCCACTCACCACTGTCCCCACTCACCACTGTCCCCTCCACTCACCACCGTGCCCACTCACCACTGTCCCCCCACTCACCACCGTGCCCACTCACCACTGTCCCCCCACTCACCACTGTCCCCACTCACCACTGTCCTCCCACTCACCACTGTCCCCCCACTCACTACAGTGCCCAATCACCACTGACCACCACCACACACTGACAACCACACACCACTATGCCCCCAATAAACAATGTCCCCCCCAACACTAAAGTGTCCCCCAACTCAACAACTGTCCCCCCCCACTCACCACTGTCCCCCCACTCACCACTGTCCCCCCCACTCACCACTGTCCCCACTCACTACTGTCCCCCCACTCACTACCGTGCCCATTCACCACTGTCCCCCGACTCACCACTGTCCCCACTCACCACTGTGCCCCCACTCACCACGGTCCCCCACTCACTACTGTCCCCATTCACCACTGTCCCCCCACTCACCACTGTCCCCACTCACCACTGTCCCCCCACTCACTACTGTGCCCACTCACCACTGTCCCCCGACTCATTACTGTCCCCACTCACCACTGTCCCCACTCACCACTGTCCCCCCAACTCACCACTGTCCCCCCACACACTGTCCCCCCACTCACCACTGTCCCCCCACTCACCACTGTCCCCACTCACCACTGTCCCCTCCACTCACCACCGTGCCCACTCACCACTGTCCCCCCACTCACCACCGTGCCCACTCACCACTGTCCCCCCACTCACCACTGTCCCCACTCACCACTGTCCTCCCACTCACCACTGTCCCCCCACTCACTACCGTGCCCACTCACCACTGTCCCCCACTCACCACTGTCCCCCACTCACCACTGTCCCCCCACTCACCACTGTCCCCACTCACCACTGTCCTCCCACTCACCACTGTCCCCACTCACCACTGTCCTCCCACTCACCACTGTCCCCCCACTCACTACCGTGCCCACTCACCACTGTCCCCCCACTCACCACTGTCCCCACTCACCACTGTCCTCCCACTCACCACTGTCCCCCCACTCACTACCGTGCCCACTCACCACTGTCCCCCACTCACCACTGTCCCCCACTCACCACTGTCCCCCCACTCACCACTGTCGCCCCAGTCACTACCGTGCCCCCACTCACCACTGTCCCCACTCACCACTGTCCCCCACTCACTACTGTCCCCCACTCACCACTGTCCTCCCACTCACCACTGTCCCCCCACTCACTACCGTGCCCACTCACCACTGTCCCCCACTCACCACTGTCCCCCACTCACCACTGTCCCCCCACTCACCACTGTCGCCCCAGTCACTACCGTGCCCCCACTCACCACTGTCCCCCAACTCACCACTGTCCCCACTCACCACTGTCCCCCACTCACTACTGTCCCCCACTCACCACTGTTCCCCCACTCACCACTGTCCCCCCACTCACTACCGTGCCCACTCACCACTGTCCCCCAACTCACCACTGTGCCCCCACTCACCACTGTCCCCCACTCACCACTGTCCCCCATTCACCACTGTCCCCCATTCACCACTGTCCCCCTACTCACTACTGTGCCCACTCACCACTGTCCCCCAACTCACCACTGTGCCCCCACTCACCACTGTCCCCCACTCACCACTGTCCCCCATTCACCACTGTCCCCCTACTCACTACTGTGCCCACTCACCACTGTACCCCCACTCACCACTGTCCCCACTCACCACTGTCTCCCCACTCACTACCGTGCCCACTCACCACTGTCCCCCCACTCACTACTGTCCCCCAACTCACCACTGTCTCCACTCACCACTGTGCCCCCACTCACCACTGTCCCCCCACTCACTACCGTGCCCACTCACCACTGTCCCCCCACTCACCACTGTCCCCACTCACCACTGTCCCCCCACTCACTACTGTGCCCACTCACCACTGTCCCCCACTCACCACTGTCCGCCACTCACCACTGTCCCCCACTCACCACTGTCCCCACTCACCACTGTCCCTCCACTCACCACTGTCCCCCCACTCACCACTGTCCCCACTCACCACTGTCCCTCCACTCACCACTGTCCCCCACTCACCACTGTCCGCCACTCACCACTGCCCCCCCACTCAGCACTGTCTCCACTCACCACTGCCCCCCACTCACCGGGAGGTTTGACTTCCTCCGGGGCTTTCCCGAGGGCTTCACCGTGAGCCCTGCGGCCCTCAGGGCTGCAATCCTGGATTCAATGTCTGAAACCTGCGAGAGGACAGCAGACAGAAGGCCCGTCAGACAGACGCTCGAGATCCCGCCTCAAAGTCATGGACAGAAAGAGCAGCTGCCCCCAGCTCAGTCCTGGAGCCAATTTTACTTGTGTTTTCCCTTAAGATTGGCATCACAGCCCCATGCCCATGTTGGTGGTCCCCTTGGCATTTATCTTCTGTGGTTGTTGAGAAGGGGGGGGTGTTCCTTATGGGTCACCCCAGGCAGGAGGAACGCAGGACGGGTGCATTTTCTTGAGTCTCAGGGAGTCCGGCTCCCATGAGGGGCTGGAGGAGGGGCCGTGACATGCAAGGACAGTAGTGGCTACTCTTCACCTAGCAGTCGGCCACTCCCACTGGCATCATCCTTGCCTGGCCCCCATTCCACCCCTCCCGTCTTAGGCCCCTCCTCCCACAGCAGCTGGGGGCAGCTTCTGGAAATTAGAAGCAGGCCCCATCACCCCCTACTCAGATCCTTGCAGTGGCCCCCAGGGGCCTTTGCCGTCCACCCTCCTCACACTCTCCCCTCATCACTCTGACCTGGTGTGGGGGTTTCACGGCTAATCCCTGCAGGCACCAAGCCCACTGCCACCCCAGGGCCTTGGCACGGGCTGCTCCCTCCACCCGGCCTCCTGCCCCCTGGATTTGCCAGGCTGGCTTACTTTCCTAGTATCCCTCCTGACTGCCTTATCTCAATCGCCCTGCCCCGAGCACTCTAGGGGCTCACCTTCACTGATTGTCTTAATCACACTTTTCATGAACCCAAATGATCTTGTTTGTTTGCTGTTTATCTCCTTCCACTAAAAACAAGCTCCAGGAAGGCTGGGGCTTCGTCTAAGGTATTTGCACCAGATCTTCCGTGGCCTACACAATGTGGGCTACATTCTAGGCATTTAAAGCTTATTTGCAAAGCAAGAAGGAATACATGAAGGGAAAGTCCAGAGCCTGACTCGCTCCCCTTGAACAGCTCTAGGGGACGTGCCCTTTGTCCTTAGGGAGTGACAGGCACCTGCTGATGAGAAGGGAAGTGGAGGAGGGCCGTGGGGGCTGGCTGTCCTCACAGTCCGAGAGGCACCCCCTCTCCTCTCTGTAGGTCTCCAGGGAGGACAGAGCAGTGCCTAAGTCACCTCAGCTGTCCCTGGGAGGCCTGAATGCTTTGGCTCTGCCCTTTGACCTTTGTGCACTATTGATGGGTTCCTCACCCAGATTCAAGCTCTGCAGCCACAACTCAGACTCACAGATGGCCCTCCGGACAGAGTCCAGTGCTGAGGTCTGGGGCTGTCCTAAATTCCAGGCCTGCTTCTAGGCCCCCATCCTGGGTCAGGGATTGTGTGTTCAGCACCTTTTTCTTGGTGGAAACCCTGCCTGTCCCTCACCAAGTTGAACAGGAAAAAGGGAAGGGGTGGAGGGCTCAGGGGGTGGCGAATTAGGTGAGTCCCCCAGAAACCCCCAGGTTCATGCCTGGCCTTCAGAGCCGTGCATGCTGGGCCAATGGGGAGGGCTCAGTGTGAGCTGGCGGATGTTAGAGCTGGCAGATGTTCAAGGCCTGGGTGTGGTCACCATCTGTGTTTGTGGAACTCAGTGCTCCCCTGTGCCTTCTGGGCTACCTCGCTCTCTGCCTGCTGGACTTCTGAGGCCGTCACTGCCACTCTGTCCTCCAGCTCTGACAGCTCCTCATCTGTGGTCCTGTTGTACTGGACGGGGTCCCCAGGGTCCTGGGGGCTTTTTTCCTGTCTGTTGGTTTGATGGGCAGCCGTGCCCACCTAGGAAAGAGAAGGACGGAGGCTGACCAGCAGCAGGAGGGAGTGTGGGGTTTCACCCAGATGGGGACTCACCACGATATTGCTCTCCTCTCTGAACCCTGGGAGCTGGTTGGTCAGGAGCCGGCCACCCGCTGCAGACCCCATCAAGGGCCCTTGGTGTGCTCCTGTGGGTGCTGCCTCCCTGGGGAGGGTGGCTGCCAGCTGGGACTGTCCATCCCTGCCCCTACCTCTGCAGGGTCCTGCTGAGACCTCTGGGGGATAGTCTTACCTCCGGGTCCGCCTGGGGGAGAGGCCCAACTGATTTGTCCCTGTTGGGCTCTGCCTTTTCGTCCTTGGCTTCCTCCTCCTCGGACGAGGTCTCCTGGTCACTGACGTTGCTGGTCAGCTCCTCCAGCTTCCTCCTCAGGGCCTCCTCCTCTACATCGGCCTCCGTGCGCACTCCAGCACCTAGACCCTGACAGAACAGGCCAGTGGATTTGGATTCGGCTAGCCATCTGGAGCCATGGAGCTCCAGGGCTGGCTCTGGGAGATGGGCCAGGGCCCAGCACACCTGGGGTTCCTGCTGAGCTCAGCTGCCTCCCTTCTCCATGCCAGCTTGTCCAACATGCCCCTCTGGGGCCCAGTCCCAGACTCCAGGAGCAGGTTCTGCAGGGCTGGGGGTTCCCAGGGAAAGCTGACCACCACCCCTGGCTATCTAAGACCCACATTTTTTTTCTCCCTTCTCATCCCTTTTGTTTAAGGGTGCCATTTGTTTATTCCAGGCTGACGTCCTTACTCTAGGGATGAGGAGAGAGGGGTGTGGAGTCATGGATCTCTGCCCACTCTCTCTCAGGGAAATACACAGACAGCCTTGGTCGGGTCCAGCTTCAGGGGCTGGGCTCTTCCCACGCTCTGGCCAACGATTCATTTAGCAGCTGCTGTGGGACACTCCTCTGGGGCACACTGCTCCTGATCACATAACAGCAGCCACTGGACTGCGAGTTCACCTGTGGCTCCCTATCAGGCCATGTGACCTTCGGCAGGTCACTCAACCCCTCTGCATCTCAGTTCCCTCAGCTTTAAAATGGTGGTGATAGCAGTATCCAACCTGCAAGTTATAAGAACTCAGTTCAATAATCTCTGTAAAGTCCTTAAAGGGTCTAGTTCCACTGGCCACCTTGTCTGTGGGCAGGAGGCAGGAGGGTTAAGGGCAGGCTTTAACTGTTGTGGACGCTGGCCTTTCATGAAGGGTTTTAGGTGCCAGCTCCGAGAAAGTGGCAGAGTTATGTGATAAAAACACAAAATTATCCCAATTGCCTCTTACAGCCAACATGGTGCTAAGGTAGGCGATGAGATTGAAAGTGTCACTCACACTGTAAAACTCACATTTTTAAAGGCAGCTTCACCCTTTAAAGCTCGCTTAGGCCAAGAACCTTGCAGACATCATGACCCCTCTTTTTCTCTCATCCCAGATATCCATTCCTGTTGGCTCTGCCTACGCGAGGCCCCCGGGATCGGTCTGCCTTGCACCACCTTCGCTGCTCTCCGGTTCGACCACCGCCTTCTCCCAGCCGGCCCTGCTGCCTCACCCCCACCTCCACAACCTGTTCTCAGGAGGATGGCCAGAGCAACCCCTGTGCCCTCAGCCAGCTGTCTTCTGCTCAAGCCTCCCCGCCCCCCCATAGTAAAAGGCAGAGCCTGGACCATGGCCTGGGAGGCTCCGTTCTGTCTGACTCTGCCACTACGTCCGGCTCCAGCCTCTGCGCGCCCACCCGCCCCTGCCTCGCCCATCTTGGCCGGGCTGTCTCCTGCAGCGGCTCCCTCCTTGGGACCTTAGGAGGGGCTGCAACACTTGACCTTAGACAGCCACACGGCAGCCCCGGCACCTCTGCCAGCTCTTTGGGCAAATCCCACGCTCAGTGAGGCGCCCTGACTGTCCTGTTTGAAATGTCACCCTCACCCCAGGGACCTTCTGCCTTGATTTATTTTTCTGTACCTTCCTCCACCTCCTGACCTGTGTTCCACTTGTTGGGTTGTGAAGGAAACCAAAATACACCACCCCAGAATAGACTTCTGGGACTTATTTCCAGCTGTTTATTCAGAGAAGCTGCAGACGGGATCACTCTGAAAACCTGTCTTTTTGTGTGTGTGTTGGGGGTGGATTTCATCCCTGGAGGAAAGCTATAGGGGTGAGCTGAACACCAGGCAGACAGGCTTTCTCTGAGACCCCCTCAGCGGCCTTAAAAGGACACTGATGCCTGACAGTGACACGTCGGACAGCGACGCCGCCAGCATGGACTGCTGCCGATTCTTCGAGGGCAGCTCCTGGTTACCCGAGAGATTTTTATCTGCATAACCAGAAGGCTTTCCTCCCCTCACCCTCCCGTGACCTTGTCACCCCTGTAACCCCTCAGGAAGCCCCAAGACCCATCCGTCCTGTCGCCTTGGGTGTAAACCTCAGTCGTCTGTCCCTGCTTCGAGTCCCACATTTGGGGGACCCCCGTGTTCATGTGCACAGTAACACATCATTGGCCTTTTCCCTGTGACCCTGTCTATGCTGAGTTCCCTTCAGCAGACGCAGGCCCCGCCCTCCTGGGGGAAAGCTTGGTGTTCCAGCAGTTGCGTGTTTCCTGCCTCTCCCAGATGGAATGCAAACCCCACAAGGCCCGCGTTTTTGTCGACTTTGTTCACGGCCACCTCCCCATCGTCAGGAGCCGGTGCTGGGAGCAGAGTGGCTCCCTGTGTCTCCCGACTCTTCCCAGGTGACGAAGTCACACAAGTTAGCAAGATGGCCAGGAAGACGACGCCCATTCACTTGTCTGCCCGTGCACCTGCTCGTTCACTCATCCATCCCACATTCCGAGGGCTCTCCCCTGGCCCCATGAAGTCGACTTTGAAGTGTGAGGCGAGGGCCGCGCAGAGATGCCACCTGGGGAACTTTAGTGCCGTCCTTGGTCCCTTCCTCTGGGAGCCATCACCTCCACTGACACTGGAGGGCTGGGAGGGAGGGAGAGCAGGTGCCTCCACCAGGAAGTTGCTCACAGCCCACGGCGCCCCTGGGCTGCATCGATCCCTCCCTCACCCATCAAGCCGAGGATATTGCACATGATCATTTAATTTTCTATTTGGACGAAGCCTATTGAGACAGATCGACAGGGCTGGCTGCCTGGGGTCTCACAGACGAACACCAAGGGGATGATTAGATTGAGTCGATGAAGAAGCCGCGTGTTTTAGCCAGTATGCTTTTCCGTGAGGCTCCACTTTCCTGACAAAGCCCCCAAATCACAGAGGCCCTCGGTGGAAAGATCGGGAATGACGTTCAGCCTGTAAACGCCATTGGGCCTGATATGAGCTGAACTTCGTCCCAGAGTGCATGGGGCTGAGAAACTGCAGGATCCCCGTGAGAAATGGAAGCCCAGCGCCCATCAGGCAGGACGCAGCAGAGCGACGGGGTATGGGGGTGGAAGCCGGTAGATGCCTGGGAGAGGCAGGGATTGTCTTCGCTTTGTAAGCCAGTAAATAAATTCACACACACACACACAAACCTACACACACAACACATGCACACATATACACATGTATGTGTGGAAAACACATGACAACATACGTGTGTGACAGGGACCTGAACCAGCATGGCGGGACACAGCCAGGGTGACTAACTCGTCCTTGTTTGCCAGGGATTTCCAGGTGCAAAAGCCCTGAGAGCCCCTGACAGGATGCTGGTGGCCCCAGATCCAGCCCCTCAAGGTGGAGGGCCCCGCTGCCTCTCAGGTCCAGCTCCTTGATGGCCCAGAGGGCCATTCCGCGAGCAGTGTCCCCTCGCGGGGAGTGTATGGGCAGTGCAGGTCCCATGTGGAGTCTGTTACTTCTGATTTACTAGTCCCTGGGCTGAGATTTGTATGAGCAAAAGGCCAAAGCCAGGAGGTACCAACAAGAGCCAGAGCGAGGGTGGCTGCCCTTTCCCTCCACAAGGTTAATCTGTTTCTGGGTGGGCTGGAGCCAGGGCCGGGCAGGCTACAGGACAGCGGGTCCCGAGTGTTGCTGAGGGGTCAGCAGGGTGGGGAAGGAGTTGGGCAGGAAGGGGGTGAAGGAGGTGAGTGACAGATCTCCAGTGTCCACCTGAGAGGCAGAGCCGAGGCCCGAGTGAGACCTGGGTCAGTGTTCCGCAGGGGCCTGGGGGCTGGATGGCTGGATATGGGACATGGGGTCCGATGGGGCGCTGGAGCTTGTGTTGGGGCCACTCTGACTCAGTGCAGGCAGGGGCCCTTCCAGAGGCATCCCGTGGGAAGCAATGCTCTCCCTAACTTCCCTGTGCTTTCAGCTGGTGCTCTCCGGTCAGTGATGGGCCGAGTCTCACTCATGAGAGCCTGGGCCTCAGTTTCCTCATCTATAAGTGAGGGAAAGAAATGTCTACCTTGCAGGGGTACTGCAGGATTAAATGAAATTATGGCACATGGTCAGCCTGGCTCTAGTAACCCATAAAGCACAGAGCACAGTAACTCATCCCCTTATAGATAAAGGCAGCTGTGGTCCCTGCTGGACACATGGCATGTGGGCTGGGCCTCAGTCTCTCTCCGCTCCGGCCGGGGTCAGAGCCTGTGCAGGGGTAGCCCTTGGGGTCTAACTTGGGGCCTGTGTGCTCTGCTTCCCACTTGGTCTCATGCCCCCAACCCGAGCTTCACCCAGATCTGTTTCTCCGGAGCCCTGGCCCCAAGAAAAATGAGCAGCTGCAAACCTAGGGTGCTACAAGGAGCGTCCTGCGGAGTGAAATCATTCAAACTTAAAGCTGTTGGAACTTTAAATGATTGGGAGCCTCTAGAGGAATGTGGCTATGTGGCCTGAGTCAAGTGGCATGCAACTTCTGTTTCTGCTTTTCTCTGTAGACGATTGGGAAAGACCGAGTGGTGCCAGAGATGAGACCCCTCTCAAGATCATTACCCCTACTCATGGAGTGTTAAAGCAATCTTCCTCGGAATTAGTAAGCTGTAACCTAGTGAATTGCTACAATGTAATTATAGGCCTTGTATGGAAAATGCTGTAACACTGAGAAACTTCTCTGTTTCTGCCTATATAAGTGAAACTTTAAATTCTCCACTTTGGAGCACTGACCCCATTCCTATGGAGTCTGTGTGGCCCAGAAGGCTGTCCTCAAACTTTGTGCTCAAAGAAACTCAATACTTAATCATATTTGCTGAATCTCCTTATCTCCGTGCCCAGGTGCTAGATGTGTGGCTGTGACTCAGCTGGAATGGAGGACTGGGTCCCTACTCCCTCTGCACCCCGGCTGTCTGTCTGCCTGTCTCTCAGACACAAAAGCACACACACACACATGCACACACACTCCTGCAGCAGGCCATGGTTTGTTTTATTTACTCCCCATCAGGTTGTCTCGGTGTGCTGTTGTGGTTTGACTGTGTCCCCTAAAGTTCATGTGTTGGGAACTCGATCCCCAGTGCAATAGTGTTGAGAGGTGGGACCTTCAAGAGGTGATTAGGTCGTGAGGGCTCTGCCTTCATGAATGGATTAATATCATTATTGAAGGAATGAATTTGTTATTCATTCCAGGGTGGTTGTTATAAAAGCAAGTTCAGTTCCATCTTGCTTTCTGTCTCTCCTGCCCTCTGTCACCATGTGCCATGTGGTGACACAGCAAGAAGGCCCTCACCAGATGCCACCCCTTGGTCCTAGACTTCCCAGTCTCCAGAACCATGAGCCAAATACATTTCTGCTCATTATAAGTTACCCAGTCTGTGGTATTTTGCTATAGCAGCATATAGCAGACTAAGCTGTGCTGATGATACATTCACAAACATGGTGCGGAAGGAGATTCCACCCTGCTTTGGTGCCTAGACTTCAGAGGCTGTAGGGCCAAGCAAGTTTCCTCCCATCTCCAGTTATGTCCCCTGGGAAGGCTGTTACACGTATGTGCCCTCCAAGCATTCTCTCATTCAAGCTCTGGGCATGAGAGGTGGTGGCAGGCCTGGATGGGACAGAAGACTTCACTCAGGCTATGTGGTGGGAACTGCCTGGCTCTCTGAGAACTACACACAGAACTTAACCTTACAAACAGCAAAATCTCAAGAAACTCTTCTCCCAAAAGCCCATGTCACACTTCAGCCTCCTTTAACTAAGGAGCTGTGGGGGCCCTTTCTCTTTGCCCAGCCCCCAGTGTTACCTTGGCCAAGGGAGGCACAACTGTGTTCTCCAGGTAGGTCAGCAGGCATTCCACAGCTGAAATATGCTTATTCAGCTCAAAGATCTGCAGCAGAAGGAGAGAAACAGTGGGCAGAGGACCCAGTGCACTCCAACCAGCAAGACACTGGCACCCACCACCTCTGAAGCACCAAATTCCCAAGAAGCGGAAGGAGAGCTAAGGCCACCACCCATGACATGGCCTGGGAAGGTTAATTGTGAAACCCATTTCTAACACCAAGAGTTCTGGAACACCAAGCAAAATCTTGGAGCGGAACCAAGAGAGGGGAGAGTGGGGAGGGTGAAAGTGGAGGAGAGGAGCCGAGTCCAGCAGGACAAGGAGCTGAATCTGGAAGGTTGTGATGGTGTCATTACTGTGGACAGCCACTGTCACTGCCGGTACCGAGCAGCACAGGAAGACATCAGTTAATTACGCCACAGTGATCAAACTCACAGTCATTAGCTAGCAAGAGCCTGGGGTCACTAGTGGGCTAGGAGGCAAGGCACTTCAGGTGACAACCTAAAGGGACCAGAAGTACAACTTCCTCATCCCTTGAGTCACCAGACTCTTGAGTCACCCAAAGTCTATTAGCTCCCAGACTGAGACATGATAAATCAATTTTCTAGTTTTCTTCCTCACCCAGCAGATGCATCTTTCCTGCCATTATCTCATTTACGGCTCACCTGGCTTTAAAAGAGGGAAATGGTGCTGTGGAGTGTTAAGATGCTTTTGTATTGTTTGGTCGGTAATTAGTTGAATCATCACAGCACCAAGGGCTTTGAGTGGGCAAATCTGCCCGAAGAACATGACTGGCTGAGAAATGTCAACACCAGGATTTCAGTTAGACCTCGGCCCACGCCTTGAGCGGCCACTAGTAACTGAGTCACCCTCTGGTCCCGTTGAGCATCTGCAGAAGCAGAGATCAATACCCTGGGGAGACAGCACTCAGCACACATCCTCTGTCTCCCGGAAGCAGTGGGCTTGGGGACTCAGGCAGATCACCTGAGGTCAGGAGTTCGAGACCAGCCTGGCCAACATGGCGAACGCCATCTCTACTAAAATACAAAAATTAGCCAGGGGTGGTGGCTCATGCCTGTAATCCCAGCTACTCGGGAGGCTGAGGCAGGAGAATCGCTTGAATCTGGGAGGTGGAGTTTGCAGTGAGCTGACATCATGCCATTGCACTCCAGCTTGGGTGTCAAGAGCAAGACTCTGACAAAAAAAAAAAAAAAAAAAAAAGAAAAGAAAATAGAGAAGAGACTTCCCACTGCCCCCTTGTCTTTCAGAGCTTCTTTCTCTGCTTTTTCCAAATACATATAAATCTTTAAAATGGCTAAAAAGCCTCTCTGCAGTCTCAAAACTCCACCTGGGAACTGTGTTTTTGAAATGGAAACATCCTTGAAGATAACTCTAGCTCCCACTCCCCAGGAGAGGGTGAAGAGTCTAACGTGGGTGGGCGCCTTGCTCCAGTTTGCAAAACTAGCTCCCATCTTAAAGATGTGTGAGAAGGTTGCTTTTCTTAGGGTTAAAGCCAACACAAGTGGTCTCCCGGTTATGATGCTAGAGTGAGGATGTACACTGTGATCAAAGGCACCATCAGCTCCTCTCATTGGTAAGGACTGGTGATGGTTTGTGCTGAGAACTGTGTGGAATGGGCCGGGCCTGCCGGGCTGCAGAAGGGCTGAGAGGCCTTCCTGTCTTTGCAATCTCTCAGCGGATTGCCTGGGGCACGTGCCATATTCTGGTTTGATGCTTGTTCAAGAATAAATCTGTCTTCTTCCTCTGCTACCCTTATGGAGAGATTTTCTGGGTAATGAAAAGATTTCGGGTTTTTCTAAAAATTATATTTCTCCAACAGTAACAACTGCTCTGGTGGGAGTAGCATCACTCAGACGTGGGCATCTGACCCTGTGTGGGCACCAGTCATCAGGATTATCACATTACTTAGATATGTACGGACAGAATACTAGGTAGGAACCCCTTGAGCTTTCAACTCGCGACAATACCAAAGTTTAGAGTTTACAAATGCAATACAGACACTAGCTAGGGATTAAAGCAAACCAACAAAATATGTCACTGGTGACACTTTTATGGGAAACCGTCAGTGTCTGTAGCCCGAGCACACACGAATGGCCCCAGGGCCGGCCCTTGGGAGTGAGGGGGCGGAGGGTGCGTGCCAGGGCCGTTTCCTCTCCCGTCTCCCATCTCAGCCCCTTAGAAACTTCCTTCCTACCACATGCTTGTGCCATCTTGGGCCTTGTCTGGGCTTGAACAATATCTACAGGAAGTCTTTACCCCTCGTCGGGAAAGCTGTGACTGTCAATACAAATGCAAAGGCAGGCAATGCACAGCTGCCTGACCCCTCAGATGAGCTGTGATAAAATACGATTCCTGAGAAAGCTCAGGCCCTGAGGGCATGGCTGGGAGTCTTGGGGTTGATGGGCAGATTGAGAGTGCTTCCTCCTGGGGTCCCACCACAGCCACTTCACAAAGGCCCCTCTAAGAGTCTGCCTGGGTTTTCTCTGAAGTACAGGATCGCTGCTGCATTTGGAGCTTCTTTCTGCTGCTTAATTTCCTCCATATAAAGATGCATGGGAAACAATCTAGGTGAAATATTAGTTGAGGTTGTCACATTGAATAATTCAAACAAAGCTGTTGGAACTTTAAATTCTGAGTCTTGAGAGGACATGTTTCACAGCTGAAACTTCTACTTTTTTTTTCCCTGTGAATAATTAAGACCAAACAGGATTGGAGATAAGGGCCCCCCAGGTCACTGTTCCTTTGCAAGGTTGTGATCCTGCTACAATTTCTACATAGGTGAAAACTTCACTAGTCCACTTTGGGCCCCATTTGTTTGAAGTCTGTGTTTCTGGGTGGCCACTGTCAAGCTTTTGTTCTGATAAACTTGATATACTAATACTTATTTATATTTTCTGAATCTCATTATTTAGGGTTGGCAAAGTAAATACAAGTTAATAGGAATAAATAAAGAGAAACAATTCCACAGGCAGGATATACAAACATGAACTAGAGAATAATTCCAAGCAGGTATAAAGGATAATTGGTTTCAGTGGGGCTGGAAACCACGCTATGTATTTTACTAAAGGCTACTAAAGTTGCTAAACTACAGGTTTACTGAAAATAGACAACTTGATTCTCCTCTTCATCCTGTTGTCTTCAGGCTAGGAGACTAGGAGATGCTCAGCCAGCCAAGGATGTCCCATGGGTCTCTACCTGGCCACCCTGAGAGGTCTCTATGCTGGCCTCACCCAAGAGGTCTCTATCCTGGCCACACTGGGGAGGTCTCTATCCTGGCCACCCTAGTCCTCCACTGTCCCCTGCATCCACAGGTCCCTGGATGGACTTGGCTGAGTTGGCTCTTCCCCTTTTCTCAGAATAACTGTAGAATGTGTCAAGAAAGCCACTTCCTGATGTAAGGAAGAACTGTCTGGACTGTCTAGAACCTGGGCTCTAGAACTGGATATCCTTTGGCCCAGTGATCCCAGTTTCCCAGGGTATAAGACTCAGAGAGGAATGCTTTCTGGGACCCCCCAGCTGCCGCATGACACAGGATACTTGCAGCCGATACTCCACCCTCCCTGCAGCTTCCCTGAGCCTGGGGGACCTCGCTGCCTGACTGTGAGTAATGAAGTGGCTCTGCTCGACTTGTGTGTGTTCCGTGTTGCAGAACTAGACCTGCGAATGCAGGTGGTGGAGGCTTGACTGCTGCAGCACTGGGTCTGCTCTGAGTCCCCGCCAGAGCTCAGCATACCTGCAGGTTTCAAGTCCTCTCGGGACACAGAAACTGCAGGGGCCAAGCCAGTCACTCCCTGATCTGAATGAAAGGACACTTCCTTGTGTCAGGGCCTTGCTTGCTGTTACACAAAAGGAGTTCCATGCCTCAGGAATTGTGGGCCCCAATGGGTGACGCGGCCATAAGCAGTCTTCACGCAGGCCTTGTCAGGGCCTTTCATGCCCGGCTATGCTCAGGGGCAAGAGTGCTTCTTTCAGAGACTAAGTGGGCCCTCAAGGAAGTTGGTGCAGGAGAAACTTCCACCCAGGGTTGAGGAAGCTTCCAGATGACACTACAGTAAAAAGTCAGCTGAGGACACTGAGTCCAGAGAGATGCTGAATTCAGAAACTGCATGCTTCTGCCCCGTGGACACTAGCCCAATTTTAGAACCCAAACCCCTATGATTCCCCATATTGCCATGCTAAGGAAGTCTCTTTTTGAAATTCAGGTGCTCATTTTTGGTAGATCATTTCTCTGGGTGCAGAAGCAAAGTGACAGGATGTCGGAGGAGCCCCTCACCTATCATGCACGCGAAGGTTTGGCCCTGTGAGAACAGCCACGGGACAGATTTCCTGCTGAATGAGGGCTCGGAAAAGCCCAGGGCCTACTGCATACTTCCTGTTGCCCACTCGTGAGCCAGTGCTGGTCTAGTGACTGCCACAGTGTAGGCCAAGGCCTTGGGAGAGGAATCTGCAGCCCTGTGGCTGAAGAGCTGGGTGATGCTCCATCTCAGGTCGTCCTGTGCACCGAAAGGCCAGGGCGCTGGAGAAGCCCTAGACCCTGCAGAGCAGCTTCTGCGTGCCCTGCCCACCTCGCCTGCCCCTTGAGAACCCCAGCTGTGCACCACCTGCGTCCTCGCTGCTTCCAGGCCTTTCCTGACAAGGCTCAGCTTTCACTTAGCCTCCCTCCTGACAGCCCAGAGCCCACAGGCCCGAAGGGAAGCTCCACAGGGCATTCCCTTCCCCAGCTCTCCCAGGAGGAGGGAGGAGGGGCTCTGTACCAGGCATCACCATGCCCAAGGAGCTGGCCCTACATTCATCCAGGCTCCAGAAGATGTGCCTGAGACCAGCCTTGGTGAAACTGCGGTTCCGGTCTCCATTCAGAGCAGCCCCACTTCCCCTTCTCTGGGTTTCATGCCTCAAGAGTCATCAGTTACAGAACAGTCCCCCATCCTGTGATTACGTTGCTGGAGTCAAGGCTCTATCAGAGACATTAATAGCCTGTGTCTTTCATTGCCTTAAAGAACCTAGTGGTCATGATGTTCTCAGAAGAAACAATATTGCCTTTCCCCCGGTAACATGAACTTGCTCAAATTGAAATCAGCTGACTCAACAGAATCATCATTTAAATGCAGCAAGCGGAACTCAGGGCACTTGAATCTTGTGATGAATTATTTCATAAGTTAATGTCTACAATGTGAGTGATTCTACTAATTTAACAGGTGTTAAGTATTATGAGCAGAGTTTCTTAATGCCTATATAAAGCCTGCTAAGGGGCTGGGCATGGAGGCTCACACCTGTAATCCCAACACTTTGGGAGGCCGAGGTGGGCAGATTACTGGAGGTCAAGAGTTCAAGACCAGACTGGTCAGCATGGTGAAACCCCATCTCTACTAAAAATACAAAAATTAGCCGGGCGTGGTGGTGGGCGCCTGTGATCCCAGCTACTCAGGAAGGGGAGGCAGGAGAATCGCTTGAACCCAGGAGGCGGAGCTTGCAGTGAGCCGAGATTGCTCCACTAAACTCCAGCCTGGGTAACAGAGCAACACTCTTTCTAAAAAAAATAATAATAATACAGCCTGCTAAGCGTTTCACATAGCTGACAGATTATTTCCTCCTCTTGTAAAATATATAATACTTGATCAAGTATAAAATATATATTTTCATAAAAAGGAATGAAGCACCCATATGTGCTACAGCATGGATGGACCTCAGAAGCATTATGCTCGGTGAAAGGAGCTCGTGACAAAAGGCCAGATGTCCTTCTGTGAGTCCATTTACATGAAATGTCCAGAATAGACAAATCCATTGAGACAGAAGGAAGACTGGTAGTTGTCAGAGGCCGGGGACAAGGGAGACTGGGAAGTAACTGCTTCATGGGTATGGGATTTTTTTGGGGGGTGAAGTTGTTTTGGAATTAGAGAGAGGTGGTGGTTACACAACACTGTAAATGTACTGTCACTGAATTGTACGTCACAGTGGCTCACGCTTGTAATGTCAGCACTTTGGGAGGCCAAGGTGGGGGGATCACCTGAGGCCTGGAGTTTGAGGCTAGCCTGGCCAACAAGGTGAAACCCCGTCTCTACTAAAAATACAAAAATTAGCCAGGCATGGTGGTGCACGCCTGTATTCCCAGCTACTCAGGAGGCTGAGGAGGGAGAATCACTTGAACCCGGGAGGTGGAGGTTGCAGTGAGCCGAGATTGCGCCATTACACTCCAGCCTGGGCCACAGAGGGAGACTCCATCTCAAAAAAAAATTAAAAAAAAATAAATTTTTTGAAAGACTAAAGATTATTTATTTTCTCCTAAATTCAATAAAATATTACTTTTTTCAATTATAAAATACATATAAAAATTTACCCTTTTATCCATTTTTAAGGTATTAAGTATATTCACATTGTTGTATAACTGTCACCACCGTCCATCTCCAGGGCTCCTTTCATCATGCAAAGCAGAGACTCTGTGCCCATTCAACACTAATTCCCATCCCCCTGACCCCAGCCCCTGGTGACTACTATTCTAGTTTCTGTCTCTATTAATTTGACTAAGAACCTCAGGTTAAGTGGAACCATATAGCATGTGTCCAGAGTGACTGGTTTATTTCACTTAGCACAGTGTTCTCCAGGTTCATCCATGGTCTAGCATGTGTCAGCGTTTCTTTCCTTTTTAGGGGTGAATAATATTCCATGTTGCGTACATCCTGCATTTTTTTATCCATTCATCTGTCAATGGACGCTTGGGTTACTTCCACCTTTTGATTATTACAAATAACGCTGCTATGGATACGGGGTTGCAAATATCTTTTTCAGTCCCTGTCTTCAATTTTTTGGGGTGTATACCAAGAAGTGGAATTGTTGGATCCTATGGAAACTCGATTTTTAATTTTTGGGGAATGGCCATACTAAGATGGTTAATTTTCTGTTATGTGAATTCACTTCCACAAAAAATATTGTGATGACGTATCTCCATTAAGTAGGCTTGTGCAATTTCATAGTTTGAAAGTATTAAAAGCTGTAATTTCTCTAAAGTGACTTGGTGTGGAGGTAAAAAGACTCCACCCAAAGAAACGACAAGACAGAAGTCTTTCCAGCCACCGTTACCTGACTCTCAGAAGACGCCCGGCCTCTCCGCTTGGAATGGTGGGAGGCCATCACGTGAGCCCGGATGCTTTCCTCATCAGAGGTGTCCACATCGGCCAAGTACTGCAGGGGCAGCTGCTCATTCCTGATGACATTCGACCCTTCAGAGCGAGAGTGGGTTTGAATTACTTGCAGTGAAAACCTGAAAGCTGATGGACGTGTTTAGTCCAATGAAGAAAAATGAGGCTCAAAGAAAATGAAGACATAAGGATGTTCATGTTACAGGGCTGAGGTTCCAAAGTCACAATAAGAATGGGGCAGATTCCACAGCCACACACAAAGATCTTCAGGAAAAAAGAGGACCTTGCCTGGCATTGTGGGTGGGGGTTATGAGTGGACATACTTTGCATGTTTGCAAAGTAAATGTAATATGATTCCCAATTTCAAATTGCAAATAACACCAGATTCCATGATAAGATCATAAACATGTTGTTTCAAGCCACATTTTAGGTTTGTGATAATTTGCTATGTAGTCAACAGGTTCAGCCATCTCATTTAATCCCTATGACAATGGGATGAGTTAGACGTTGTTAACCCCTTTTGTACAATGAGGAAACTGAGGTGCACAGAGGTTAAGCGATTTGTTCTAACAGCACAGCATACCTCAATGAATCTCAGACTTTGCAGATTGGATGTTGCATTATTGAGAGACAGTGCTGCCAGTGAGTCTCAAGCATACCCCTTTCTTACCACATTCACTGTAAGACACTCCCCGTTTGAGAGGTTGGTGTGTAAAAAGAACGTGTGTGAGAACCAGTGAAACAGACTGGCAGAGTGAGGCTCCAAACTCAGAACTGCCTGACTCTGAGGCAGCTCTCCCAGCACGATGGCCTCTCCCCCAGACTGCCTCCGGTCGACGTGCTCAGGGGACTTGAGATCACAGAGGAAATAAAACTGCTCTCCAGGTCTGCACCCTGTGGCTTGGCCAAAGTAGATTCATTTAATCATTGTTTTTGGGGGAAAGTAGAGCCCTGCCTTCCTCCCAAAGCCTCCAAGGTCCCCGTCAGCATGAGATTACGGCCCCTTCAATACAACGAAGAGGGAAGCTGGAGAGTAGACAGCTTTCCCGCACGCAGCCACTTGCTGTGGCTTGGGGAAAGCTGGCTGCTGCTGTGATCTTACTTGCTCCTGTTCCGATGGGACATCTGAACTCTCGGACCCATGGTACATACACCCTTGGGGTACCAGAAAAGACAGAGCTTTGGGGATTTCATTTCAAAGCAAAACTGACGACAAAGTTAAGCCAAGCAGATTTAGGTTCTCAGTGCTTAAAGATCTCCTGATCAACAGACTTGAACTGACTGTGGGCCAGCAGTGGCAATGCCCAGATGCCCATCCTGCCCAGACCAGGATGGTTGGCCGGTTGACCAGTGGTTCTAGTCATTTCAGGGAGGCCTGCATGTCCCACCCCAGGCTGGAAGCAGGGAGCTGTGGGCTGGCCACCTCCTGTGCTGGAAGTTCTGACAGTTACAGGGAAGCGCACATCCCGGTCCCGGGGACGGCAGGTGTCCACGGTGTTTGCTGGGACTGCACGTCCCGGACAATCACGCCAAAGGAAGGGGCCTTTCAAATCAGCCCGTGTGTTGGATAGGTCAGGGTGGTGGGGTTGTTCCTCAGTGACCTGCTCCCCCATGCCGAGCCCATCAGGAAGACCCTGGCCAAGGGCACCTACCGAGTGCAGCAGCAGTCCCCAGGGCCATCCTGTGGGAGCCTCCAGGCGGGCAGAGCTCAGCCAGGGCGCCGTGTCTGGAAGGTGAGATGCTGGTCGGCTGCTCTTCCGGATGGGAGTGGCACCCAGAGGCCCCAGTATCAGCCTCCTCCAGGCCCTCAGCCTTGTGAGGGGCTGCCTTCTCTGAGCAGGACTCATCTGTGAGGGACTAAGCACATGGGGCTGTCAGCCTCCTCTGCAGGGTTTACTAGGAGGGGCCGCTGCCTGGAATGTGGGTCTTTCAATCCAAGCCCTGAGGCTTTCCAGGCACTTGACTGACCCAGCACTAGGCACCCATCTGCGCTGGCCCCTGCCACTCAGTTCTGTTTAATTTCAAAGACTGTGCCTAAAGCATATATTGCCTATTTGTTGCCTACTGACTGCCTATTGCATGTGTCTGTGCAATGTTGGGGCCCCCAACGACACCCTGGGCCAGGCATGACACAAAGGGATCAAAACTCTCCTGACACAGCCTCAGGGGCTCAGACTCACCCAGAGACCAAAGCTCTGAGGACGTGGGCAGGGAAGTTAATATTTTTGGGAGAAGGGTGCACTGTTACTAACTATGTACACCTTAATCTTTGAAGATCAGAAAAGTGGGTTGGGGCTTCCTGGCAGCTCCTTGGCTGTAATCCGGACATCCCTCCAGCAGAGGGGTGTCTGTGTTATGTCATTGTCCCCAAGGAAAGGAGGTACTGAGGGCTTCAAGAAGCAATATGCCACAGCGCCCTTCCAGTTTGACTGTGAGTGGGGGGTGGAGGCCAGAGGAAATGCGCACTTAGGACAGCCTCCAGTTAGAGCAGGACCTGTGGCCCAGAAACCAATTGGCTGCTGGCTTCCAGGACCCACCCTGCTTCCCCCTCCTCCTGGAGGGGTCTTCAGACCGGCCTGGGTGGACCGAGCCCCGCCCCAGCTCTGGCTCAGCACTGCCTGTGCCCAGGGGATGCTGGGAATGGAGTTCAGAAGTTCACTATGAAGCCGGCCTTGGGCCTGGGCCTGGGCCTGGCTCTGTGCCCATAGTTACCTTCACTGCCTGCCTGTGAGTCTCATGCCTTCCAGGTACAGCATCTATGATGATTAGTAATGAGTGTCAACTTGATTGGATCGAGGGATGCAATATTGTTCCTGGCTGTGTCTGTGAGGGTGTTGCCAAAGGAGATTAACATTGGAGTCAGTGGGCTGGGGAAGGCACACCCAGCCTTAATCAAGTGGGCACCATCTAATCAGCCGCCAGTGAATATAAAGCAGACAGAAAAACGTGAAGCGACAAGACAGGCCTAGCCTCCCAGCCTACATCTTTCTTCTGTGCTGGATGTTTCCTGCCCTCGAACATCGGACTCCAAGTTCTTCAGTTTGGGACTCCGACTGGCTCTCCCTGCTCCTCAGCTTGAAGACAGCCTATCGTGGGACTCGTGATCGTGTAAGTTAATACTTAATAAACTCCCCTTTATATATATATATATATATTCTATTAGTTCTGTCCCTCTAAGAAAACCCTAATACAGCATCCTTGAAATGATCCTGTAGGGCGGAAATAATCAACTTGACACTGGCCCTAGTAACCGACACCTTACTAGCCCTATTACTACTAATAATCGCATTTCGGCTCCCGCAACTTAATATTTATATAGAAAAATCCAGCCCCTGTCAATGAGGATTTGACCCAATAGCCTCAGCCTGCCTCTCCTTTTCCATAAAATTCTACCTAGTAGCCATCACGTTCCTCCTGTTCGACTTAGAGATCACTCTACTACTACTCCTGCCATGAGCCCTTCAAACAACCCACCTGACACTAATAATCAGCACAGGCCTTGTATTAGTAACTATTTTAACCCTAGGCCGAACCATATTACTTACCCGAGGCCTTCAAACACTGCTCCCAGTAAATAGCCTCTTGATGACTTCTAGCAAATCTTACTAATCTTGCTTTACCCGCTATCAGTAATCTAGTAGGAGAACTCTTTGTGACTATGGCCTCGTTCTCCTGATCAACTATCACTGTTATGCTTATAGGACTTAATATACTAATTACAGCCCTTTACTCCCTATATATGCTAATCACAACACAACGAGGGACACTTGTATATTAACAGTATTAAACCTTCTTTACACGAGAAAATACGTTAATACTTATACATCTTGCGCCCATCTTCCTGTTATCCTTAAACCCTAAATTATGGGGTTTGCATGCTGTAGCTATAGTTTAACCAAAACATTAGATTGTGGACCTAACAATAGAAGCCTGCAACTTCTTATCTATGGAGAAAGTATGCAAGAGCTGCTAACTCATGCCCCTGTGTCTAACAACATGGCTTTCTCAGCTTTTAAAGGATTAGAGTTACCGTTGGTCTTGGGAACTAAAAACATTGGTGCAACTCCAAATAAAAATAGCAAACATGAATTATTCCGCTGCTATAACAGCCCTAATCCCCTTAATCTTACCAATTACTGTTACCTTAGCCAACCCCTGCAAAAAAGGTTCATACCCAAATTACATAAAAACATCTATCGCATGTGCCTTCATCATTACAGTCATCCCTACAACGATGTTTATATACACAGACCAAGAAGCCATTATCTCACACTGACAATCCAGACTCTCAAACCCTCACTAAGCTTCACACTAGACCACTTCTCCACAATATTTATCCCAGCAGCACTATTCATTATCCGATCTATTGTAGAATTCTCAATATGATATATAAACTCAGACCCAAACATTAATCAACTTTTCAAATACTTATTTTCCTCATCACAATATTAATTCTGGTTACCGCCTCTTTCAGCTCTTTATTGGATGAGAAGGTGTAGGACTCATGTCTTTCTTACTAATCGGCTGATGGTACAGCCGAGCAGATGCTAATACAGCAGCCCTCAAGCAGTCCAGTACAACCGCATCGGTGATATTGGCTTTATTTTAGCTATAGCATGGTTCCTCCTGTCCTCCAACACTGAGAATGTCAACACATATTTATTCCAGACCCCACCCCCAACCCCTTCCATTAATTAGCTTTCTCTTAGCAGCAGCAGGAAAGTCAGCTCAATTCGGCCTCCATCCCTGACTCCCATCCACCATACAAGGCCCAACCCCAGTCTCAGCCCTGCTCCGCTCCAGCACTATAGTTGCAGCAGGTGTTTGAAGGCCCAACCCCAGTTTCAGTTCTACTCCACTCCAGCACTATAGTTGTAGCAGGTGTTTCAAGGTCCAAGCCCAGTCTCAGCCCTGCTCCGCTCCAGCACTATAGTTGTAGCAGGTGTTTGAAGGCCCAACCCCAGTCTCAGCCCAGCTCCACTCCAGCACTATAGTTGTAGCAGGTGTTTGAAGGCCCAACCCCAGTCTCAGCCCTGCTCCGCTCCAGCACTATAGTTGTAGCAGGTGTTTGAAGGTCCAAGCCCAGTCTCAGCCCTGCTCCACTCCAGCACTATAGTTGTAACAGGTGTTTGAAGGCCCAACCCCAGTCTCAGCCCTGCTCCGCTCCAGCACTATAGTTGTAGCAGGTGTTTGAAGGTCCAACCCCAGTCTCAGCCCAGCTCCACTCCAGCACTATAGTTGTAGCAGGTGTTTGAAGGCCCAACCCCAGTCTCAGCCCTGCTCCGCTCCAGCACTATAGTTGTAGCAGGTGTTTGAAGGCCCAACCCCAGTCTCAGCCCTGCTCCGCTCCAGCACTATAGTTGTAGCAGGTGTTTGAAGGCCCAACCCCAGTCTCAGCCCTGCTCCGCTCCAGCACTATAGTTGTAGCAGGTGTTTGAAGGTCCAACCCCAGTCTCAGCCCAGCTCCACTCCAGCACTATAGTTGTAGCAGGTGTTTGAAGGCCCAACCCCAGTCTCAGCCCTGCTCCGCTCCAGCACTATAGTTGTAGCAGGTGTTTGAAGGTCCAAGCCCAGTCTCAGCCCTGCTCCACTCCAGCACTATAGTTGTAGCAGGTGTTTGAAGGCCCAACCCCAGTCTCAGCCCTGCTCCGCTCCAGCACTATAGTCATAGCAGGTGTTTGAAGGCCCAACCCCAGTCCCAGCCCTGCTCCACTCCAGCACTATAGTTGTAGCTGGAGTTTTCCTGCTCATCTGCTTCTACCCTTCAATAGAAAAGAATCTATCAATCCAAACCTTTACATTCTGTCTGGCGGCTGTTACTACCATACTCACAGCAATCTATGCTCTAACACAAAATGATATCAAAAAACATCGCATTCTCCAACTCAAGTCAGCTGGGCCTTATAATAGTCACAATTGGCATTAATCAGCCACACCTAGCATTCCTTCACATCTGCACCCACGCCTTTTTAAAGCTATATTATTTATAGGTTCAGGGTCCATCATCCATAACATCAATGATGGATGAACAAGACACCTGAAAAATAGGAGGGCTATTCAAGACTCTACCCCTCACCTCCTCCTCCCTTGTTATCAGCAGCCTTGCACTTACAGGCATGCCTTTCCTCACAGGCTTTTACTCCAAAGACCTCATCATGGATACCGCAAGCCCATCATACAGCAATGCCTGAGCCCTTTCTATTACTCTTATTGCCACCTCCTTAACAGCTGTCTATAGTACCCATATTGTTTTCTTCGCTCTAATAGGACAACCTCGCTACACGACTCTGGTTACTATTAACAAAAATAACCCCTTCCTAATTAACTCAATTAAGCATCTAACAATCGGCAGCATCTTTGCTGGATTCCTCATCACCAACAGTATTATTCCTGCTTCATTCCCCCAAACAACCATACCACTCCACCTGAAGCTCGCAGCCCTAGGTGTAAACACCTTAGGCTTCTTGCTAGCAATGGAGCTTAATCTCATAACTAATAACCTTAAACTAAAATACCCATTACAGATATTTAACTTCTCCAACATACTAGGATTTTATTCAGCCACAATTCACCATACAACCCCCAACTCAAGGCTATTCACAAGCCAAAATCTGGCTTCACTTCCAAACCTAATTTAACTAGAAAAGTCTATACCAAAGACCTTTATGCAAACCCAAATTTCAGCCTCCATTACCGTATCTACTCAGAAAGGCCTGATTAAACTCTACTTTCTCTCTTTTTTTATCCCATCCCTTCTAATCCTACTCCTAATTATCTAATCTATTATCTTGAGTAATTTCAATTGCAACATAAATACTAACAAATAATAATCAACCAGCAACTACCACTAATCAGCCCTTGAAGAGGTTCCAGGGACAAAGGCCACACAGCTAATGAGTAAGGCGGCCACATGTCCTGTTCACCTGGATGGCCCCTGCGCATGCCCTGTGTCTAGGTGTGATCATTAATAGCTGCCAGCATCACAGGACTGTCCTAGTTTGGGCAATAAAGTGTATGTTCCCCTCCCAGTAAGACGGAGATGTAGGCATCACAGCAGGCCCTGCCTGACTCCACCTCAGATGCCCTTCTCTGTCCCGCCCTCCTGAGTCTCGGGGGTTCTGCCTTATTTCTGTCCCAAGCACCGATCCCTGGGCCCCAACTCATCTGTCCAGTCTCAGGGCCCTGCATCGCCCCCTGCTTCTCCAAGCTGCCTGCTCATATCTCCAGACATGCTAATCCTGGGGGAGTGTGAGGTCTCTGGATCCTGTCTTCCCACATCGGTCCCCTTCCCTGTCATGCCTTGGGAGCCAGGTGGGACTGTGTGGCCATCAGACACTGCTTCCAGAGTGCTGTCCCTCACCTGGGGCCTGAGCACCTGCCACTCAGGTTCCTGGGAGGGGCAGGGGAAAGACACGAGGACCCACTGACCTGTGGGCTGTCCCTGGCCTCAGGGACTGAGGACAGGTGCAGGGAGTGACCTTGAGGCTGAGTGGAGTCATCTGAGTCTCCCTCGAAGTCGAAGTCGTGGACGGAGAGGAGGCGCTTTTTCTTAGCAGGCACAAGACAGGGCAAGACTCAAGTCAGGGCTAGCTTGAGGGAGAGGACCAAATACCCTGCACCTCCCCAACCCCACACTCAGCCCCCAGAGGGGCGGGGCAGGCTCCTCTCCCAGCACATCCACCCCCTCCACTAGGAACAAACCTGACCAAGCCCAGAGGGGGAGCTGGTTGGGGGACTGGTTGGTGCTCACGGTGCCCATCCCACCCAGGATACAGGATCTGCATCTCCAGAAACTTGGCTGAGCTGAAGGAACACTGAGCTGAACCCCTGCACTTGCCCCAGGGACCCCGCCTAGGGGGCAGGCAAGCTGTTCCAGGGCTGGGAGAGGGGCGGGTCCCTGGGGCTTCGGATAGCCGGGGCACGATGGCTGAGTGAGACAGAGGTGGGCAAGCTCCTGATAGTTCCTTGTTCTTTAGATGTAAGAGCCTGCATTTAGTTCTAAACCCCTATTTCATTATAATTCTTTTGATCCTTTAAACTGCTCTATCATGTAGGGAATACTCCAGGCACTGCAGAGCATTCTGGGAACTTCATAAATAGCATGAATCAAATGTTCTCAAACGAAAGATGATGACGTTCCCCTCACAGCAGCCGCAAAGAGTTGGTTCATGTTGAATGTCACTGGCCCATTTCTCTCCAAGCATCTAAGTCTGAACCCCTGCTCACCTACCCAGCCCCTTCTTCCAGCTGCTTCCCCTTCTTGCTTCCCACCCCAAAACCCAGGTGTTACCTCGTTTGTCTCGCCCACCCAAAATAAGTTAAACAATACGTGAAAACAGAAACACAAGGCTCATGGTTGGCAAAAAAAAACAAACAAAACAAAACAAAACCCAGAAGGAGAAAAGGTCTTAGAGGAGAGCCTGAGGGGTCCACTTCTCTGAAAGTTGCAAAGGCAGCTGCTCTCAGGACCCTCGAGAGCCCTCCAGGACCCCTGCCTGTCCTACAGCAGTCCCCTGCACTCACTACACCCGTGTGCCCCCAGACTCTGGCCACACACTCAGTAGGCTTTGCCCATCACACAGATTGCTTTTGAGGTTTCTGATGGTGGAAGCACTGCTCCTGCCTGGTGCCCAATGATCTCAGAGACTACTGAGGCCTGGGAAAGGGCAGCAGATTCTTGGTGCTCATGCAGTAGAAACTAGTGGAGTTGTGGAGAGGCCATCAAGGTTTTCAGGAAATCAGAACCTGACGTCCCAGCTGCGGGATGGAATCGAGGTGGCTGAGGAGGGGGTGGCTGGAGATGACTTACTTTGCTGCCAAAGGGCTGGGCCTGGGCCTGGGCCTCTGAGCCAGGTTCTCCATCCTCATCTGTCTGGTCGCTGTCTCCACTTCTCTCTTCAGATATCAGTTCAGGCCCAGCTGCAATAGATACCTGCATGACTCCACCCAAGGACAAACAGTCTGGGAACAAGCCATTTGTCAGCCCATCCACCCATCCATCCACTAATCTATCCATCTACCTGCCCATCCCTCCCTCCTTCATCCATTCACCCACCTATCCACACAGCAATGTATCCCTCCATCTACCCATCTACCAATCCACCCATCCCCCTATTTATCAATCTATTCATCTATTCACCTACCCACCCACCCATTTATCCACTCATCCACCTACTCAATGGGCAGCCCATCCATCCATGCATCAATCCATCCACCCACCCATACACCCACCTATCTATCCTCCACCCATCTATTCATCCACCCATCCACCCACTCAATCAGTGGCTCATCCATCCATGTATTCACCTACCCACCCATCCATCCATCCATCCCTCCATCCCTCCTTCATCCACCCACTCATCATCAATCCATCTATACATCCATCTACCCAATCAATCAGTGGCTCATCCACTCACCCACCCATCCACCCCTCCCTCCTTCATCCATGCACCCACCCATCAATCGATTTATCCATCCATCCACTCAATCAATCAGTGGCCCATCTATCCATCTACCTACTCATCCACCTACCCATCTACCTACTTATCCGCCTACCCATCTGCCCATCCACCTACCTATCCATTTATTCATCCATCCATCCACCTACCACCCATGCCTCTCTCCTTCATTCATCTACCCATCCATCCAGCTGCCCACTCATCCACCCACCAATGCACCCATCCATTTACTTATCCATCCATCCATCCATCCATCCATCCATCCATCCACCCACTTACTTATCCATCCATCCATCCATCCATCCATCCATCCACCCATCTACCCACTCATTCACCTACCCATCCACCCCTCCACCTGCCTATCCATCCATTCATCTATCCATCCACCCACCACTCATCCCTCCCGACTTCATCCATCTACCCATCCACCCAGCTGCCCATCCACTCACCAATGCATTCATCCACTCAGACATCTATTTATCCATCCACTCAGACATCTATCCATCTATCCACCCATCCACTTATCTATCTATCCATCCATCCATCCATGCATCCATCCATCCACCTATCCACTCACCCACCCATCCATCCATTGACCCACCTACCACCTTATCTGCCCATCCATCCACCTATCCACCTACCTATCTATCCGCCCATCCACCTACTTATCCATCCATCCATCCATCCGTTCATCCATCCATCCATGCATCCATGCATCCACCCATCTATCCACTCATTCACCTACCCATCCACCCCTCCGCCTACCTATCCATCCATTCGTCTATCCATCCACCCACCACTCATCCCTCACTCCTTCATACATCTACCCAGCTGCCTACCCATCCACCCACCAATGCATTCATCCACTCAGACATCTATTTATCCATCCACTCAAACACCTATCCATCTATCCACCCATCCACTTACCTATCCATCCATCCACCCATCCACTTACCTATCCATCCATCCATCCATCCATCCATCCATCCATCCATCCATCCACTCACCTACCACCTTAGCTGCCCATCCATCCACCTATCTATCCACCTATCCACCTATCCATCCATCCATCCATCCATCCATCCTACCATCCATCCATCCTACCATCCATCCTACCATCCATCCACCCATCCATCCATCCTATCATCCATCCATCCATCCATCCATCCTACCATCCATCCATCCATCCATCCATCCATCCATCCATCCATCCATCCATTCATCTCTCCCTCTCCCACAATCCATCTACTCACTGAGAAACATCCAGCGAAGGCTCTCTGCTGGCCTTTCGTATACCTATCCAAACATCACTTAGAGCTGGTCTGAATTACAGTATAAAAACCGGTAATCTGCATCAACATTACCAATCAGTTGCCAATGTTACCAATCAATGTTACCAACAGGTCTGACCATGTCTGCAGGATTGTGCTTATTGGGCAGTAGGAAGACCCTGGAGCTGTGGAGTGTGAATGAGGCCTAGAGCTAAGTCATGTTCTCCCAAACACATGGTTTCACCTGCAGGCTCATAGCATTTGCTGGTCAGCAGGCCTGACCTCATCACTACAGGAAGGGAGGTGAGGCCCAGCCCTCATGCCCCCTCTCCTTTCTCTGCCCCCCAGGGCTCCTTCCTCACACTGACCTCCTGGGCCTGGCCTCCCTAGCACAGCCCCACCGTCTCTCCCTCCTTTCTCCTACTGACCTTGGCTTGGCCGGTGCTGTGGCTGTGGCAAGTGATTTAGGAAAGGGACCCCAGGGTTTAGAGCCAGCAGGCCCCGTGGACCATCCACCTTTCTACTCCAGGGGCTGAGGGCACAGCTGGCACTGTGGAGGTCAGATCCTCTGGGCCCAGCCAGGCCTTGCTGCCCCTGGACACCCTTGCCCTGGGACCTGCCCCTTGCTCTCTGTGCCTCACGGGTCACAGGTGTGAACAAGCAGGCATTGGTGCATTGGAGTGTGCATTGTCAACTGCAAAGGGAAGCAGGACTGCGGGTGCAGGGCCCAGGGTGGCCTCAGAGCCACCTTCACTCTCTGCTCTGTGATGTGGGAGCTGGCCCTGCACACCACACCTCTGCCTTGCCTGCTCCTCTGTGAGGGCTCGGCTCGCAGTGAGTGAGAGTGGGAAAAGGAAGGAGAAGGAATGTTCCCCTTCCTGTGGCTTCCAGCACCAAGCCCTTGACCCTGACAGCTGGTCCAGCTTCATCACGGCCCCTGAGACATGGGCACCAGTGGGCAGCACCCCTGCCTTGGAGGGCTGGGTCCCACCCCTGGGTGGCCTCCTTGGAGCTGCCTGTTTCTATTAATCCCAGCCTCTGCCCTTTGCTTGCACCCCTGGTAGTTGTGGGGGATGCAGGCACTCCTGCAGTTATGACCTCTGATACCTCAGTATCTCCTTTTCCCATTCTCAGTTAACAGCATTTCAACCAGTTCCTTATGTGAAACGACCGCGTGGTTTCTGTTTTAGACATTTCCCTGACTGGCCCACCTGTGATCCCCGTGGGGATCCTATCCTCATCTCTCGGGCCTGGGGCCCCTCTGCAGGAAACTCCTCCCTTGTGGTTTTCACTCCCAGAGGCACAAGTGTCCCTATTCACTGGACTGGCTGTGCTGACTGTCCCCAAGTGGGGACAGCAGGGCCTGGCTCTTCCACAGCACTACCCTCAGGACAGCCCAGGACCCGGCACCTGGCGAGCATTCGGCGGATGTACTCAATCAATCACCGACGCATCTTCCAAAGCCTCCTGCGAGATGGAGACCTCACTGTGCACCTCCTTTCATCCGCCCCCGAGTGCCGTACACCCTCCTCCGTGATGTCCACACCAGCTTACAATTCTACCATCGACTGGGCCTTGGGAAGCTCTGGGTTCTCAGGCTCTGTCCTGAGCCAGCAGTGATCTTTTACATGGGTTGGAAAATTAAGTCTCATTGTACAGTTTTCCATTTATAATACAGAGATAGAAATAGTCAACCAGTTGGCAAAACTGGAAATCTGAACGACGGACTTTATAACAAACAGCTGAGATCAGGTGACAAGCACACGCTGTTACTGCCTGTCCTGCCTGAAGCTGCCACTGCCATTCACTGCTTTGCTGCCTGTTTAGGAATGTCTGGGAAGATGCTGGGGTGAGTCAAGGGGACCGGCTGCCTGCCTGGGCTCAGAGGGCCTCAGTTTCCCCAGTGGAAGGAAAGATGGGGGAGGCAGCATGGTACATTTTTTACTTAAATCTTTCTCTTAAAGATAAAAGCTGTCAAGGGTTTTAAAGGGGCCTGCAGGTGCCCGTGTCTGAGCTCTGACAGGTCTATTTTTACACACTCAGCGGATGCCTGCCTGGCTGGCAATGCTGCTGGGGCTCAGAAAACAATGCCCCAAATGAGGGCCTCAGCAGCAGCCTCAGAAGCAAAGTTTCTCTCTGACCTTCTCCTGCCCTCTTGTCTCTCAGGCCCATTCTTCCCCAAGGCCAGCCACAGAAACTAGAATCCCTCTTCCCCAAGGCAGGACATAGAAACCAGTATCCCTTTCTCCCAAAGCCAGCCATAAAACATACAAATATCACTCTTTCCCTCTACTTTTCTGTGTAAAAACTAGCCATAAAGAAATTATCTGGCTGGGCATGCACGGTTTATGCTTGTAATCCCAGCACTTTGAGAGGCCCAAGTGGGAGGACTGCTTGAGCCCAGGAGTTCAAAACCAGCCTGGGCAACATAGTGAGAACCCATCTCTAAAAAAAAACATTAAAAATAAAAAAAGAAATTATCTGACCTTCCTTGTTTGACTTTAGGTCATAAGACCCTCACTCCAGAGAGCATCCCGCCCCATTCTCGGAGGAGGAAAGGCCAAGAAGAATCCAGGCAGACAGACCTTGCTAGGTTCCCCACTCAGCCTATTAGCAGCAGGTCCGGCCTTGTTATATAATCTTCTTTCCACACGCAGTCCACCCTTTCTTGAACCTAAGCATAAAAATGGACAATTTCCCTGCATCTGTGGGTCTGTATTCTGAAGGCTCCCATGTATACACGGTAAACACATTTCTAAATCTTTTGTCCAATGAATCTGCCTTTTACGAGATGATTTTTCAGTGAACTTTCAGAAGGTCAAGGCTTTTGGCTCCGAACGTGCCCAGATGACAGAGCCAGAGAGCAGACCTGGTTTTATTTTTGTTCTCTCTGGACAGTGAGTGCCTTGAGGAGACGCATCCCAAACCAACAGGCAGAGACCCCGTGAACTCCCCCTGCACCCAGGGATGCGGAAATGAGCTTTCTGGGGCCTGGGGACCCACCTGTCAGGGTGATGTCCCCGGCCCCCACAATGAACATGAAGAGGAAGTATCCCAGGATCTCAGGGATCCTTTTAGTGTTGGTCCCTTTTGTCACTCTGCACTTGGGCCAAGGGGGCAACATTATCCTACCTATCTGATCAAGTCATGCTAAAAAAAAGAAAAAAACCAAAAAAATTCCAAAAGATTTTCCTTGTTCCTGACATGGAACAGAGATTTTCTGACCACTCTTGATAGGAGAAAACAAAAATAAAACCACATGAGCATAAAGAACCTAGTGTTGACGTCAGGCGAGGTCTGCACTGTCAGGCAAAGCTACCACCGAGGGAAAGAGGGAAAGGCACTGGAAGGGAAGGCACGGGGGTAGGGGGACTGGGTGCCCAGCGACCAGTCCAGGGGTTTTCCCTTCCTTTCTTGGCCATCGGCCATCGAAGCTGCTTCCTGCAGAGCCTGCCGCGTCCTCTATGGAAGGCCTTGGTGAAACACCAGCACTCTGAAGGTTCACTCAATGAAGACCCCCAGAGGCCCACTTACTAGCTGGACAAGGTCTGCATTAGGCCCTGGCTGGGTCAGGTTTCAAAACATTAACCTTAAGCTTTTTTACCCTCCTTTTTTTTTTTTTTTTTAAAGGCACAGCTTTCCCAGTGTTTGTGTTCCTTGCTTGCGCCCTGTTTTAATGTTGTAGTTACAGGTGTCCAGCAGGGAGGAATGCAGCCCCTGTGGGCGCTTGGGGGAGCTGCTGGGAATCCAAGTTCAAGGAGCAGCTGTTTTCTGTTTTCTGTTGCCCCACAGCGCCACCTCCTGGCCCCTTGGTGGTGATGATTTTGAAGTCAGCAGGTTCTGGTGGGCCGTGTGAACTCCAGCAGCTCTGGGCTGAGCTGTGGAAACACTGCGTCCTTTGAAATAATACAGCTTCCTGAGCCCACCCCAGTCCCTAAAGACTGCCTCTGGGGTTGAGATTCTGAGATGCTTGACAGCATGGCTTTTCCCGGTGTTATGTGTCGTTTCTATCCTTAAGCCTGTTAGGGGTGGACTGGAGGCTGGACCAAGCTCCACTGGCTGCAGGAGGACCCTTCTGTGGGCTCCAGGCTGGCCGTGTGCGTGTGGGGAGGTGGGATTTGCTGCTAGGCTTCATGATCACTGTGAAGAAGCAGCCCCCAAGAATAGGGTGATAGGCCCTCCCCATGTCACCGGCCGTTCCTAGTCACATCTGTTGTTGCAGCATGTTATCAGTAGAGCCTCCTTTTACTCTTAAAAATGCCCTGGTTTGGATGATTGATCATACCTGCCCCCATCCCCACCCCACCACCCAAAAAGTGCAGCCACCCTGTGGTGTGCGGTGTACTGCTCCAGCGGTGCCTCTCCGTGGCCTCTGTCCTAAATTAAACGATGGGCTAAGATGCCTTGAAATGCCTGCAGCAGGCCCGGCGAGAGCTTGAATGCTCAAAGGTGTCTATGCCAACTTCTGCTTCTTCAATCAAACTTGAGGCTTTAAGAGACAGGCACGAATAAGGTGTCTCTCCAGAAGGAAGGCCTGGGGGAGACGCCTGGGCTGGGGCATGGTGAGGACGCCCCAATCCAGAAGCACAGCCTCTGCCCTGGACGTGCCCAGCTGCCGGAGCCAGGCGCTGCCTCGTGGCCCTGGAGAAACTCGCCTTGGTCTTGCAGATGGAGTCATCCAGGACACTGAGACCCCAGACACCTGGCTTGGTGGCGGCTGTCCCACCCGAATGCTTGGCCGGGCTTAGTGGCAGAAGCCTTGGACTCCAGGTAACAGGGACAAGGTGAGCTTTCTCAAAAACACTGATGGGTTAGCTCCCTTCAAACTCAAATGCAAAAGACCCCCCGGCATCCTCCCACCCTCTCCCTGAAAAGATCTCTTCCAAATGCCTTATGGGGGATCTTACAGGCGAACACATTGTTTAGTTTAAGCCTACTGCCTGGATTTCAAATTCATCATGAAATAAATACTTGGATTCAAAAGATGAAAACAACTGAATTACAACAGATTTCTCTAAATCTTGATAATCACCAGATTCATGTGAAATGTTTGTTGAAAAGAGAGAGCCTAGGCCCCAAACCAGATGTCCCAGGGAAGAAGGGCTTGGAAAACATGTAGTATTAACAAGCACCCTGGTGATTCAATCAGCAGCTGGGTTTCAGAAACTTGGCTTTGAGTTCTCAACTTACTTTGAAGATTTGAAAACAATATAATTTCAAATATTGGCAACTTCAGCAGCACCCAGGACTTCTGAGGTGCTCAGACCAGGCCAGTGGGATGCAGAGGTTTGCACCTCACATAAAAAGGAGCCAATTTCACAGGGCACAGTGGCTCACACTTATAACCCCAGCACTTCGGGAGGCTGAGGTGGGTGGATTGCTTGAGCCCAGGAGTTCGAGGCCAGTCTGGGAAACATGGTGAGATGCCTGTCTCTACAAAAATTAAAAAAAAAAAAAAAAAGCAGCCAGAAGCAGGAATTCACAGAGAGGCATGTGCATGCACACACATGTGCACACACACATGCACACACACACGTACACACACACATGCACACTCCAAAGGAACCTGCTTTAATATTCCTAAAATGCCTGGGAACAAAAAGCCGTTCTTACTCTCCACTCCTTACCTCCACCCTGCAGCCGCCCGTGGAGGGACCGGATGACCTTGGCACTTCCGAACCTCTTGAAGCGGGCTTTCACATGCTCATAGTACCACTCCAGTGAGCCGATCTTCACGACTCTGCAGGGACAAGCACAGGCTCATGGCACTGCCTGAGTGCTGTACACAGGCCTGCATAAATCTCACACACACACACACACACACACACGAGTGTGTGCATGTGTGCGTCCACCCTTCTTCAGCTAGCCCCATGGAAGGGACACGCCAGATCCAGAAACTATCAAGGTCATTTTACCTCAAGGCCTGGGCTCACCTGGCCAGATGGCAGGGGTCACAGATCCAGCCCTGCTCCTCCGGGTGGACGCGGCCACAGCTTTTGCAGGTGAAGAGGCCACATTCCAGGCACTGCCTTTTGCTATTCACAAGCAGCTGGTAGGGCTGCAGGCAGCGGGCGCAGTGGGTCTCGTTCAGATGGGCAGTGTCGGAAAGCAGCTCCCTCTTGGAGCTTTCCTTCTTAATCTTGCCCTTCAACGCCCTTGGGAAAATATCAGAAACAAGAAATATATTGGGCATCTTGTTTTTGCAACAGGCTTTAAGTGTGTACACGTACATACACACACACACAGACACAGACACATACACACACACAGTAACTGTCTCCTATGCAGAAAACAGTGACCCAACGTTGGGCAAAGCCACACAGGCATCTTTGTTTTGAGGGCTGAGCTCAAACGGGCAATTTTGGTGGCTGGAATGGAATGGAAACACGTTAATTTCATAGAAATGATATTGCATTTAAGCATTTCTGTGGCTGTTTACAATTGTACCAATTTTGGTTGGCAGGTCACTGCGCCCTCCCCAGGGCAGTCACAGAATCCTGGGGGCAAAGCCAGATGGTGTTTCCTGATCAAGCATTGTTTTGGTCTCCTTCAGCAGGGGGGCAAGAGTTGAGCTAACGCCCCAGGTTTGCTCCTCTAGAGCGCAGCTGAAATGGCTCGGTGAGTTTCCAGAGCAGGAATCATCTAGCACCCGGAAGTCTACAGTTCTCCTAGACCATCCGAGTTTAAATAACACAGCTTCCTGGTGAACCTGCCAAGTTGAACTGATTGGAAAGTGTATCCTTAGATGATAATGAACACATTTCTTTTGTTCTAGATTTCAGAGAATGTCTGCCAAACGTAATATTTTCAGTTTCAGATGAGATAAAATTAATCCATTCTTAGTGACAAAAACAAGAAGGACACTAGGTGCCATTGTCTTCTGAGAACTCTGAAGCACACTGATTTGGAGGCGGACACCCAGAGTGCAGCAAAGGTGAAGAGAGTGGAGGAGTCCCACCAGGCAGGGGGAGGCCACCTCCGGTTTCAAGTGCAATTGGCTGAACTTCACGATTTTCCTCTCTCCACTATTTACAAAAATGTTCACTGAGATGGACACGAAATCAGGCTCTTGTCATAGCTTCAAAAACCAAGAGAAAAAGGGTCAAGCAGTTGTAGGAATCTAGGGGGATACCGCCATCCACAGACTACAGTTTAGATAAAGCTGCATTGACAAGGTAAAGTCTTTGTCCCAAACAGAGGAGCACAAGTCCCTGGAGCCAGATGGGAAGGGCCTCACTCCCTCCATTTCCACCCTTGCCAGCTCTGCACCAACCAGAAAACCTGGAGGCCACCCCTTCGCTGGACAGGGCTTGTTAGCCTCTGTCCCAGGGAGAACCTCTTCTTCTGTATCCAGGCAGAACGGTACCCTGAGGGCCAGCACAGCAGGAAGAAAGACAAGGACATGTGTACTGCCCTGCATTCCAGGCTGGAGGAGTCCTCTTAAATAAGAGCCCAGAAGTGTCCTGGGGCAGCAGCTGGAGGCTGATATATTTCAGAGGCTGAAATTAGGGGAAAGGAGAACTGTACTGTGCTTTAGATTCTTTAAAACATAACTTCCCTTCTTCATAGCCAGAGACCAGGAAGGGAGGGCAGAGAAGACTCCATTTGGGGAGACCAAATGACATCTGCCAGCCACTCCAGGACGTATCAACAAGACCCGGAGCTTCCGATCCTGAGGAGTGAATGGGGCCAGAGCACTCCATGCACTCTGCTAATTGGGTTGACCAGAAGTCACTCCTCAACAGGCAAGAGCCCGGCACGTGGCTCCAATTTAAAGTTAGCTTCAGGAATAAAAGACCCTCCTGAATGTGACTTACCATCAGAAACAGACTCGAAACAAGTCAGCTTGGTGTGCTGAATGGGGCATAAGCAAGTACGTGCAGTCTCAATGAGAGGGACAGAGGAGACACAGGAGGAAACCAGGCTGAGATGGGAGCACCACCGGCTATGCTGGTGGAGGTGGAGAAGAACTGGTTAAGACAGAGATGGCGAGAAATCACAGCTCACAATGGAGGGGGAAATGGGCACAATTTCTACCGTGGAATATTAGATCCAATGATTTCGAAGAGTGGTCTTCAAAGTGTGGTCCAGGGACCTCTCTTCTGGAGGTTCCTAAGATCCTTTAGGGGGGTGAGTCACAAGGCCAAAGCTATTTTTGTAATAATGCTGAGACATCATTTGCCTTTTCTTTGCTCTTTGATGCCTGCACTGAAGGTGTAAAAACAATGGTGGATAAACTGCTGAGGCTTTAGCACGAGTCAGGGCAGTGGGCCCAACTGCTCTGACAGTCATTAGATCCTTCATTGAAAAAGAAATGAGCTGGGTGCAGTGGCTCACACCTGTAATCCCATCACTTTGGGAGGCTGAGGAAGGTGGATCACCTGAGGTAAGGAGTTCAAGACCAGCCTGGCCAACATGGTGAAACCCCGTCTCTACTAAAAATACAAAAATTAGCCAGGCACAGTGGTGGACACCTGTAATCCCTGCTACTCAGGAGGCTGAGGCAGGAGAGTCGCTTGAACCAGGGAAGCAGAGGTTGCAGTGAGCCGAGATTGTGTCACTGCACTCCAGCGTGGGTGACAGAGTGAGATTCTGTCTCAAAAAAAAGAAAAAGAAATGAGAAGAAAAAACAGTTTCATTAAAGAATCACCTTGATGAAACCCTAAAAGTTATGAGTCTTTTTGAACCGTGGCCCCCAGTCCATGTCTTTTGAGGATTCTGCCTGATGAGCTTGGAGGAGGACAGGAAGCTCTTGTGCCACGTGTTGAAGGTGACAGATATTTCTATTAAAAGGATTGGGCAATTGTTCCGATCGCCACCTGAGCTAGAAACTTTTCTTATGAAATAGCATTTTCACTTGAGAGAACAACAGAGAGATGAACTGTTTCGACTTGGGTACTTGGCAGATATTTTCTCAAAAATGAACAAAGTGCGACTCTCACTTCAAGGAAAAGAAGTGACAGTATTTATTGCCAGTAATAAAACGGAAGCTTTCAAGCACAAAGTAGAATTCTGGAAAACATATATCGCCTGCTGTGAGCTTGACAGTTTGCAACACTGGGAGACTTTTGATGAGGGTTTCCAACACCGGGAGACTTTTGATGAGATCGCTGGTGAGAGTAACAGAAGTGGTTCTCTTTTGGTGTGCATATGAAATGTGTCAACATTTGAGAAGTCTGCATCACTCAGTGAGCCGGTGTCTTCCAAATGATTAATGCATGGTGTTACAAAAATCACACAGGGGTAGAAAATCCACTTCAAGTGCAAGAGAGACCAATGGATTTGAACAAACAGAAAAGGAAAAGTTCATTAACATGGTTTCAGATTCCACATCACAACTAACCTTTAAGAAACTACCAACTGGCCGGGCGCAGTGGCTCATGCCTGTAATTCCAGCACTTTGGGAGGCTGAGGCAGGCAGATCACTTGAGGTCAGGAGTTTGAGACTAGCTCGGCCAATGTGGTGAAACCCTGTCTCTACTAAAAATGCAAAAATTAGCCAGACATGGTGGCACGCACCTGTAGTCACAGCTACTTAGGAGGCTGAGGCAGGGGAATCGCTTGAACCTAGGAGGTGGAGGTTGCAGTAAGCCGAGATTACGCTACTGCACTCCATCCAAGGGTGGCAGAGAGAGACTTTGTCTCAAAAAAAAAAAAAAAAAAAAAGAAAAAAAAAAGAAAAAGGAAAAAAACTACCAACTCCAACTGCCGGGTTTTCATGTTGTAACAACACATGATGTTAATTATTGTCTACAAAGGCTATTCAAGTACTCCTTTTTTCAATTATGTATCTGTATGAGCCTAGATTTTCTTCAAATACTACAGCCTAGAAAACATGTTACGACCCACTGAATGCAGAAGCAAGTGGAGAATTCACCCATCTTCTATTGTTCCAGATAAGGGAGGAGACCACCCCTCATATTGTCTTATGCCCAATTTCTGCCTCCAAAGAAAAAAGAAGTAAAAACTAAAAGGCAGAAATGAAATCCACAGGCAGACAGCCCAGCGCCACACCCTGGGCCTGGTAGTTAAAGATCGACCCCTGACCTAATCAGTTATGTTATCTATAGATTACAGACATTGCACGGAAAAGCATTGTGAAAATCCCTGTCCTGTTCTGTTCCATTCTAATTACTGGTGCAGGTGCATGTAGCCCCCAGTCACGTACCCCCTGCTTGCTCAATCGATCATGACCCTCTCACATGAACCCCCTTAGAGTTGTAAGCCCTTAAAAGGGACAGGAATTGCTCACTCGAGGAACTTGGTTTTTGGAGACGTGAGTCTGCCGATGCTCCCAGCTGAATAAAGCCCTTTCCTTCTACAATTCGGTGTCTGAGGAGTTCTTGTCTGTGGCTTGTCCTGCTACACAGACATTAAAGAGATTTGCAAAAGCAGAACAACACCACTCACCTTACTCACACTCTGATTTTGGGAAAATCTCATTTTTTATAAAAACTGTATTTATATTAACATGTAGGGGGTTTACTGTTATTTTTAAATGAGTGAATAAATAAATATTTTTAACTCCCAGTTTTAATTTCTGATGTGGTAAATATTAATAGATATGACCCATATGAATAAAACTCTTTGGGGTTCTCAGTAATTTAGGAAATGTGAAGGGGTCCTGAGGCCCAAAGGTTTGAGAACTGCTGATTTCGAAGTCAAGTTTGCTCTCCCTCCCAGAATGTGGAGAAAAGGGACTAAGCGATGGGAGACAGTGGGGAGATGATGGCAAAGGCCGAGAAAGTGAGCTCCCAGGGGAGACAGAGCCCTGGAGACGGGGATGCATGGGGGTGGAAGGGAAGTGCTGTCCTTGTCCTTGGGGCAGGGGACCCACATTACTGTCCTCTGCAGTCCCACCTCCAGAGGGCCCTGGGACACGCATGCCAGAGCTGTGACTGGTGGGGCAGAACAGAGCCAAGGGGGCACTCCTGTCCTCAAGGGAGGCCCGGCAGCCTCTGAAGAAAGGGCGTATACCAGGGAAGGAAAACGCTTCTAGGACGGGAACAGGAAGGAAAGGCCGCTCCTATGATGGGGTCTGGACAGGATTGGTGAGCCACGCAGGGTGAAGGGGTCAGACCTGTGCCCTGCTCTGCCCCTCTTGGGGTGAAATCTAGACAGGGGTGTGGTGGCAACATGCAGGAATACTGGGGAGAGCCCAGGATGGCGGGGCTGGTGGCCACCCCTGAAGGCACAGCAGGGGGAAGCTCCCACTGTGGCCATCCCCAAGGTCCAGCACACAGGCGGGGGAAGAGCCTGCATGAGGGGTCCTGTGGGCCTCCACTTGCGTTGGGTGCTGGGGTGGTGGGGAATCCACATCCCTGTGATCCTTAAACCATGCTCCAGCAGGACTGCATGCGATGAGGAGCAGCCAGGGGACTGGCAGAGGCTTGGGGTTGGTGGAAGAGGCCACAGCACGTGGGTATGTGGCTGGGATCAGGGTCTCAGTGGTGGGTGCCATCCGTATCTCAGTGCCCGGCCAGTACCCTTCACATACCAGCCAGCGGTCCCCATCCTGCAAGCTGACCTGCCCTCCACTCTGCATCAGGACCAGCAAGGAGGTGGGGACAGTGTGTGGAGTCCAGACCCCATCAACCTGGCCACCGGGAGGGTCATGAGCCTTTCTCCCAAGGCCCAGCTGCTGGCCTGGCCAAAAGCATGGGTTGGGGAGCAGAGGTGGGGTTGTGGGGAGCTCTGGAAGAGAAGCTGAGCCAGGAACAGAGACCCGGTAAGTGAGCAGAGTCTGGGAGATCTGAAGCCCTGAAGCTTGCACTGTCTTGCTGCTCAAGGGGTGGGGTCTCACGAGGGGGAGCAGATGGGAAATAAAAGACCTGTATTTCCTTTGCACGGCTTGGTTGGGTGAAGTTTTCGACCATGAGTTTTTGCCATGCCACTGAGGCAGCCGTCACCCTAACAACACAGGAAAACTCTCCTAACCAGAGAGAAGAAACAAAGAAAGAGCTGAGTCTTCAGATTAGAGGGGTCGCTGGATGGTAGGAGATGCCTACACAGACTGACAAGACCACTCTGTTATAGGGCGGGCAAAATCCCTACCAGCATGGTGGACAGAACCGGCGGCCTCCAACAGAGTGGAGGTCATGCAGGGGGCCCTTCTGCAAGGCTGAGGGCTGGCCGTGGGGCAGTGGCTCCCGTCCAACTGCTGCCATTTCAGAGCTCCACCAACTCCATGGCTTAAAACAATGCAAATGCTGGTCAGTTGCGGTGGCTCACACCTGTAATCCCAGCACTTTGGGAGGCCAAGGTGGGTGGATCACCTGAGGTCAGGAGTTCGAGACCAGCCTGGCCAACATGGTGAATCCCCATCTCTACTAAAAATACAAAAAATCAGCCCCGTGTGGTGGTGGGCACCTGTAATCCCAGCTACTTGGGAGGCTGAGACAGGAGAATCGCTTAAACCCAGGAGGTGGAGGTTGCAGTGAGCTGAGATTGCGCCACTGCACTCCAGCCTGGGCAGTAAGAGCAAAACTCCACCTCAAAAAACAAAATAAAATAAAATAAACACAATACAAAAACAATGCAAATGCATTACCTGACAGCTCTGGAGGGCAGAAGTTTGACTCAGGATTCATTGAGCTAACATCAAGGTGTCGGCAGGATTGTGGCACCTCCTGGAGCCCCCAGAGGGGAATCTGCTCTCTGGCAGTTTAGCTTCTTGAGGGCTTCAGGTATGTGGGCTCCTGGCCCCTTTCTCCATCTTCAAAACCAGCCATCCCTTCTGCTTCTAAGGCCCCTGTGATGATATTAGGCCCGCCCAGGGAACCCGGGATCATCTCCCAGGTCCAGGCCAGCAGGTGGGCAGCCTAAAATGCATAATCCCATTTCTGTATAGCCTCACGAATTCAGAGGTTCTTGGGGTTGGGAAGTAGACATCTTTTTGGGGGGGATTATTCTGCTTACCACCGGTAAGCATCCCCACAGCCTGTAGGGGAAAGCGTGTGAGGTCAGATTGTACTCCCAGGCAAGTGGAACAGATCCTCAAAGACAAAATCCACACTCCATGCCATGCCTGAGAAAACAGCCTGAGGACAGACCCCAGGTAATGGAGAAATGATTCCTGAGGGTGACCCTGAGTTGGGGACTGGAGCACAAAAGATCCAGTGAGTCACAGGATCCAGGGGCCAAATGACTGAAAGCGTGGCAACCAAAGTAAACCTCACGTCAGGGCTAACGGCTGGCAGAGGACGGAAAGACGGCAGCATTGCTGAGGAGCAGCACCGGGGACCCAGGCTCCTCATCCTGGGAACGCGTGTCGGGAATTACCACGAGGGAGCTGGAAACTCACTCAAGTTCCTGGAGATCCTCTAAAGGGGAAGACCAAGATGACGATAAAAAAGATGAAGAGGAAGTGAGTGGTGATGTGAGAACGGCAGGCGCTGAGAGACGGAGCCTCAGAGTATCTCCTAAAACATCTCAGACCAATGTTCCCCTCCAGGCCCTGCCTTGGCAGCGGAGTCCCTGTTTTAGCCCCTATTTTTTTCATCTCTAGAGTTGCCTGTGTCCGTGATTCCAACTAGTCCGGCTAAGGGTGATTTCAAATTCCTTATGATCAAAAAAATGGATTTTTATTATTTATTTATGTATTTATTTTTGAGATGGAATTTCGCTCTGCTGCCCAGGCTGGACTGAAGTGGTGTGATCTTGGCTGACTGCAACCTTTGCCCCCCGGGTTCAAGCGATTCTCCTGCCTCAGCCTCCTGAGTAGCTGAGACAACAGGCGCCTGCCATCATGGCTGGCTAATTTTTGTATTTTTAGTAGAGATGGGGTTTCGCCATGCTGACCAGGCTGGTCTCGAACTCCTGACCTCAGGTGAACCACCTGCCTCGGCCTCCCAAAGTGCTAGGGTTACAGGCATCAGTCACCGAGCCTGGTCAAAAAAAAATTTTTTTTAAAGCAAGCCACGGTTTGCCCGTGTCTCATACTAGGAGACCCTTCACAGATTCTCTCTGAACCTCCTCTGTTTGCAGAGATCACAAATCCACGTCACCACCTATTTGCCTTTCCAGGGCAGGTTGGCAGTCCTAATATTTGATTTGTAGGCTGTGTCCTTTAAAACAGGGTGTTCCGTTTGGGCTTCAGCCTTTCCCCCAGGGCATGAGTCACCCAAGTCCGGCTATGCATGGTCTCCTAGTTCTTCCTGGGTTTGGAGAATATCCATTAATTTCTACCATAACCACAGCTGAGGGGCTACCCTAACAAATGCAGAAAGCAGTTACTGGGAGAACTTGACACAAGCATGATACAAAGCAAGACACAAATCAGCACCAATGCAAGCTCCAGGGTGCCCAGGAGGAGGCCTGCTCCTTTTGTGCACAGCCCCAGGTCCCTTGGGTCCAGGACAGGGATGGGTGCCTAAGAAGTTCTGGGCTCTTCTGGGGACAGAAGGAGTTAAAAGCTGTGACTATTAACCAATGTTCCCTTCAAGAAGGTTTACTTTGGCCCTACTTTGTATTTGTAGAACATTAAAAAATAATAACATGTGATAATCTTTTCTGTACTTAAAACCTTCTTAATACCCAAGTGATATGAATGAATCTAAAACACTCAAGATGAGAGCACTCTGAGGACCACTTCTATGGAACTCACCACCAGATTACAGGAAAACAGGGACAATGGAACTTTGGTGCAAACATCACGAGGATATCCTCAGCTAACTCCAGACTGTGAAAAATTCCACAAAAGTAAACAGCTAGCTTTCTTCTACACATAAGCTTCAAATTAAAAAAACAGAGCTGAAAAGAGATCTTACAGATTCAAAGAGACTTAAAAGATACAGCAAGCAAGTGTAAGGTCTGGACATTATTTGGAGATGAGCGGAAAAGTTTTAACACACATTAGATATTTAAGGAATTAGATCTAATTATTTTATTTATTATTATTATTATTTTTTGAGGAGTGCAGTGGCGCGATCTCAGCTCATGCAACCTCCGCCTCCCAGGTTCAAGCAATTTTCTTGCCTCAGCCTCCTGAGTAGCTGGGATTACAGGCACCTGCCACCATGCCTGGCTAATTTTTTTGTATTTTTTTTTTTTTTTTTTTTTTTTTAGTAGAGACGTGGTTTCACTATGTTAGCCAGGCTGGCCTCGAACTCTTGACCTCAGGTGATCCACCCTCTTCGGCCTCTCAAAGTGCTGGGATTACAGGTGTGAGCCACTGTACCTGGCCTAGAGTGAATTATTTTAGATGTAATATATATTTATGGGGGAAATAGGAGATGAGAGGAACAATAATACGAGACAATACACCAATACACAGCAAGCTCTCACTCACTGCAGATAGACCCGCGAATGCTAAAAGTAAACATTTACCAGATATTCATCACAGCTGGGTAACCCGCCCCAGACTCAGTTTCTCACTTGTGCATGGGGCCAGTAAAAGTAACCACATCACAGGGGTGTCTGAGGGTTAAAGGAGACAATAGAGATGAAGCTGAAAGAGGTCATCATCCAATGTGAGCCCAGAGAGCTGTGGAGTCGTTCCATGGTCAGTACTGTGCTGGGGGCTGGTGACACAGCGCCAAAGCAGCAGAACCCTCATGGGGCTTAGATGCCGGCAGGGATAAGACACTAACAAGGAAATGACTCACTGGGCATTGGAGAAGCGCTAAGGAGGAAATGGAGGAGGGAGTGAGGTCCCACGGTGAGCAGGGGTGAGGAGGGCGAATTTCATCGTAAATGTGATGGAAGCTCTGTGGGGGTTATGAGCCGGGGGATGACCTGATCCACATTTTTAAGGCATGAGTCTGGGGGATGTGGGGAGAATGGACAACAAGACGGTGAGGGTGGAGGGAGAGAAGAGTAAGTGTGTGTGTGGGGTGGATTCCTGTGGTGTCCACAAGAAAGACAGTGTGGCGTGACCTGAGGCTGGCATTGAGGGCGGTGAGCAGTGGCTGTATTGGTTGAGCCACGGGACTGGCTGAGTGTGGGGTGTGGGGTGAGAGGGAAGGAGCAGAGACAGCCATGAGTCCTGGGAACTTAACTTTGGCAACAGCCTGCATCCAAGATGGGGATGGGGTGCTTGGAGGTGGAGGAGAAATCACAACTTCTGTTTTGGACATGCTGGGACAGAGATGTCAGTGGAACACTTTGGCCGCAGTGTCGTGCAAGCCTTTGCCTACAAAAGTCAGAGTTCAGAGGATGTGTCTCTGATGTGGGTGTAAACTTGGGACTCATTGTTTAGATGTGTTGTCTAGCTGCTGTAGTAGCTCCTAGCTGCTAGGGCACATGCAGCTATTTACGTTTAAATTAATTAAAATTGAATACGATTAAAACTTTTTTTCCCCAGTTGCATTAGCCACACTTCTGGTGCTCCATAGCCTTGGGTGGCTAGTGGCTGCCACATGGGTCATGCAGATACGAACATTTCCATCACTGTAGAAAGTTCCATCAGGCAGTGCTGGTCTAGAACTCATTTAAAACCTTGGGGCTGGACAAGGTCACTGGAGAAGTGAGTGACACAGAGCAGAGAAGAGAGTTGAGGCCAGGGCCCTCGACCCTGCGAAAGGGAATATTTAAAGAGTCCAAGAAGTTCCAGCAAAGGAGACAGAGAAGGGACTAGACTCCAACACACGACGTAGAGCCACATCCAGAGAGGGCTCAATGAGTGCTGAGCTTCTGCTACCATTATTGGATTTTTCTACGTATTTTTTTAAAAAAGTAAAATCTGGCTAAGTGTAGTGGCTCACATCTGTAATCCCAGCACTTTGAGAGGTTGAAGTGGGAAGATCACTTGAGCCCAGGAGTTCAAGACAAGCCTGGACAACATAGAGAGACCCCATCTCTACAAAAAATTTAAAAAATTAGCTAGGTGTGGTGATGCATGCCTGTAGTCTCAGCTTCTCAGGAGACTGAGGTGGGAGGGTTACTTGAGCCTGGGAGGTCGAGGCTGCAGTGAGCCATGATCACGCCACTGCACTCCAGCCTGGGTAACAGAGCAAGACCCTGTCTCACAAAACAAACAAAAAAAAAGTAAAATGGGATAAAATTACATTTTCACAACTTGCTTTTTCTACTGGACAATGTCTTGTGAACTATTAATGTCAATTTATTTCTATCATTATTTTCATTGGGTGCTGAGCAACCTATTGTTAAATCCGTTGTTAAATTTGGTATTTAACCAAAGCCTGAACATTTGGACATTAGGGTCTTTCTAGTTCTTCTCTCCTGTAACCCTTGTCTGATTCTCTCCTTATGATGACTTCCAGCAGAGGACCTGCTGGCTCAACAGGTGAGCATACTTTTAAGACTTTTGCTACCTTAGTCCAAATGGGCCTCTGCAAAGATCTGATATGGTGGCCACTAACCACATGTGGCCATCAAAAACCTGCAATGTGACTAATAAGACTGAAGAGCTAAATTTTATTTAATTATAATTTTATTTTATTTAATTATAATTAATTTTAATAGCCACTAGTGGCTAGTAACTTCTGTCCTGGACAGTGCAGCCTTAGGTCTATTTATATGATGATTTAACAGGGCTATGTATATATTTTTCTTTATCTTCATCAATATGAGGTGTCAGGGCGAGGCTAGTGAACACTCTGCCGTGAAGCAGTTTAAATCACACAGGATTTATCTGTTCTTTGACCATTTAAAAGATCCATCCATGAAAGCATATGGACGAAACCCTCCGGGAAGATCTGTCATTGGCAATTTATTCCAATAATGGGCCAGCGGGAAAAAGAGGAGGCTTCAAACTAACCACAGAGTAAAGTCAAGAGAGTGTGGGGAAAGTTACACCCAGGACAAGCAGAGGGTCAGGAGGGACAAAGGCTGAGAAGGGGCTGCTGATCGGGCAGCTCCTGGGATAGGACATGGGTGTTAAGTCAAATCTATCCTAAAATGCCTATCTGATGCCAGTGGTGCTAACATCCTAATTTTGTACATCTTCAAGTTTTCGATTCTATGGTGCACAGCACTGTGTCCTCGTGGGAGGCAGGAACAGCCCTCCCACTCTATATAGCAAACAGCCCATTCCCAAATCCCTAGTGGCACAGATGACTTGAGAGAGAGATTATGCCTGCCTGGGCTAGATCAAGACGTGCTGGCTTCCCCTTCCTTCTCACCGATCCCTCCTAAGGGCCAGCAAGGAGAGCCTTGTCAGGCGTGTGCGTCACCGAATGTCCACAGCACAGCTTGGAGGGAGGGGCAGGCCTGGCCAAGGGAGCAGGAGCTTCCGTGGCTTGGGGACAGGATGCTGCTCATGGGGGTCTCAGGGTCACATGCCCTCCTTCCTCCAGCATATCAGGGATCTGGACCAGCTTGTTTGTCCCTGCTTTGACAGAGGAGAAATCAAAGTTGTGTTGTTCTGACGCTGTGGGAAAAGGCGCAGGCGTCACCTCCAGACCCTGCCCAGCGTCCTTCAACGTGATTGATGCTCACATCTGGAGAGAAATACTGAGCAGGAATCCATCTGACACACATCTGCTAATTTTAAGACTGTTAAAAGAAATGCATTTTCTTTGGTTTGATAATTGGTGCATTAAGTGAATCCGCTCTTAAGCAAATCAACCCCCTGGCAAACTTGTTTCTGGGGCACTGGCCTTGAGTCTGCATGCTGTGTTCCCCTGATGCATATTCTGGGTAGTAAAGCTCTTTCCAAGAAACGATGGTGTGTTTCTTGGTTTCACAATTCCCCCACCCCTGTTCTCTCCTCTCTCCAATCAGTGGCCTTGAGTTTCCTCGGGCTGGGTCGCGCCCACGGGCTTCCCTCTCAGAGTTTGTGAGACACATGGGAAACTGCTGGGCGGCTCCTGAATTGCTACATTTGTTACCGCCACCTACTTAGTGGTCCCTCGAGCACCAGTTTCTTCATCCAGCCTCTTGCTGATTCAGATATTTAAGACTCGGTGACCGGGAGCAGACATGAGGACCCCGAGGATGTCACCCAGAGAGACGCTACAGAGAACGGGATTCTGTGGCGGCAGCACACAGATGACTGTTCATGTTGAAATTGGTTAAACGCACAGATTAGCAATGATGAAAGACAGGGAAGGAGGTTCATTATTGTAAGAGTTATCTTCCGTTTCATCATGGATTTCTGGTATTTTCGCCAGCTCCTCTGCAGAACCAATTTTGGTGCCAAGAACCAGAGCCTTTTTTCTATGCTTGTTTCCTCTGTGGCCTTGCACAGCGTCCACACCACCTGGTTTGAGCAGAGCACACTGCGAGGCGTGTTTTGACCTTGCGGTGCTCAAGTCACCTGCACCTGATGCGTGCCCACACGCTGGGGCCCTGCCACTCCCCGGGGCTCACGAGGCACCTGTGAAAAGTCTTCTCACAGGTAGAGGCAGCTCTCCTTTTAGTGACATATTTAACCAATAGGGCAGTCAACAAAAGACAAGCACAAATGAAACAATAAGAAACTCAAAAACCTCTTAACTACCTCTGCCACCACACTGTTTACATCAGGGGTCCCCAAGCCCCAGCTGTGGCCCAGTAAGTGTCCCTGGCCTGTGAGGAACCGAATTGCACGGCAGGAGGTGATTGGCAGGTAAGAGAGCATTTCCCGCCTGAGCTCCGCCTCCTGCCAGGTCAGCGGCAGCGTTAGATACTCATAGAGCTCCCATAGTTGTCTGTTGTGAACTGTGCTTGCGAGGGATCTAGCCTGTGTGCTCCTTATGAGAACGAGAATGAGGTGGAACAGCTTCATCCTGAAACCATCTCCAACCCTGCCCCCAGCCTCCTCCCCCAGCCCCTCACATCTGTGGAAAAATTGTCTTCTATGAAACCGGTCTCTGGTACCAAAAAGGTTGGGGACCACTGGTTTACATGATTCTTTGCCTCCCAAATGTGTCACCTGCTGACATGTACTCTCATAGTAAGACCCATCATAGCAATGCCACTTGGGCATTCAGTATTCTCGACCTAACACTACCTTGACACAGGCTTTTCATAGCACTGCCTCTCTGCTCACTGACATTTTCAACACAGTACTCTACGCTCATGCGGCCCCTTCCCATCGGAAGACATCTGGGGACTTAACAAGCCCCCCCCTAATCACATAGCAGACTGGGCCAATTAACGCCCCAGCCACTGGCTCATTCTGAGCAAACAGCCTCAGGCACAGAATGAACAATGTGACCTCGGCTGTAACCAACTGGCCATCAGCGGCCCACCAGGCAGGGTCATCAGAACCCATATTCTTACAAAAGTCCTTTCCTAAGAGTACTGAGAGGTGACCTGGGTGCGTCCTTTCCTAAGAGTTCTGGGAGGTGACCTGGGTGTGTCCCTTCTTTGCAATGTGAAATGATGAAAAGAGCATGAAATAAGGAAAGACGGGTGTCAGAAGGGGGTGAGCCACAGACAGGAAACGCATGGGGGTTTCTGCTAAACCCGCTTCAGATAAGCCTGGACTGGAGCAGGGCGGACCACTCAGCAGTCCCCTGGAAGACAGTGCCTGTCCGGGACCCCCAGGCCCCACTTGCTCCCTCCCTCTGCTCCTTGGAAAACATGGTTCTCCCCCCTTTTCCATTTCTCTGCATTCGCCTATACTCAGGCAATGAGAAGTTACAAGTTGCCATTTGAAATAAGGGCTGACAATAGCCAGGGCTGCCTTGGAGACAGGGCAGGATGCACCTGGGAAGGATCCACCCAGAAGGGGGTTCTACTAATGAGAACGATGTTCTGCCCTTGGCACAGCCTGAACGCCAAAGCTGACGCAGGGATTGCTGCTCTGGTGAAAACAGTGAGAGAACATTTGAGTTTACGTAGAGAGAATGGGAAAGAGAGGGTGAGGGACTTCAGAATGTGGAAATGGGGGATCTGAGACTCAAGAGTGGAGGGGTGAGGACGGGGCCCGTGAGACCGCATTTTCCTGCCAGAGTAAAGGGGACAGGGTGTCAGCCCTGCGGTCAGCTGCATGCTGGTCCGCAGCCTCTGCTCAGGCTTTGAGAAGGTGGTCGTGGCCGGCCATGGCCACCAGGCTGGTACTGGCTGTACCAGGGCCAGCAGGTTGGGCCCTCCCCCGAGGCCGGTGGTGAAACCTGGGCTATAATGAAATCCAGGGGTGACTGGTGGTCCAGGGCCGAGGGAGAGTGGGGGATCACACGGTGGGGAGGCTCTGACGCCGGCCCCTCCCCACCAACACGAGCGCCTCCTGCTCCATGTGGGGCTGAACTGCTCTTGCTTCACCTAACGGTTTGTTGCGGACCCTGTTCAGCATGGGAACCCAAAGTCCCTCTTCTACTGCTCCTTCTCTCTCCTTTCTTGGTGCTTTGTCTCCTCAACATGCTTGAGCTCACGTCCCCGGGGCTGGTCCCCATCCAAATTCCCTTCCAGTGCGGTCTCCTATGGCCCTGCAGCTTTAAATGCTGGGGTCAGCTGAACAATGCTGCCACCCCCTGCCCCAAGGCATTCATGTTCTAGTCCCAAGAACCTGTGAAAATGTCACCTCACATAGCAAAAGGGACTTTGCCGATGGAATGACATTAAGGATCCTGAGATGGGAAGAGGGTCCTGGATGATACGGGCAGTTCCTAAATGTAACCATATTTCTCCTCATAGGGGAAAGAGGAAGGCAGGAAAGTCAAAGAGAGAGATGTGAGCATGGAGGCACAGGTGAGGGAGGGAGGGTGAGAGAGAGGCAGTGGCAGAAAGAGACATTGTTAGACATTGTGCTGATGGCCTTGGAGGTGGAGGAGGGGCCAGGAGCCAGGGAATCCAGGAAGCCTCTAGAACCTGGAAAAGGCCGAGAGATGGGTCCTCCCTCCAGCCTCCAGCTGGAATGTAGCTCTGAGGACAACTTGATTTTAGGACCTCTGACCTGCAGAACTGCAGGACAGCTGTGTGTTTTAAACCACTAAATCTGTACTGTACAAGTCACATATGCAGCAGTCCCAGAAATGAATACAAATACCTTTCATCCGTTTCACCATATGAAGCTTCACCTTTACGAAGCTCTCGTAACGCATCTCCTCTGAGCTCCGGACTAGTGTATGTATCCAACACCCGCTCAACACACCTGCGTGATGTCACTTCAACATGCCTGAAACATTTCCCCCAAACCTCTCCATCTGTGGCCTCCCCAGCAGAGCTGACCTCAACTCTGTCCTTGAAGTTGCTCAGGCCACAACCTTGAAGTTGCCCTTGATCCCTCTCACCCTGGAGACCCCCCATCTGATCTCTGGTCAAGCTTGCTGGCTCTGCCTGCAAAGTGCATCTGGCCACTTCACAGAGCCCACCGCTGTGAAACAGAAACTAGGACTTGCTGTTGCTCTGCTCGAAGGTCTGTGGTGACTCAGGGGAAGGGTGAGGCCCTGTGAAGCTCTACAGGACCCCCGTGACTGGCACCAGATCCCATGCCCCCCACCTGTTACATCTCCAACTGCCTCTCTTCCTGGCCCCCTCATTTACTCCACTCCAGCCTCGCCAGCCTGTGCTCTCCCTGGGGCACACCAGGCTCCCTCCTGCCATCTTCAGCGGGGCCCTCTGCCCTCCACTCTCTGGCCTCTGCCCTCCACCATCTGCCTTCTGCCTTCTGCCCTCTGCCCTCCACCCTCTGCCCTCTGTCCTCTGCTCTCTGCCCCCCCCTTCGCCGGGAGCATCCTCTCAGCTTTTGCTTAACTACTTCCCTCATATGCTTCCTTCCCATAGGGTGACCCAATCTACTAAAGACATCAAGAAAGGATAAGGGGGCCCAGAAGATAGAGGGGGGAGGAAGATGCGCAGTGGATAGAGTGAACAAGGATGGGTGGGTTTTAGCCCAGTCACTGGGCAGAGTGGAACAAAACCGTGCTGGGGTCACCCATGGTGAGGACGGGATGCTACCTGGCATTGCTGAAAAGAGAGGTGGAAGGGCAGCCTCTGTCCTAAAGACTTGATTCCAACATCTAGGTGTTTCAGAATGGCATGGAGACTTTCCCCATGTATCACCTTTTGCTCTATTCTTCAAAGATGTGGCCTAAGTATCACCTGGCTTAGGATATATCACCCTGGAAGCTGGGTCAAGTTGAAATAAAACTATTCAGAGAACAAGTGAATGTCAGTTTGGCAAGTCAGATCCTCTCATTGAGAAAACCAAGGCCAGAAAGAAGAGCTGTGTCCCAGACCTGGCTTCCTGTCCATCACTCTTCACCCTGCACGTGGCTGTTGACCCACCCAGACAGCACCCATATGATGGCCCTGGGGGAAGATCAGGGACCCCGGGCTCCGTGGGCTCAGCACGGCACACTCACTCTAGCCGTTCCTCTTCTTTCCTTCGGAGGTCAAAATCTCGTTGAACAACTTCCAAGACATGCTGGGCCTCTTCATCAGTGAGCTTGGAAAGATCCAGTTTCTTCCCCATTTCTGCTTCTTGTCGGGGTCACACCTGGAATGTCACAGGATCACAAGTCATCAGTCCCAGAAGCCTACCAATACCAATCAAGTCACAGAGTAAGAGACAACACAGAACGCTGCTGACTTCTCAGGACATCTGTCTGTACTTGGGTTAAATGGTTTTCTAATGCTTGTCTGGAAACTTGTGTAGTTTAATGAATTTAAGTGAATCTATGCAAAATTCCCACATTCGAATTTTAAAAGGGATCTACTTCCTACTCTCCCAAACACACTCAGCCACGGGTCTCTCATTTTCTTTCCACTGTGGGATGAACGTCAGTGATCTCCCCATCCAGGGGCATGGCTCCTCTCCCTCACCTAGGGTTGGGCTTTGCAATGGAAAACCCTGGGAGAAATGCGCCATTCCTGAGGCTTCTCGCCTTAAGTTTCTTGGGAGAGGGAACAGCACAGAAAAGAGGAAACTTCACAGCAAATTCATAGTCAGCTCAGAGTCTCCTGTGCATCTCCTAGACCTCCTAGAGCGATGCTGCAGGCTCTGTGTGGGCAGGGACGCCTGGATGACTGACCCACTAGGTGGAAAAGTTGGGAGACTCCACAGCACTTGGAAGGTTTCACCATCCTCTGGGCGTGGGGGGCTGTTTAGGTTTGCCATGTGTGTGTTTGGGGGTGGTTCCAGGGGGAGGTCATATGAGCCTGATGCCTGTGAGGGCGATGTGCTTGTGCTGGGAATATCCACATAATTTCCCTGGGGAGGCAAAAGTGATGCAACTTGGGAGAACAAAACATCTGGGCAGGATGAGCAGTAGGTGCTGAGATTTATTTACTCGAGAGGTCAGCTGTGGGGCTGCCCAGCAGGGATTCTCATGCCTGGGGTGTATTAGGATCACCTAACACTACTGGTGGCCAGGCCTCACCCTCAGCAAATCTAATTAAATTTTTTAAAATTTTACTTAATTTTTTTTTTTTTTTTTAGAGACGAGTTCTCACTATGCAGCCCAGGCTGGTCTTGAACTCCTGGGCTCAAGTAATCCTTCTGCCTTGGCCTCCCAAAGAGCCATGGTGCCTGTCTGAGAATCTGGTGTGACTCAGCTGCTCAGCAGAGCAGCGGCCCCACCCAATGCACTATGTGATGCTGTGTTTGTAGGTAACCTGATGACCAAGAAGTCAAACCTCAGATGATCTTATGCCCTTTTTTTTTGAAGTTCATCAGACCTGATCCCAATCAATGTCCAAAGGACAGAGGAAGGAAAATCCAAATGTCAAAAGCCAAGATAGGTGGAACCTTAGAATCTTGCTTGCTACTCAAAATGTGGTTCGTGGACTGGCAGCATCCCCTGGGAACTTGTTAGAAGTACAGACTCTCAGGCTCCAACCCAGACCTACTCATTCAGAATCTGCCTTTGAACAAGATCTCCAGGCAGCTCGAGTGCACGTGTTGGCCCATGCTGTTGTCCTCAGACCCCTCTGAGTAGCAAAGCTCTAGGGGAGACTCATTCACTTGGGTAGTGGGCGGCGAGTCACAGAGGACCTTGGCCTGTACATCCTGTCAGGTGGTTGATGGGTGTGAGGCAGGGGAGTGATGCAGTGGTGGTGGCTGAGCAGAGAATGACAGATCCACTTGCTGGCTTTTCATATGGCAATATCACACAGGCCTCACAGCTTATATTGATGTGGACATTACTGCTGGGTATAAAATTGGAGGAACAATTGTACCAGGGAGAACTTCACCACCAATGCATGCACACTGGGACACTGCAAAACTGTGCACGCTCCCCACAGAGGACTTCCCTGATCATCCTGTGGTTTTTACTCCTTCACCTGTCCCCATCCCTTTAACGTTTCTTTATACCCCTTAACAGTTGGTGATGTCTCATTAGTTATTGTTAAGCTCCACAAGAATAGCACCTCTGTCCGTTCCCAGCACATGGCAGGTGCTTTTCTGTGCTTGCAGCTCCCTGGTGTGCAGCAGGCTGTGCCAGGGAAGCCCTCGGCCCTCAGATGCTGCAGCTACAGACAGACCAGCTCTGCTCTGGGCACTGACGCTTTGGGGAATGGATGACTGGGAGTTCTGTTGTGAGTAACTGAAAGTTTAAAAACCACCTCGTAATTTCAATAAGTTTTCCTTGAGGACTTGAACCTATTTTCTCAGGAACATTAGAGAAGGGGTCCAATCTGTGTGCTTTCAGGGGGAAGTCTCAAAACCACCAAAAAGACACAATTTTGCTTCTGAATTCTGAGAAGCATCTCCCATCAGTGCTGCTGACCATTTGGAAGCGTTTATCATAAAAATACTAACAAAACTCCCCCTGTGCTGGAGACGTACTTCGATTTTGTTGCACAAGAGGTTAACTATGAAAAGGGACATTTTCTGGGCAGATACCATTTAAAATAAAAATGTCTACAGAGCTGTCATGGAAGTCAGCCAAAATAGTCCCTGGCTTATGCCATAAAAATGGAGAAGGATAATTCGTTGAATTTTTTTGCACCCATTCGTCAACATTTCCACTCTCAAACATAAAGTTGAGTGTTTGCAATACAAGAAGAGATTGCCCCAATGCCCTGGGAGCATTCAAACTCTGTTCCTTTACAGTCAGATTTAGGTTCTGGTCAAGAAATGGACTTACTACCGAACTCATTTTTGATGCTCTCACAGAGCACACACTTTCTGGTTTCTAAAGAATTGGAACAAAAAGTTATTATTTGATGCATGACTGGAGTTCATTCACTTTTATTTTTCATGAGTTCTGAAAAAAAAGGGATCATAAGAAGAGCATTCACCGACATTCTATTTTCAGAATGGATGGACAGTGTGACCATCAGCTGAGGCATTATCATTCCCTCTCTTCTCCTAACATAGAAGCCAAAATTCCAGGCCTCAGTTTGAGAAACTTAAATCATGATGTGTGAGGAAGAAAAGCAAAACAAAAGGAAAAACCTGCTTTTCTTGTCTTGCAAGCTTCACATTCTTAGAGCACAGTCAGTGACCAGGAAGTGAATGGATAAAAAGATCACAGAGCATCACAACCAATGTCCTAGAGGCTGCTTGGATATCTGTCCCTCCCCCATTCTATCCCCTTTCAAATGGTTTTCTTTCTTTTTTTTTTTTAGATGAGGTCCTGGTCTGTCGCTCAGGCTGCAGTGCGATAGTGCAATCATGGCTCACTGCTGCCTCGACCTCCATGGGCTCAGGGAGGTGAGGGCAGAGAATATGCTAGACCCATGAGGAGTGCAGGGCTGCTCTGTGCCTGCCCTAGCTGGGTGGGGTGGGGGCTCCCAGAGTATGTGCTGGGGGAGGGCAGACGCCACCCTGCTCTATCTGCTCCTTGTTCCATTTCTGTTTAGATAACGCCTGCTCACGAGGTTCCTGAACAAAACACTTCCACTTACTGCCTGTTCCACTGCTCAGATTCGATCATATTTTAAACATTGGAGACAGCCAGCCTTCCCCAGCAGTTGAATAGCCATAGTGGGGCAGAGGGACGGGACACAGGGATTAATAGGCAGGGAGGAGAGAGTGGAGCTGGTTTTATAAGATGGGTATCCCAGGCCCAGACTGCTGAATTCCAGTAGTGTGTCATCTTTATCCGCTAAAGAGTTGAATTAATTTTTTGGCCAAATTGAAGGGAAATCAGGGTGGGGGTTCCTCCTGGATGAAGAATTGGCTTAACTAGCTCTTGGGCTGGCTGCTTGGGGAGCCTTGGAACAATGGTGATTGTGGGTGATTACTCGCCTGGGCAAACAAACTGGCAAGCTAACAACAGCAGGAATGCTCTCTCTGACTCAGAGCCAAGGTGTGTCGTGTGGTGTTATTCTTG